>NC_000008.11:43484345-43784345 GCF_000001405.40 Homo sapiens | reverse complement strand
CCTCAATGGGCTCCCAATTATCCCTTCCCTTATCTTTTAAAAAGAGTGTTTCCAAACTACTGTATCAAAATTAAGGTTTCACTCTGTGAGGTGAATATATGCATCATGATCTAATTTCTCCAATAGCTTCTTTCTAGTTTTCATCTGGAAATATTTGATTTTACCTTATCGTGCTCAATGGACTCCCAAATGTCCCTTTGCAGATTTTCCAAAACAGTTTTTCCAACCTACTGAATCAAAAGAAAGGTTTAATGCTCTGAAATGAATTCACATATCACAAAGCAGTTCCACAGGTATTTTCTTTCTAGTTTTTCTTTGGGGATATTCTGTTTTTCTCCATGGGCCTCAATGGGCTCTCACATGTCCCTTTGCACATTCTCCAAAAACAGTGTATCCAACCTGCTGTGTTGAATGAAAGTTTTAACTCAGTTAGATGAATCGACACATCAAAAAGCAGATTCACAGATAGCGCCTTTCTAGTTTTTATCTGGGGATATGTAGTTTTTCCTTATAGGCCTCAATGGGCTCCCAAATGTTACATCACAGATTCTTCAAAAAGTGTGTCTTTACCCTGCTGAATCAAAAGAAAGTTTTAACCCTGTGAGATGAATCCACACACCACAGAGCAGTTTCATGGATAACTAACCACTTTCTAGTTTTAACTGGGAATACCCCTTTTTTCCCTTATTACTCAATGAACTGCAGAATGTCCCTTTGCATATTCCAAAAAGAGTGTTTCCAACCTGCTGAAACAAAATAATACTTTAACTCTCTGAGCTGAATCCACATATCACAAAGGAGTTTCTCAGATAGGTTCTTTCTAGTTTTTGTCTGAGGATATTTGGTTTTTCCTCATAGGCCTCAGAGGGCTCCCAAATGTCTCCTCACAGATTCTACAAAAAGAGTGTTTCAAACTTGCTGAATCAAAAGAAAATTTTAACTCTGAGATAAATCCAAATGTCACAAAGCAGTTTCACAGATAACTTCTTTCTAGCTTTTATCTGGGGATATTGTGTTTTTCCCCTACGCTCAATTGACTCCCAAGTATCCATTCGTGTATTCTATAAAAAGAGTGTTTCCCAACTGCTGAATCAAAGGAATGTTTTAACTCTGTGAGATGAGTACACACATCACAAAGCAGTTCCACGAATAGTTTCTTCCCAGTTTTTATCTGGGTATATTCATGTTTTCCCCATAGGCCTCATTGGATTCCCAAATGTTCCTTCACAGATTCCATAAAAAGAGTTTTTGCAACCTGCTGAATCAAAAGAAAACTTTACCTCTGTGAGATGAATCCACACATCACAAAGAGGATTCACGGATAAGTTCTTTCTAGTTTTTATCAGTGGATATTCGATTTTTCACTATAGGCCTAAATGGTTTCCCAAATGTCCTTTAACAGATTCTACAAAAAGAGTGTTTCCAACCCACTGAATAAAAAGGAAAGTTCAACTGTGTAAGATGAATCCACAAATCAAAAAGCAGTTACACAGTTTCTTTCTAGTTTTTATCTGAGGAATTGTGGTTTATCACCATAGGTCTCTTTTGGCTGGCAAATGTATTCTCCAAAAAGAGTGTTTCCTAATGAATCAAAAGAAAGGTTTAATTTGCGACATGATTCCACAGATCACAAAGTAGTTTCACAGATATCATCTTTCTAGTTTTTATCTGGGGATATTCAGTTTTTCCCGATGGGCTTCAATGGATTCCCAAATGTCTCTTTGCACTTTCACCAAAAAGAGTGTTTCCACCCTGCTGAATGAAAAGAAAGATTTACCTGTGTTAGATGAATCCATATATCACAAAGCAGTTTTATGGATAGCTTCTTTCTAGTTTTTTACTGGGGATATTCGTTTTTTCTCCATAGTTCTCAATGGGCTCCAAAATGTCCTTTCACAGACATTTAAAAAGAGTGTTTCCAACCTGCTGAATCAAAGGTAAGGTTAAAGTCTGTGAGGCAAATCCACACATCTCGCATGAGTTTCACCGATAGCTCCTTTCTGGTTTTTATCTGAGAATATTAGGTTTTTCCAAATGGGCCTCAATTGGCTCCCAAATGTCCCTTTGCAGAACTCCAAAAAGAGTATTTCCAACCTATTGAATCAAAAGAAAGGTTTGGCTCTGTGATATGAATCCACACATTTCAAAGAACTTTCACAGATATCTTCTTTCTAGTTTTTATCTGAGTATATTCTCCTTTTCCCCATAGGCCTTAATAAGCTCTCAAATGTCCCTTCACAGATTCTACAAAAAAGTGTTTCCAACATGTTGAATTAAAACAAAAATTTAACTCTGTGATATGAATCCACACGTTACAAAGCAGTTTCAAAAATATCTTCTTTCTAGTTTTTATCTGAGTATAATCTCTTTTTACCTATAGACCTCAATAACCTCTCAAATGTCCCTTCACAGATTCTCCAAAAAAAAGTGTTTTCCATCTGCTTAATTAAAAGAGAGCCTTCTTAATCCAATCTATCATTGTTGGACATTTGGGTTGGTTCCAAGTCTTTGCTATTGTGAATAGTGCCACAATAAACCTATGTGTGCACGTTCTGCACATGTAACCTAAAACTTAAAGTATAATAATAAAAATGAAAAAAAGAAAGGCTTAACTCTGTGAGATGAATCCACACATCAGAAAACAGTTTCACAGATAGATTCTTTATAGTTTTTATCTTGGGGTATTCGATTTTTCCCCATAGGCCACAATGAGCTCCCAAATGTCCTTTTGCAGATTCTACAAAAACAGTGTTTCCAACCTGGTGAATCAAAAGAAAGGTTTAACACTGTGAGGTGAATCCACACATCACAAAAACTTTCACAGGTAGCTTCCTTCTAGTTTTTATCTGGGGTTATTCTGTTTTTCCCCATAGGCCTAATGGGCTCCCAAATGTCCATTCACAGATTCTCCAAAAAGAGTGTTTCCAATGCTCTGAATTGAAAGAAAGTTTTAACTTTGTGAGATGAATCTGAAAATCAGAAATCAGTTTCTCACATAGCTTCTTTCTACTTCTTATCTGGTGATATTCATTTCTTTTTTTTTCATAGACTTTAATGGACTAGAGACTGTCCCTTCACATATAATCAGAAAGGGTGATTCCAACCTGCTGAAGCAAAAGATAGTTTTAACCCTGTGACTGGAATTCACACATCACAAAGCAGTTTCACAGATAGTTTCTATCTAGTTTTTACCTGGAGATATTCAGTTTTTCCCCGTAGTCCCCAGTGGGTTCCAAAATGACCCTTCACAGGAGCTCCAAAGATATTGTTTCCAAGATGCTGAATCAAAAGAAAGGTTTCACTCTGTCAGATGAATCCACAAATCACTAAGCAGCTTATTTCAATTTTTTTTCTTGGGATATTTGATTTTCCTCCATAGGACTCAAGGGCTCCCAAATATTCCATCAAGGATTCTCCAGAAACAGTGCTTTCTACCTGCTGAGTCAAAAGGAAAGTTTAAGTCTGTGAGATGAATGCACATATCACAAAGCAGTTTCACAGATAGTTTCTTTTTAGTTTTTATCTGGTGATATTTGGTTTTTCCCCATAAATCTCACTGGGCTCCAAAATGTCTCTCTGCAGATTCTCCAAAGAGTGTTTCCAACCTGCTGAATCAAAAGAAAGGGTTAGTTCTTTGAGATGAATCCACAAATCACAAAGCAGTTACACAGATAGCCTCTTTCTAATTTTCTTCTGGGTATATTCTGTTTTTCCCCATAGGCGACAATGGGCTCCAGAATGTTTCTTCGCAGATTCTCCAAAAAGAGTGTTTCCAACATTCTGAATCAAAAGAAAGGTTGAACTCTGTGAGATAAATCCACATATCACAAAGCAGTTTCACAGATAGTTTCTTTCTAGTTTTTTCTGGGGATATTCAGTTTTGTGCCATAGGCCTCAATTGGCTCTCAACTGTCCCTTCAGAGATTCTCCAAAAAAAGTCTTTCCAACGTGCTGAATTGAAAGAAAGTTTTAACTTTGTGAGATGAATCTAAAAATCACAAATCAGTTTCTCATATAGCTTCTTTCTACTTCTTATCTGGCGACATTCATTTTATTTTCATAGACCTCAGTGGACTAGAGACTGTCTCTTGACATACAATCAGAAGGGTGTTTCCAACCTGCTGATGCAAAAAACAGTTTTAACTCTGTGATTTGAATTCACACATCACAAATCAGTTTCACAAATAGCTTCTATCTAGCTTTTATATGGAGATATTTGGTTTTTCTCTATAGTCCTCAATGGGCGCCCAAGTATCTCTTCACATATTCTACCAAAAGAGTGCTTCCAACCTGCTGAATCAAAACGGAGGTTTAGCTCTGTGAGATGAACCCACACAATACAAAGCAGTTTCACAGATAGCTTCTTTCTAGTTTTTATCTTGGGATATTCTGTTGTTCCAAGTAGGCCTTGTTGGTTGCTTAAACGTCCCTTACAGATCCTCCAAAAAGAGTGGTTCCAAGCTGGTGAATCAAAAGAGAGTTTTAACTCTCTAAGATGAATCCACACATTGCAAAGCAGTTTCACAGGTAGCTTCTTTCTATTTTTATCTGGGGATATTCAGTTTTTCACCTAGGCCCTGATGGACTCCCAAATGTCCCTTCACAAATTCTGTAAAAAGTGTGTTTCCACCCTGCTGAATGAAAAGAAATGTTTAACTCTGTAATGGGAGTCCACACATAACAAAGCAGATTCATGGATAGCTTCTTTCTAGTTTTATCTGTGATATTTTGTTTTCCACCATAGGCCTCAATGGAAGATTTAACTCTGTGAGAGGAATCCACATGGAACAAAGCAGTTTCACACATAACTTCTTTCTAGTTTTCATCTGTGGACATTCGATTATTCCCCTTAGCTCTCAATGGGCTCCCAAATGTGCCTTCGGAGATTCTCCAAAAAATGTGTTTCCAACCTGCTGAATCAAAAGAAAGGTTTAACTCTGTGAGATAAATCCACATATCACAAAACAGCTTCACAGATAGCTTCTTTCTAGTTTTTATCTGGGGATATTTCCTTTTTATCCATATACCTCAATGTGCTTCCAAATGTCCTTTCACACATTCTCCAAAAAGAGTGTTTGCAACCTGCTGAATCACAAGAAAGGTTTAACTCTGTGAGAAGAATCACCACATCACAAAGCAGTTTCAGAGATAGTTTCTTTCTAGTTTTGCTTTGGGAATATTCTTTTTTTTTCACATAGGGCTAATTAGCTCTGAAATGTCCCTTTGCAGATTCTCAAAAATAGGATTACCACTCTGCTGAATCAAAACAAAGTTTTAATTCTGTGTGATGTATCCACACATCAAAAAGCAGTTTCAAAGAAAGCTTCTTTCTAGTTTTTATCTTAGGATATTCAGTTTTTCTCCTCGGCTTCAATGGGCTTCCAAATGTCCCTTCACATGGCTTCCAAATGTCTGTGCTTCCAAGCTCTGAATCAAAGGAAAGTTTTAATTCTGTTAGACGAATCCACACCTACAAAAGCAGTTTCACAGATAACTACGTTCTAGCTTTTTTCAGGGGATATACACTTTTTCCCCTTTGACCTCAATGGCAAGTAAATGTCCCTTCACAGATTTTCCAATAAGAGTGTTTCCAACCTACTGAATCAAAAGAAAACTTTAACTCTGTGAGAGGAATCCCCTCACAAAAGCAGTTTCACAGATACCTCTTTTAACTTTTATCTGGGGGTATTTGGTTTTTCCCCATAGGCATTTGATGGGTTCCCAAATATCTCTTCTCAGATTCTGCAAAAAGAGTGTTTCCAACCTACTTATTCAAAACTAAGGTTTAATTCTGTGAGATGAATACAAATATCACAACGTCGTTTCAGTCAGTTTCTTTCTACTTTTTATCTTGGGATATTCAGGTTTCTCCATAGACCACAGTGGATTTTAAAATGTCCTTTCACAGTTCTCCAAAAAGAGTATTTCCAACTTACTGACTCAAAAGAAAGATTTAACTTTTTGAAATAATTCCATACTTGAAACAACAGTTTCACAGATAGCTTCTTTGTAGTTTTTATCTCAGGATATTCAGTTTCTCCCTGTAGGCCTCAATGAGCTCTCAAATGTCCATTAGCAGATTCTACAAACAGAGTGTTTTCAACCTGTTGAATCAAAAGAAAAATTTAACTCTGAGATGAATCCACACATTACAAAGCAGTTTCACAAATAGCATCTTTCTAGTTTTTAATCTGGTGATATTTGGCTTTTCTCCGTGGTCTCATTGGGCTCCAAAATGTCCCTTTGCAGATTCCCCAAAAATAGTGTTTTTAACTGGTGGAATGAATAGAAAGGTTTGCCTTCAGGAGATGAATCCACACATCACAAAGCAGTTTTATGGAAAGCTTCTTTCTAGTTTTTATATAGAGATATTCCATTTTTCCCCATTAGCCTAAATGGGCTCCCAAATGTCCCCTCACAGATTTTCCAGAAAGAGAGTTTTCAAAGTGCTGAATCAAAAGAATGGTTTAACTCTGTGAGATGAATCCACACAACAGAAATCAGTTTCTCAGATAGGTTCTTTCTAGTTTTTATCTGTGGATATTCAAGTTTTTCTTATAATGCACAAATGGCTTAAATATGTCCCTTCACAGATTCTCAAAAGAAAGGCTTCACTCTTTAAGACGAATCCACACATCACAAAAGAATTTCACAGATAGCTTCTCTCTAATTTTTATCTGGGCATATTCTGTTTATCTGGGCATAACTTCAATGGTCTCCCAACTGTCCCTTCACAGTTTCTCCGTAAATAGTGTTTCCTACCTGCTGAATTAGTGGAAAAATTTAACTCTGGGATAGGAATGCACATATCACAGAGCAGTTTCACACTTTGCTTCTTTCTAGTTTTTATTTGGGGATATTCGGTTTTTCACCATAATGATCAATGGGCTACAAAATGTCTGCTTGTGTATACTCCAAAAACAGTGTTTCCACACTGCAGAATCAAAAGAAAGGTTTAATTCTGTGAGATGAATCCACACTTCAGAAGCAGTTTCACAGATAGCTTGTTTCTAGTTTTAATCTGGGGATATTCAGTTTTTTCCCATAGGCCTTAATGGGCTCTCAAATATCTTGTCACAGATTCTACAAAAAGAGTGTTTCCAACCTGCTGAATCAAAAGAAAGGTTTAGCTCTGTGAGATTAACCCACATATCACAAAGCAATTTTACAGATAGAGTCTTCCTAGCTTTTATCTGGAAATATTTGCTTTTCCCCATAGGCCTCAAAGGGCTCCCAATTGTCTCTTTGCAGATTCTCCAAAAAGAGCGTTTCCAACCTGCTGGATAAAAAAAATGGTTTAACTCTCTAAGATGAATTCAGACAAAACAAAGCAGTTTCATAGATAGGTTCTTTGTAGTTTTTATCTGGGGATATTCTGTTTTTCTTACAGGCCTCAATGGGCTACCAATTGTCCCTTTGCAGATTCTCCAAAATGTGTGTTTCAAACCTACTGGATCCAAAAAAATGTTTAATTCTCTGAGATGAATCCACACAATGCAGACCAGTTTCACAGATATCTTCTTTGTAGTTTTTATCTGTCAATATTTGCTTTTTACCTACAGGCTTCTATGGGCTTCCAAAATCTTTTCACAGGTTCTCCAAATAGAGTGTTCCAAACTGCTGGATGAAAAGAGAAGTTTAACTCAGTGAGAAGAATCCACACAACACAAAGCAGTTTCACAGATAGATTCTTTCTAGTTTTTATTGGGGATAATCTGTTGTTACTTATAGGCCTCATTGGGCTCCAAAGTATCCCTTTGTAGATTGTACTGAAAGAGTACTTACAATCTGCAATATCAAAGAAAGGCTTACCTCTGTGAGATGAATCCACACATCACAAAGTGGGTTCACAGATAGCTCTTCCTAGTTTTTATCTTTAGATATTCAGTTTTTCTCCTAGGCCTCAACGGGCTTCCAAAATCCCTTCGCAGACTCCACATAAAGAGTGTTTCCAGGCTGCTGAATGAAAAGAAAGGATTAACTCTGTGACGTGAATCCACACATTCCAAAGCAATTTCACAGATAACTTCATTCTAGTTTTTATGTGGGGATATTTTTTGTCCTTATTGGCCTCAATTTGTTCCCAAAAGTTTCCTCACATATTCTCCAAAAAGAGTGTTTCCAATCTGCTGAATCCAAAGAAGAGTTTAACTCTTTGTGGTGAAGCTACAAATCATGAAGCAGTTTCACATACAGCTTCTTTCTAGTTTTTATATGGGGACATTCCGTTTTTCCCCATAGGCTTTAATATGCTCCTAAATGTCCCTTCACAGATCTCCAATAGGAGTGTTTCCAAACTGCTGAATAAAAGGAAAGGCTTAAATCTGTGTGATGAATCCACCTGTCAGAAAGCAGTTTCACAGATACCTTCTTTCTAGTTTTCATCTAAGGATATTCTGTTTTTCTCCATAGGCCTCAATGGGTGCCCAAATGTGTATTTTTTTCTGTTTTTCCAAAAAGAGTGTTCTCATCCTGCTGAATCAAAAGAAACTTAGCTCTGTGAGATGAATCCATACATCAGAAAGCAGTTTCACATATAGCTTCTTTCTAGTTTTTATAAGTGGATATTCAGTTTTTCCCCTTAGGCCTCAATGGGCTTCCAAATGTCCCTTCTCACATTTTCCAGAAATATTGTTTCCAACCTCATGAATGCATAGAAACGCTTAAGTCTGTGAGATTAATCCACACATCACAAAGCAGTTTCACAGATGGCTTCTTTCTGGTATTTATCTGGGGATATTCGTTTCCTTTTTCCATAGACTTCAATGGGCTCCAAAATGGCCCTTCTAAGGTTATCCAATAACAGTGTTTCCAACCTGCTAAACCAAAAGAAAGGGTTAAGTCTGTGAAGTAAACCCAAACATCTCAAAGCAGTTTCACAGATAGTTTCTTTGCAGTTTTTATATGGGGATATTCAGTTTTTCCCTTAGGCCTTTATAAGCTCCAAAATATTTATTTGCAGGTACCACAAAAAGAGTGTTTCCCACATGCTGAATGCTGAATCAAATGAAAGATTTAACTCTGTGAGATGAATCCACACTTGATGAAGTAGTTTCACAGATTGCTTCTTTCTAGTTTTTATCTGGGGATATAGAGTTTATCCCCATGGGCATAAATGGGGTCCCAAATGTCTCTTCATACATTCTACAAAAAGAGGTGAATCCACACATCATGAACAAGTTTCACCGATAGCTTCTTTCTGGTTTTTATCTGGGAATATTGGGTTTTTCCTTAAAATGTCCGTTTGTAGATTCTCCAAATAGAGTGTTCCAACCTAATGAACCAAAAGAAAGGTTAAAATTTGTGATATGAATCCACACATTTCAAAGCAGTTTCACAGATATCTTCTTTCTGGTTTTTAATCTGGGTATGTTTTGTTTTTCCCCATAGGCCTCAATAAGCTCTCAAATGTCCCTTTGCAGATTCTGCAAAATGAGTGTTTCCAACCTGCTGAATCAAAAGAAAGGTTTAACTCTGTGAAATGAATCCACATACCACAAAGCAGTTTCATAGATTTCTTTCTAGTTTTTAGTTGTTTATATTCTGTTTTTCCCCATAGGCCTCAATAAGCTCTCAAGTATCTCTTCACAGATTCCTCAAAAAGAGTGTTTCCAACCTGCTGAATTAAAAGAAAGGTTTAACTCTGGGGGATGAATCCACACATGACAAGCAGTTTCACTGATAGTTTCTTTCTAGTTTTTATCTGGGGATATGACATTTTTTCCCATAGACCTCAATGGGCTCCCAAATGTCCCTTTGCAGATTCTCCAAAAAGAGTATTTCCAACGTGCTGAAAGAAAAGAAAGGTTTAATTCTGTGAGATGAATCCAAACATCAAAAAACAGTTCCACCCACAGCTTCTTTCCAGTTTTTATCTTGGGATATTCAGTTTTATCCCTTAGGCCTCAATGGGGTCCAAAATGTCCCTTCACTGATCCTCCAAAAAGACTGTTTCCAGCTTGCTTAATAAACAGAAAAGTTTAACTCTGTGAGGTGAATCCACAAATCACAAAGCAGTTTCACAGATTGGTTCTTTGTATTTTTTATCTTGGGATATTTTTTTTTCCCTTAGGCCACAATGGACTCCCAAATGTCCCTTTGCAGATTCTACAATAACAGTGTTTCCAACCTGGTTCCTCAAAAGAAAGGTTTAGCACTGTGAGATGAATTGACACATTGCAAAAAAGCTTCACAAGCAGCTTCTCTGTAGCTTTTATCTGGGGATATCTGGTTTTTTTTCCCATAGGCCTCAATTGGTTCTTAAATGTCCCTTCACGGATTCTCCAAAAAGAATGTTTCCAAGTGCTGAATCAAAAGAAAGTTTTAACTTTGTGAGGTGAATCTACAAATCACAAAGTAGCTTCATGCATGGCTTCTTCCTAGTTATTATCTTGGGCTATTTGGGGTTTTTTTCATAGACATCAATGGACTACTGACTGTCCCTTCGCAGATAATCAGAAAGGGTGTTTCCAACCTGCTGAAACAAAATAAAGTTTTAACTGTGTGAGTCAAATTCATGCATCAGAAAGCAGTTTCATAGATAGCTTCTTTATAGTTTTTATCTGGGGATATTCTGCTTTTTTTCTTATAGGCCTCAACGGCCTCCAAAATATCCGTTCTCAGATACTCGAAAGTGAGTGTTTCCAACCTGCTAAAACAATAGAAAGTTTTAACACTGAGAGGTGAATCCACACATCACAAAGCAGTTTTTCAGATAGCTTTTTTTTAGTATTTATCTGAGGATATTCTGTTTTTCCCCATAGGTGTCAAAGGGCTCCCAAATGTCTCTTCGCAGATTCTACATAAAGAGTGTTTTCATCAGCTGAATCAAAGGAAGCATTTAATTCTATGAGATAAATCCACACATCAATAAACGCTTTCAAAGATAGCTTCTTTCTAGTTTTTATCTTAGGATATTTGGTTTTTACTTCTAGGCCTCAACAGGCACACAAATTTCCCTTCACAGTTTGTCCAAAAAGAGTGTTTCCAACGTGATGAATGAAAAGAAAGGTTTAACACTTTGAGAAGAATCCACACATCACAAATCAGATTCACAGGTATCTTCTTTCCCGTGTCTATCTGTATATTTGGTTTTGCCTCATTGGCATCAATGGGATCTCAAACGTTCCCTTCCAGATTTTCCAGAAACAGTGTTTCCAACCTGCTTCACCAAAAGAAAGGTTTAACTCTGTGAGATGAGTCCACACATCACAAAGGAGTTTCACAGACAGCTTCTTTCTAGTTTTTATCTGGGGATTTTTGTTTTGTCCCATAGGCCTCAATGGATTCCCAAATGTCCTTTCACAGATTCTAAGAAAAGAGTGTTTTAACCTGCCGAAACAATAAAAGGTTTAACTCTGTGAGATGAATACAGACATCACAAGGCAGTTACACAGATAGCTTCTTTCTAGTTTTTATGTAGGGATATTCGATTTTTCCCCACAGTCCTCAGTAAGTGCCCAAATGTCCCTTCACAGATTTTACAAAAGGAGTGTTTCCAACCTGCTGAATCAGTAGAAAGGTTTAACTCTTTGAGACAAATACACACATCACAAAGCAATTTCATGGATAGCTTCTTCCTAGTTTTTATCTGAGGATATTCCATTTTTTCCCATAGGCCCCAGTGGGCTCTAAAATGTCTCTTTGCAGATTCTCCAAAATAGTGGTTCCAACCTGCTGAATCGAGAGAAAGATTTAGTTCTGTGAGATGAATCCACACATCTCAAAGAGGTTTCACAGATAGCCTCTTTCTAGATTTTTTCCTAAGCCACCATGGGCTCACAAACATCCCTTTGACGATTCTACAAAAAGAGTGTTTCCAACCTGCTGAGTCAAAAAAACAGGTTTTTCTCTTTGAAATGAATCCACACATTACAAAGCAATTTCACAGGTAGCTTCTTTTTGGTTTTTATCTAGGGATATTCAGTTTTTCCCTATAGTCCTCAAGGGGATCCCAAACGTTCCTTTGTAGTTTCTCCAAAAAGAGTGTCTCCAACCTGCTGAATCAATACAAAAGTTTAAGTCTGTGAGATGAGTCCAAACATCAAAACTAAGTTTCACAGATAGATTCTTTCTAGTTTTTATCTGCGTATATTTCATTTTTCCCATAGGCCTCAATGTGCTTTCAAATGTCCCTTAACAGATTATATAAAAATAGTGTTTCCTACCTGCTGAACGTAAAGAAAGTTTTAATTTTGGGAAATGAATCCACATGTCAAAAAGCAGTTTCTCTGAGAGCTTCTTTCTAGTTTTTATCTAGGATATTCAGTTTTTCCCCATAGGGAAAAATGGGCTCCCAAATGTCCCTTCGCAGATTCTCCAAAAAGAGTATTTCCAACCGGCTGAATCAAAACAAAGCTTTAACTCAGTGACGTGAATCCACACATCACAGAGCAGTTTCACAGATAGCGTCTTTCCAGTTTTAATCTGGGGATATTTTGTTTTCTCTCTTTGGCCTCAGTGGGCTCCTAAATGTCCCCTTGGATATTCTACAAAAGGTTTCCCACCTGCTGAATAAAGAAAGTTTTAACTGTATGATATGAAACATACAACACAAAGCAGTTTCACGGGTAGCTTCCTCCTGGTTTTTATCTGGGTATATTCAACTTTTCTCCATTGGCCTCAAAGGGCTCCCAAATGTTCCTTGGCAGATTCTACAAAAAGAGTGGTTCCAACCTGCTGAATCAAAAGAACTCTTTACCTGTGTAAGGTGAGTCCATACATCACAAAGAAGTTTCACAGATAGCTTCTTTCTAGTTTTTACCTTGGGATATTCAGTTTTACACCATAGGCCTCAAAGGACTCTCAAATGTGTTTTCACTGATAGTCCAAAAAGAGTGTTTCCACCCTGCTGAATTAAAAGAAAGGTTTAATTCTTTGAGATGAATCCACACTTCCAAAAGCAATTTCGTAGATAGCTTCTTTCTAATTTTTATCTGGAGATATTTTGTTTTTTCCCGTAGGCCTCAATGGGTTCCCAAATGTCCTTTTGCAGATTTTCCAAAAAGATAGTTTCCAACCTGCTTAATCAAAAGAAAGGTTCAACTCTGTGAGGTGAATCCACACATTACAAAACAGTTTCACGGATAGCTTCTTCCTAGTTTAAATCTGGGTATATCCAATTTTTTCTTATGGGCTTAAATAGGCTTCCACGTGTCCCTTCGCAGGTTCTACAAAAAATGTGTTTCCACTATACTGAATCAAAAGAAAGCTTTAGCTCTCAGAGATGAATCCACACAACACAAAGCAGTTTCACAGATAATTTATTTCAGTTTTTTATCTGGGGATATTCAGTTTTTACTTATAGACCTCAATGGGCTCTTAAATGTCCCTTTTTCAGATTCTCCAAAAACAGCAATTCCAACAAGCTGAATCAAAAGAAAGATTTAACTCTGTGAGCTGAATCCAAACATTAAAAATCAGTTTCATGGATAACTTCTTTCTAGTTTTATTGGTGATATTCAGTTTTTCTCATAGGCCTCAATAGGCTCCCAAATGTCTCTGCACAGATTCTCCAAAAACATTGCTACCAACTTGCTTGATCTAAAGAAAATTTCACGTCTGTGAGATGGATCCACACATCTCAGAGCAGTTTCACAGATAGTTTGTTGTAGTTTTTATCTGTGGATATTTGTTTTTTCCCCATTGGCCTCTATGAGATCCCAAATGTCCCTTTGCAGATTTTCCAACAAGTGTGTTTCCAATCTGCTGAATCAAAGGGAAGTTTTAACTCTGTGAAATGAATTCACACATCACAAAGCACTTTCATGGAAAGTTTCTTCTGGTTTTTATCTCTGTATACTCTGTTTTTCCCCATAAGCTCTAATGGACTACCAAGTTTCCCTTTGCAGATTATTCAAAAAGCATGTTTCCAACCTGATGAATCAAACAAAAGGTTTACCTCTGTGAAATGAATCCACACATCAAAAAGGAGTTTGACAGATAACTTCTTCCTGTTTTGTTTAAGCAGATATTTTTTCCCCATAAGCCTCCTTGAGCACTTAAATGTCCCTTCACAGATTCTCCAAAAAGACTGTTTCCAACTTGCTGAACCAAAAGAAAAGTTTAGCTCTGTGAGGTTAATACACACATCCCAAAGCAGTTTCACTTATGGACTCTTTCTACTTTCTATCTTTTGATATTTGGATTTTCCCTTAGTCCACTATAGGTTACCAAAAATAACTCTGCAGATTCTAGAAAAAGTGTGTTTCCAACCTGCTGCATGAAAGGAAAGGTTTAACTCTGTGAGATGAACCCACACATCACAAAGGAGTTTCACAGTTAGCTTCATTCTGCTTTTTATCTTGAGATATTCATTTTTTTCTGATAAGCCTCAATTGGCTCCCAAATATCCCTTTGCAGATGCTCCAAAAAGAGTGCTTCTTACATGCTGAATCAAAAGGGAAGTTTAACTCTGTGAGATGGATCCACACAACACAAAGCAGTTTCACCCATGGCAGCTTTATAGTTTTTATCTGAGGATATTCTTTTTTTCCCCATTGGCCTCAAAGCTCTCCCAAATGTCCCTCTGCAGATTCTCAGAAAAAAAATATTTCCAACCTGCTGAATCAAAAGAAGGTCTTCACCTTTTGAGATGGATCCACACATCACAAAACAGTTTCACAGATAGCTTCTTTCTAGTTTTTATCAGGGGACATTCTGTTTTTTCTTGTAACCCTCAACAGACTACAAAATGACCCTTCTCCAATTCTCCCAAGTGAGTCTTTTCAACCAGCTGAACAAAGGAAAGGTTTAACTCCATGAGATGAATCCACACATCACAAAGCAGTTTCTCAGATACCTTCTTTATAGTATTTACCTGAGGATATTCTGTTTTTCCCAATAGGCCTCAAAGGGCTCCCAAATGTCTCTTCACGGATTCTACAAAAAGAATGTTTCCAACCAACTGAATCAAAGAAAGATTTAATACAGTGAGATAAATGCATGCATTACAAAGCAGTGTCACAGATATACGTTTCTAGTTTTTATCTGGGGATATTCTGTTTTTCCCTATAGGCCACAAAGGCACTTCAATGTCTTTTGCAGATTCTCCAAAAAGTGTGTTCTCAATGTGCTCAATCAAAAGAATGATTTAACACTGGGAGATGAATCCACCATCACAACACAGTTTTGCAGATAACTTCTTTGTAGTTTTTATCTGGAGATATTCCATTTTTCCCCTTAGTCCTCAATGTGCTCCCAAATGTCCTTTCTCAGATTATTGAAAAAGAGTGTTTCCACCCTGCAGAATCAAAAGAAAGTTGTAACTCTGAGAGTTGAATCCACACATCACAAAACAGTTTCACAGATAGTTTCTCTCTAGTTTTTATCTTGCGATATTCAGTTTTTCCCCTTAGGCCTCACTGGGCTCCAATATGTCCCTTTGCAGATTCTCAGAAAAAAGTGCTCCCAACGTGCTGAATAAGAGGAAAGTTTTAACTCTCTGATGAATCCACACATCAAAAAGCAGTTTCAAAGATAGCTTCTGTCTAGCTTTTATTTGGGGATATTCTGATTTTTTTCTGATACGACTCAAAGGGCTCCCAAATCTCTCTTCTCAGATTCTACAAAAAGAGTCTGTCCAAAGTACTGAATCAAAAGAAACATTTACCTCTGTGAGAAGAATTCACACATTGCAAAGTATGTTCACAGACAGCTTCTTTCTAATTTTTTATTTGGGGATATTCGGTTTTTCCCTATAGGCCTGAATGGGCACCCAAATTTCCTTTTGAAGACTCTTGACAAAGTGTTTTTCCAAAGTGCTGAATCAAAAGAAAGTTTTAACACTGTGAGATGAATCGATGCATCACAACGCAGTTTCACAGATAACTACTTTCTAGTTTTCATCTGGAAATATTTGGTTTGTCAACATAGGCCTCAATAAGTTTCCAAATGTTTTTTCACAAGTTCTCTGAAAAGAGAGTTTCCAACCCGCTGAATCAAAAGAAAGGTTTATCTCTGTGAGATAAATCCACATATCACAAAGCTGTTTCACAAATAGTTTCTTTCTAATTTTTATCTGAGGATATTCCATTTTGCCCTGTAGGCCTCAATAAGATATCAAGTGTCCCTTTACAGATTCTCCAAAAAAAGTGTTTCCAACCTGCCAAATCAAAAGAAAGGTTTAACACTGTGAGATAAATCCAAACATCACAAAGCAGTTTCACAGTTAGTTTACTTCTAGTTTTTATTTGGGGATATTCAGTTTTTCCCCATAGTCACCAAGGGCTCCCAAATGTCCCTTCGCAGATTACTTAAGAAGACTGTTTCCAACATGTTGAATCAAAAGAAATGTTTAAGTCAGTGAGATGAATCCATACATCACAAAGCAGTTTCACAGATAGCTTCTTTGTAGTATTTATCTGGGTATAATCTGTTTTTCTTCATCTGCCTCAAAGGGCTCCAAAATGTTCCTTCTCCGATTCTACAAAAAAAATGCTTCCAACCTGCTGAATCAAAAGAAAAACTTAACTCTGTCAGATGAATCCACACTTCACAAATCAGTTACACAGATAACTTCTTTCTAGTTTTTATCTAGGGATATTCAGTTTCTCCCTGTAGGCGTCAATGAGCTCCGCAATGTCACCTCACAGATTCTTCAAAAAGAGTGTTTCCAACCTGCTGAAACAAAAGAAAGAACTAACTCTGTGAGGTGAATCTACACATCCCAAACCAGTTCACAGATAGATTCTTATTAGTTTTTATCTGGAAATACTCGTTTTTTCCCCCTTAGGCCTCATGGGCTCCAAAATGTCCCTTCGCTTATTCTTCAAAAAGAGTGTTTCCAACCTGCTGAATAAAAGAAAGTTTTTGCTCTGTCAGATGAATCCACACATAACAAAGCAGTTTCTCAGATAGCTTCTTTTTACTATTTATCTGAGGATATTCAGTTTTTCTCCTCAAAGGGGCCTCAAGAGGCCTCAAAGGGCTCCCAAATATCTCTTCTCAGATTCCATAAAAAGAGTGTTTCTAACGTGCTGAGTCAAAAGAAAGGTTCAACTCTGTGAGATGAATCCACACATCACAAAGAAGTTTCACAGATAGCATCTTTCTAGTTTTCATCTGGGGATAATCAGTTTTTCCCCATATGCCTCAATGTGTCCCCAAATGTCTGTTTGCCGATTCTCCAAAAAGAGTGTTTCCAATGTGCTGAATCAAAAGAAACCTTTACTCTGTGAGATGAATCCAAACATCACAAAGCAGTTTCACAGATAGCTTCTTCCTAGTTTTTATTTGGTGATATTGGGTTTTTCCCCATAGGTATCAGTTGGCTCCCAAATGTCCCTTCGCAGACTCTCCAAAAAGAGTGTTTCCAACCTGCTGAATCAAAAATATGGTTTAACTCTGTGAGATGAATCCACATGTCACAAAGCATTTTCACAGATAGCTTCTTTCTGGTGTTTATCTAGAGATAATCAGTTTTTTCACAGAGGCCTCAATGGACTCCAGAATTTTTTAGCAGATTCTACAAAAAAGAACGTTTTGAAGCTATGGATTGGAAAGAACAGTTTAACACTGTGGGATGAATCCCCACGTCAGAAAGCAGTTTCACACATAGCTTCTTTCTGGTTATAATCTGGGGATATTCAGTTTTTTCATTCTAGGCCTCAATGGGGTCCCGAATTTCCCTGAACAGTTTCTAAAAAAAAGGTATTCCCAACCTGATGATACAAAAGAAAGTTTTAACTCTGTGAGAGGAATCCACACATCACAAAGGACTTTCACAAATAGCATTTTTCTACTTTTTATCCGGGATATTCAATTTTTTTCTGTAAAGCTCAGTGTGTTCCCAAATGCCCACAGCATATTCTCCAAAAGAGTGTTTCCAATCTGCTAAATCAAAAGACAGATGTAACTCTGTCAGATGAATCTACACATCAAAAAGGAGTTTCACAAATAACTTCCCTTGAGCTTTTATCTGGGGTTACTCTCTTTTAAAACTTAGGCCTAAATTGCCTCAAAAATGTTTTTTCACAGAATTTAAAAAAGAGTATTTTCAACTTGCTGAATCAAGAGAAGGATTTAATTCTATGAGATAAATCCACGCATCACAAAGCAGTTTCACGGATAGCTTCTTTCTTTTTTCTGTGGGGATATTCAGTTTTTCACCTATGGCATCAGTTGCCTCCAAAATTTCCCTTCGCAGATTCTCCAAAAAGAGTTTTTCCAAACTGCTGAATTAAAAGAATGGTTTAACTCTGTGAGCTGGGTCCACACCTCAAAAACCAGTTTCATGGATGCTTCTTTCTAGTTTTATCTGGGGATATTCAGGCTTTTTCCACAGGCCTAGATGGGCTCCCAAATGTCCCTAGGCAGATATTACAAAAAGAGTGTTTCCAACCTTCTGAATAAAAAGAAAGGTTTAACTCTGTGATGAATCCACATATTACAAAGCATTTTGACAGCCAGCTTCTTAGAGGTTTTTATCAAAGGATATTCAGATTTTCCACATAGGCCACAATGGGCTCCCAAATGTCCCCTCACAAATTCCCCAAAAAGAGTATTTCCAACTGGCTGAATCAACAGAAAATTTTAACTCTGTGAGATGAATCCACACATCACAAAGTAAATTCACATGTAGCTTCTCTGTACTTCTCCTCTGAGGACATTCAGTTTTTCCCTTAGGCCTCAATTGGCTCCAAAATTTCTTTTTGCTGTTTCTACAAAAAGAATGTTACCAGCGTACTGATTGAAAAGAAAGGTTTAACTCTGAGATAAATCCCCAAATGAGAAAGCAGTTTCACAGAGAGATTTTTTCTAGTTTAAATCTTGGGATATTCGGATTTTCCTTGCAGGCCTCAATGGGGTCAAAAAAGTCCCTTCACAGATTCTAAAAAAGAGTGTTTCCAACATAATGAACCATAAAAAAGTTTCAACTCTGTGAGATGAATCTACACATCACAAAGCCATTTCACAGATAGCTTCTATGTAGTTTTTTTCTGGGGATATTTGGTTTTTCCCCATAGGCCTCAATGGGCTTCCAAGTGTCCCTTTGAAGATTCTGTAAAAAAAGAATTGTTTCCAAGCCGCTGAATAAAAAAAAAGCTTTAAATCTGTGAGATGACTCTGCACATTGCAAAGCAGTTTCACAGATAGCTTCTTTCCATATTTTATCTGGGGATATTCCGTTTTTTGCCAAAGGCCTCAGTGGGCTCTCTAAAGTCCCTTCACAGATACTCTAATAAGAGTGTTTCCAAGCTGCTGAATCAAAAGAAAGGTTTAACTCTGTGAGATGAATCCACACATCAGAGAGCAGTTTCAAAGATAACTTCTTTCTAGTTTTTATCTGGGGTATTCTGTTTTTTCCCATAGTCCTCAATGGGCTCCAAAAAGGCCCTTCACAGATCCTTTAAAAAGAGTTTGTCCTTCCTGCTTAATCTCCAAAAGTTTAAACACTGTGAGATGAATCCACGCAACACAAAGCAGTTTCAAGGTAGCTTCTTTCTAGTTTTTATTTTGGGGTATTCATCTTTTACTTATTGGCCTCAATGGGCTCCCAAATGTCCCTTCGTGGATTGTCCAAAAAATGTGTTTCCAACCTGCTGGAACAAAAGAATCATTTAACCCTGTGAGATGAACCCACACATCACAATGCAGCTTCACATATAGCTTCTTCCTAATTTTTCTCTAGGGATGTGCAGTGTTTTCCCATTGGCCTCATTGGTCTCCAAAATGTACCTTCACAGATTCTCCAAAAAGATAGTTTCCAACCTGCTGAATCAAAAGTAAGGTTTAACTCTGTGAGATGAATTTACGCATCACAAAGCTGTTTCACAGATAGCTGCTTTCTCGTATTTATCTGGTGATAATCAGTGTTTTGCCACAGGACTAAATGGGCTCCCAAATGTCTCTTCACTGATTTTCTAAAGAGTGTTTCCAACCTGCTACATAAAAAGATATGTCTAACTCTGAATTGAATCCACATGTCACCAAGCAGTTTTACAGATACCTTCTTTCAAGTTTTTATTTGGGGATATTCATTTTTTCCGTTTCAGCATCAATGGGCTCATAAATGCCCCTTCACCAATTCCCCAAAAAGACTGTTTCCAACTTGTTGTATCAAAAAAAAGCTTTAAATATGTGAGATGAATCCACACATCACAAAGTAGTTTCACAGACAGATTCTTTGTAGGTTTTACTGGGGGAAATTTTGTTTCTCCCCATGGGCTTCATCGGACTCCCAAATGCCCCTCCACAGATCCTACAAATAGAGTATTTCCAAAATGCTGAATCAAAATAAAGGTTTAACTCTGTGAGATGAAACCAAACAACAAAAAGCAGTTTCATAGATAACTTCTTTCTAGTTTTTGTCTGGGGATACTCAGTTTTACCCCTTAGGCCTAAATGTCCTTCCAAGCGTCCCTTCACATATTTTTTAAAAAGAGTCTTTCCAACCTGCTGAGTCAATGGAAAGTCTTACCTCTGTGATGTGAATCCACATATCACAAAGCAGTTTCACAAATAGCTTCTTTGTAATTTTTGTCTGGGGATATTTTGTTTTTATCCATAGGCCTCAATGGATTCCCAAATGTCCCTTCACAGATACTCCAAAAAGAGTGTTTACAACCTGCTGAATGAAAAGAAAAAATTACATCTGTAAAATGAATCCACACGTCAAAAGGCAGTAACACAGATAGATTCCTTGTAATTTTTATCTAAGGATATTCATTTTTTCCCCATAGGCCTCAATTGGCTCCCAATATCCCTTCACAGGTTCTTCAACAAGAGTGTTTCCAACCTCCTGAATCAGAAGAAAAAATTAACTCAGTGAGATAAATCCACACATCACAAAATTGTTTCACAGATTGCTTCTTTCAAGTTTTTATCTGGGGATATTCGATTTTTCCCTATAGTACTCTATGAGAGCCAAAATGTCCTTTCACAGATTCTCCAAAAAGAGTGTTTCCCACCTGGTCAATCCAAAGAAAGGTTTAACTGTGTAAGATGAATCCACACATCAGAAAGTACTTTCACAGACAGCTTCCTTTGAGTTTTTATCTGGAGATATTCAGTTTTTCCCCATAGGTCTCAATGGGCTCCCAAATGTCTCTTTGCAGATTCTCCAAAAAGAGTGTTTCCAACCTGATGAGTAGAAGACAGGTTTAGCTCTGTGAGATGAGTTTAGACATCACAAATCAGTTTCACAAATAGCTTCTTTTACATTTTCTTCTGGTGATAATTTTTTTTTGATAGGTAAAATTGGGCTCCTAAAAATTCCTCCACTGATTCTCCAAAAAGAGGGTTTCCAGGCTGCTGAATCAAAAGAAAGTTTTAACTCTGTGAGATGAATCCACACATCACAAAATAGTTTCACAGATAGCTTCTTTCTAGTGATTATCTAACAATATTCAGTTTTTCCCCAAAGGCCTCAATAAGTGCCTGAATGTTTCTTTGCTGATTGTCCAAATAGAGTGTTTCCAACCTGCGGAATCAAAAGAAAGTTTCAACTCTGTGAGGTGAATCCACACATCACAAAGCTGTTTCATAGATAGCTTCTTTCTAGCTTTTATCTGGAACTACTAGATTTTTAACCAAAGCCATCAATGGGCTCCAAAACGTCCCTTTGCAGATTATCCAAAAAGATTATTTCCAAACTGCTGAAAAAAAGAAGTTTTACCTCTATGAGTTGAATCCACACATCAAAAAGGACTTTCAAAAATAGCTTCTTTCTTGTTTTTATAAGGGTATATTCATTTTTTTCCGTTAAGCCTCAATGGGCTTTAAAATATCCATTCACAGATTATTTAAAAAACTGTTTCAAAACTGCTGAATCAAAAGAAAGTTTGAACTTTTCGCAATTAATCCACACATCAGAAAGTAGTTTCACAGAAATCTTCTTTCTACTTTTTAACTAAGGATATTTGGTTTTTCCCCTGGGTCTCAATAAGCTTTCAAATGTTTCTTCACAGATTCTCCAAAAGAGGTATTCCAACCTGCTGAATCTAAACAAAGATTTAACCTTATGACGCGAATCTACACATCAAAAAGCAGTATCACAAAAAGCTTCTTTCTAGTTTTTATCCAGTGATAAACTGTTTTTTCCTATAGGCCTCAATGGACTCCAAAATGTCCATTCTCAGATTCTCCAAATGGAGTGCTTCTAACTGCTGAAATCAAAGAAAGTTTTTACCTGGTGAAACGAATCCTCTCATCACAAGGCAGTTGCTCAGAGAGATACATTTTATTATTAAGCTGAGCTTATTCAGTTGTTCCCTGTAGGCCTCATAGAGGTCCCAAATGTCTCTTCTCCGATTCTATAAAAGAGTGTTTCCAGCATGTTGAAGCAAAAGAAATGCTTAAATCTGGAGATGAATCTGCATATCACAAATCACTTTCACAGACAGCTTCTTTCTAGATTTTTATCTGGGGCTATTTGGTTTTTCCCTGTAGGTCTCAACAGGCTCCCAAATGTCACTTTGAAAATTCTTGAAAAAGTGTCTCCAACTTGCTGAATCAAAAGAAAGGTTTAAATGTGAGATGAACCCATACATCAAAACACAGTTTCGCAGATAGCTTCTTTCTAGTTCTTATCTGGACTATTCTTTTTTTTTTTCCATGGACATCACTAAGCTCCAAATGTTCCCTTGCAGGTTCTCCAAAAAGCGGGTTTCCAACTGGCTGAATCAAACGAAAGGTTTATCTCTGTGAGATGAATCAACACATCCCAAGGCAGTTTCACAGATAATTTTTTATAGATTTTTCTGGGGATATTAGATTTTGCTCCTTATGCCTCAATGGGATATTAAATGTCCCTTCACAGATTCTCCAAAAGAAAGGTTTTCTGCCTCCTTGATAAAAAAAAGTTTTAACTTTCTGAGATGCATCCACACATCACAAGGCAGTTTCATAGATATTTTCTTTCTGTTAAATCAAAAGTAAGGTTTAAATCTGTGAGAAAAATCCACACATCACAAAGCAATTTCACAGATAGCTCCTCTGTAGTTTTTATCTGGGGATATTCAGTTTTTCCCCATAGGCCTCAATAGGCTCCTAAATGTCCCCTCACGAATTCTACAAAAAAAGTTTTTCCAACCTGCTGAATCAAAGGAAAAATTTAACTGTGTGAGATGAATCCACCCATCACAAAGCACTTTCAAAGATAGCTTCTTTCCAGTTTTTATCTGGAAATATTCGTTTTTTTCCCAAAGGCATCAAAGGGAACCAAAATGTCCCATTGCAGATTCATCAAAAACAGTGTTTCCAACCTGCTGAATCAAAAGAGTGCTTTAACGCTGTGAGATGAATCCACACATCAGAACTCAGTTTCACAGATAGCTTCATTCTACTTCTTATGTGGGAATACTCGTTTTTTTCCCATATGCCTCAATGGATTCTGAAATGTCCTTTCGCAGATAATTTACAAAGACTTCTTCCAAACCTGCTGAATGAAAGGGAAGGTTTAATTCTCTGAGATAAATACACACATCACAAAGCAGTTTCACAGATAGATTCTTCCTACTTTTTATCTTGGGATATTCTGTTTTTCCTTCTAGGCTGCAATGGGGTCCCAAACGTCCCTTCACTGATTCTCCATAAAGAGTATTTCCAACCTTCTGAATCAATAGAATGGTTTAACACTGAGAGATGAATTCACAAATCACAAATCAGTTTCACAGATTCCATTTTTCTAGTTTTTACCTGGGGGTGTTCAGTTTTTTACCATAGGCCTCAATGGGCTCCCAAATATCCCTTTGCAAATTCCCCAAAAAGAGTGTTTCCAAACTGGTGAATCAAAAGAAAGGTAAAACTCTGTGCAATGAATCCACACATCACAAATTGGTTTCTCAGATAGCTTCTCTCTAGTTTTTGCCTCGTGATATTCAGTTTTTCCCCTAATACCTCAAAGTGCCCTCAAATGTCCATTCACAGATTCTACAAAAAGAGTGTTTCCCACCTGCTGAATCATTAGAAAGGTTTAACTCTGTGAGACGAATCCACACTTCAAAAAGCAGTTTCACAGATAATTTATTTCTATTATTTATCTGGTGATATTTGGTTTTTCTCTGGAGGCCAAAACAGGCTCTCAAACGTCCCATAACAGATTCACCAAAAAGAATGTTTCCAACCTGCTGAATCAAAAGAAAAATTTAACTCTGTGAGATGAATCCACACTTCACAAAGTATTTTCACAGATAGCTTCTTTCCCATTTTTACCTGGGGATATTCAGTTTTTCCTCTTAAGCCTTGATGGGTTCCCAAATGTCACTTTGCAGATTCTCCAAAATGAGTGTACCGAATCTGCAGAATCAGAAGAAAGTTTTAACTCTATGAGATAAATCCACACATCAAAAAGAAGCTCCAAAGGTAGCTTCTTTCTGCTTTTTATCTGGCAATATTTATTTTTTTCATATAGGCCCCAATTGTCTCTCTGTTGTCCCTTCAAAGATTCTCCAATAAGAGTGTTTCCTACCTGCTGAATCAAAAGAAAGTTTTAACTCTGTGCGATGAATCCACACATCACAAGGCAGTTTCACAGAGAGCTTCATTCTAGTATTTAGCTGGTGATATTTGGTTTTTCCCATAGCCCTCAATAAGCTCCCAAATGTTTCTTTGCAGATTCTATGAAAAGAGTGTTTCTAACCTGCTGAATCAAAAGAAATGTTTAATTCTGTGAGACGAATCCACACATCAAAAAGCAGTTTCATGTATAGTTCATTTGTAGTTTTTATCTGTGGATATACAGATTTCCCTACAAGCCTCAATGAGCTCAAAATGTCCTTTTGCAGATTCTACAAAAGGAATGTTTCTAAGCTACTGAATCTGAAGAAAAATATGACTCTGTAAGATGAATCTACACGTGACAAATTAATTTCACAGATAGCTTCTTTCTGGTTTTTATCTGGGGATATTCAATTTTTCCCCATAGGACTCAAAAGGCACCCAAATTTCCCTTGGCAGATTTGCAAAAAAAGAGTTTCCAACCTGCTGTACCAAAAGAAAAGTTTACCTCTTTGCCATGAAACCACACATCACAAAGCAGTTTCACAAAAATTTCTTTGTAGTTTTTATCTGGATATATTCATTTTTACCCCTAAGCCTCAATGGGTTCCCAAATGTCCTTTCACAGATGTTCCAAAAAGAGTGTTTCCAACCTGCAGAATCAAAAGCAAAGCTTAACTGTGGGAAAATAATCCGTACCTCACAAAGCAGTTTCACAGATAGCTTCTTTCTAGTTTTTATTTGGGGATATTCCCATTAGGCCTCAATGGGCACCAAAATTTCCCTTCACAGATTCTCCAAAAAGAAGTCTTCAACATGCTGAATCAAAAGAAAATTTTACCTCTGTGAGATGAATCCACACATCAAAAAGTAGTTTCACAGATAACATTTTTCTAGTTTTAACCTGGGGATATTTGGTTTTCCCACATAGGCCTAAAATGGTTCTCAAATGTCCCTTCACAGATTATCCAAAACAGTGTTTCCAACTTCCTTAATAAAAGAAAGGTTTGAGTCTGGGAGTTGAATCCACACATCAAAAAGGAGTTTCACAGGTATCTTCTTTCTACTGTTCATCTGAGGATATTTGAGTTTTTTTTTTCCATTGGCCTCAAAAGCCTCAAAAATATTCTTTGACAGATTCTACAGAAAGTGTGTTTCCAACCTGCTGAATCATAAGAAATGTTTACTTCTGAGAAATGAATCCACACATTACAAAGCAGTTCACAGAGAGCTTCTTTCCAGTTTTTATCTTGGGATATTGCATTTTCCCCCTTAGACCTCAAAGGGCTCCCAAATGTGCCTTTGCAAATTTTCCAAAAAGAGTGTTTACAACCTTCTGAATCAAATGAAAGATTCAAATCTGAGATGAATCCAAACATCACAAAGCAGTTTGACAGACAGCATCCTTCTAGTTTTTATCTGAGGATATTCAGTTTTTACTTATAAGCCTCTATGTGTTCCCAAATGACTCTTTACAGATTCTACCAAAAGTGTTGTCCCAACTTGCTGAATCAGAAGAAAAATTTAACTCTGTGAGAGGAATCCACACAACACAAAGCAGTTTCACTGATAACTTCTTTCTAGTTTTTATCTTGGGATATTCCATTTTTCCCCACAAGTCTATTTGAGCGCCTATATTTCCTTTCACAGATTCTCCACAAAGAGTTTCTCCAGCCTGCTGAATCAAAAGAAAGGTTTATCTCTCTCAGATGAATCCACACATCACAAAGGAGTTTCATAGATAAATTCTTTATTGGTTTTATGTTGAGATTTACATTTTTCCCTAAACTGATATGGGCTCCCAAATGCCCCTTCACAGATTCTACAAAAAGAGTGTTTCCATCCTGATCAATCAAAGGAAAGGCTTAACCCTGTGAGATGAATCTACACACCATAAGGCACTTTCACAGATTGCTTTTTTCTAGTTTTTATTTGGGGATATTTTGTTTTTCACCTATGCCTCGATGGGCTTCCAAATGCCCCTTCACAGATTCTACAAAAAGAATGCTTCCAAGCTGCTAAGTAAAAAGAAAGGTTTAACTCTGTGAGATTAATGTAATCACCCAAAAGCATTTTCACAGATTACTTCGTTCCAGTTTTTTTCTGGGGATATTCAATTTTTCCTCTTAGACAACAATGGTGCCAAGAAGTCCCTTTGGGGATTCTCAAATAAGAGGGTTTCCTCCTAGTGAACAAAAAGACAACTTTAACTTTGTGAAATGAATCCACATGTCACAAAGCAGTTTCACAGATAGCTTCTAGTTTTTATCTGGGGTATTCAGTTTTTCAACTTAGGCCTCAAAGGGCTCCCAAATTTCCCTTCACAGATTCTCCAAAAAGAGGTCTACAATCTGCCGAATCAAAAGAAAATTTTAACTCTGTGAAACGAATCCACACATCACAAAGCAGTTTCACAGATATCTTCTCTCTAGTTTTTATCTGGGAATATTCGTTTTTTTTACATGGGCCTCAAAGGGCTCCCAAATGTCCCTTCAGAGATTCTCCAAAAAGAGTGTTTCCAATCTGCTGAATCAAAAGAAAGTCTTAATTCTGTGAGATGAATCCACATATCACATAGCAGTTTCACAGATGGCTTCTTTCTAGTTATTATCTTAAGACCTTTGGTTTTTATCCATAGGTATCAATGAGCTCCCAAATATTTCTTTGCCAATTCTCTGAAAAGAGTTCTTCCAACCTGCTGAATCAAAAGAAAGGTTGAACTCTTTGAGATGAATTGACACATCACAAAGCAGTTTCAAAGATACCTTCTTTCTAGTTTTTATCTGTGGATATTAAATTTTTTCCAATAGGCTTCAATGGGCTCCAAAATGTCATTTTGCAGATTCTCCAAAAAGAGTGTTTCCAACCTTCTGAATCAAAATAAAGATTTAAATCTGTGAGATGAATCCACACATCACAAAACAGTTTCAGAGACAGCTTT
This sequence comes from Homo sapiens, assembly GCF_000001405.40. NCBI lineage: Eukaryota > Metazoa > Chordata > Mammalia > Primates > Hominidae > Homo > Homo sapiens. The sequence goes on along the minus strand of NC_000008.11, from coordinate 43,756,966 downwards.
TTTCTAAATTTTAGCTGGAGATACTCGCTTTTTCCCCACAGTGTTCAATGGGCTCTGATGTGTCCCTTCACAGATTCTCCAAAAACAGTGTTTCTAATCTGCTGAATCAAACGAAAAGTTTAAATTTCTGAGATGAATCTGCACTTCATACAGCAGCTTCACAGATAGCTTCTTTGTAGTTTCTATCTAGCTTTTTCTAGTTTCTATCTAGTTTTTCCCAATAGGACTCAAAGGACTCTGAAATGCCTCTTCACAGGCACTCCAAAAAGTGTACTTCCAACCTGCTGAATCTAAAGAAAGTTTTAAGTCTGTGAGATGAATCCACTCATCACAAATTTGTTTCACAGATTGCTTCTTTCTGGTTTTTATCAGCAAATTTTCAGTTTTTACCCATGGGCCTAAATGGTCACCCAAATGTCCCTTCGGAGGTTCTCCAAAAAGAGTGCTTCCAACCTGCTGAATAAAAAGAAAGGTTTAATTCCTTGAGATGAACCCACACACCACAAAGCAGTTTCACAGATATAACTTCTTTCTAGTTTTTAACTTGGGATAGTTAGCTCTTCTCAATAGGCATCAAAGGGCTCCAAAATGTCCCTTTGCAGATTTTCCAAAAGTAGTGTTTCCAGCCTACTGTACCAAAAGAAAGGTTTAACTATGTGGGATGAATCCACAAATCACAAAGCAGTTTGACAGATAGCTTATTTCTACTTTTATTTGGGAGGATATTTGGTTTTCCCCATAGGAACCAATGGGCTCTCAAATGTCTCTTTGCAGATCCTATAACAAGAGTGTTTCCAACCTAGTGAATAAAAAGAAAGTTTTAAGTCTTTGAGCTGAATCTGCACATCACAAAGCAGTCTCACAGAGAGTTTCTTTCTACTTTTAATCTGAGAATATTCTGTTTTTCCACCTAGGCTGCAATGGGCTTGCAAATGTCCCTTTGCAGATACTCCAAAAAGAGTGTTTCCCACATGCTGAATCAAAAGAAAGGTTTAACTCTGTGAGGTGAATCCACGTATTACAAAGCAGTTTCACAGATAGCTTCTTTCAAGTTTTTTTATGGGGATGTTCTATTTTGCCCCATAGGCCTCAATGGGCTCTTAAAAGTCTTTTTGGAGACGCTAAAAAAAAGTGTTTAAAACGTGCTGATTAAAAAGAAAGTTTTACTCCTGTTACGTGAATCTGCACATCATGAAGCAGCTTCAGAGATAGCTCCTTTCCAGTTTTTATCTCAGGATATTCAGTTTTGCCCTTTAGACCCCAATGGGCTCCCAAACATTTCTTCACAGATATTCCAAAAAGAGAGTATCCAACATTTTGAGTCAAAGGAAATGTTTAACTTGGTGAAATGAATCCACACATCACAAAGCAGTTTCACAAGTGGCTTCTTTCTAGTTTTTATCTGGGGATTTTTTTTCCCCATTGGCCTCAATGCATTCCCAAATGTCCCTTTGTAGGTTCTATAAAAAGGGTCTTTTCATCCTGCTGGGTCAAAAAAATAAAAGGTTTTACTCCATGAGATGAATCCACAAATCACAAAGTAGATTCACAGATAGCATCCTTCTAGTCTTTTTCTGAGGTTATTCAGTTTTTGCTCACAGGCCTCAAAGGGCTCCCAAATATTCTTTCACAGATTCTACCAAAAGAGATTTTCCAACCTTCTGAATCAACAAAAGAGGTTTAACTCTGTGAGATAAATCCACATATCATGCAGCAGTTTCACAGAAAGACTCATTCTAGTTTTTATCTGGGGAAATTCTGTTTTTCCCAGTAGTCCTCAATGGGCTCTTAAAAGTCCTTTCACAGATGCTACAAAAAAAGTATTAAAACCTGCTGAGTCAAAAGAAAGTTTTATCTCTGTGAGATGAATCCACACATCATAAAGAAGTTTCACAGATAGATTATTTCTAGTTTTTATATGGGGATATTTTTCCCCATTGGCTTCCATAAGCTCCAGAATTTCCCTTCACAGATTATTCTAAATTACTCTATCCAACCTTCTGTATCAAAGGAAAGGTTGAACTCTGTAAGGTGAATCCTCACATCACAAAGCAGTTTAACAGATCACTTCCTGCTATTTTTTTTCTGGGGATGTTCTTTTTTGCCCCATTGGCCTTAATGGGGTCCAAAAAGGCTTTTCCCAGATTCTGCAGAAAAAGTGTCTCCAATCTACTGAATCAAAAGAAAGGTTTAATTCTGAGATGAAGCCACACTTCACAAAGAAGTTTCACAGATAGTGTCTTTCTAGCTTTTATGTGGGCATATTTGCTCATTCCCCATAAACATAAATGGGCTCTGAAAGGTCATTTTGCAGACACTCCAAAGAGTATTTCCAACCTGCTGAATCAAAAGAAAGGTTTAAATCTGTGAGGTGAATCTACTCATCACAAAGCAGTTTCACAGATAGCTTCTTTCTAGTTTTTATCTGGGGATAATAGGTTTTCCCCCAAAGGCCTCAATAAGATCCCAAATGCCCAACAGCAGATTAAAAAAAAAGAGTACTCTTAACCTCCTGAATCAAAGCAAAGGTTTCACTATGTGAGATGAATCCACACAGCACAAAGCATTTTCACAGATAGCTTCTTTCTTGTTTTTAATCTGGGGATACGTGGTTTTTCCTCAGAGGCATCAATGGCTCCCAAATATCCCTTTGCAGAATTTTCAAAAAGAGTGTTTCCCACCTTTTGAATCACGAGAAAGGTTTACTTCTGTGAGATGAGTCCACACATCACAAAGCAGTTTCACAGATAGCTACTTTCTAGTTTTTATCTGGGGATATTCTAGTTTTTTACTTGGGCCTCAATGGGCTCCCAAATATCCCTTCACAAACTCCCCAAAAAGAGAGTTTCTCACCCTGCTGAATTAATGGCTCCAAAATGTCCCTTGGCAGATACTCTACAGAGTTTCCAACCTGCTGAGTCAAAATACTGGTTTAACTGTGTGAGATGAATCCACATATCACACAGCAGTTTCACAGACAGCTTCTTTCTAGTTATTATCTGAAGATATTTGGTTTTTATCCATAGGCATCAACGGGCCCCCAAATGTTTCTTTGCCAATTCTCCAAAAAGAGTGCTTCCAACCTGCTGAATGAAAAGAAATTTTGAACTCTGTGAGATTAGTCCACATCCAAAAGCAGTTTCAAATATTCTTTCTTTCTAGTTTTTATCAGGGATTATTCATGTTTTTTCCAATAGGCTTCAAGGGGCTCCAAAATGTCATTTCAAAGACTCTCCAAAAACAGTGTCTCCAACCTTCTGAATCAAAGGAAAGTTTTACTATGTGAGATGAATCCACACATCACAAGCATTTTCACAGATAGATAGCTTCTTTCTACTTTTTATCTGTGGATATTGTGTTTTCCTTAAAGGCCTCAATGGCTTCCCAACTGTCCCTTTACAGATACTCCAAAAAGAGGGCTCCCAACCTGCTGAATCAAATGAATGGTTTACCTCTGTGAGATGAAGCCACACATCACAAAGTAGTTTCACAGAAAGCTTTTTTCTAGTTTTTATCTGGGGATATTCTGTTTTTCCCCATAGGCATCAATAAGCTCCAAAATGTCCCTTCACGGATTCTAAAAAAAGGGTGTTTGTAACTGCTGAATCAAACGAAATATTTAACTCTGTGAGATGAATCCACACAACACAAATCAGTTTCACAGATAGCTTCCTTTTAGTTTTTATCTGGGGTTATTCAGTTTTTCTTTATAGGCCTCAAAGTGCTTCTAAATGTCCCTTTGCCAATTGTTCAAAAAAAGTGTTTCCAACCTGCTGAATCAAAGGAAAGTTTTAACTCCATGAGACGAATCCACATATCACAAAGCAGTTTCACAGAAAGCTTCTTTCTAGTTTTTATCTGGGGATATTTTGTTTTTCACCATAGGCTGCAGTGGGCTCCATAATGTGGCTTTGCGGGTTCTCCAAAAAGAGTGTATCCAACCTGATGAGCCAAAGAAAGGTTTACCTTTGTGAGATGAATCCACACATCACAAAGCAGTTTCACATATAGCCTATTTCTGGTTTTTATCTTGAAATATTAGGTTTTTTCTCATAGGACTTAAGGGGCTCCCAAATGTCCCTTCACAGATTTTACAAAAAAAGTGTTCAAAACCTGCTGAATTAAAGATAAGGTTTAGCTCCATGAGATAAATCCACACATTGCAAAGTGGATTCACACATAGTTTTTTCTACTTTTTATCTAGGCATATTTAGGTTTTTGCCATAGGCCTCAACAAGCTCCCAAATATCCCTTCACAGATACAAAAAGAGTGTTTCCAACCTGCTGAATCAAAAGAAAGTTTTAACTCTGTGAGGTGAATCCACACATCACAATGCAGTTACACAGATACCTCCTTTCTAGTTTTAATCAGGGTAAATTTATTTTTTCCCCATAGTCTTTTTCGGACTCCCAAATGTCTCTTCACAGATGCTGCAAAAAGAATGTTTCCAAACTGCTGAGTCAAGAGAAATGTTTAACTCTGTTCAGACGAATCCACATATATCAAAGCAGTTTCACAGATAGAGTCTTGCTTGTTTTAATGGGGATATTTGATTCTTCCACATAGGACTCAATGGGCTCTCGAATGTCCCTTTGTGGGTTCTTTAATAAGAGTGTTCCCAAACTCCTGAGTCAAAAGTCAGTTTTAATCTGTGAGATGAATCCACACATCACAAAGCAGTTACCCAGATAGCTTTTTCTAGTTTTCATCTGGGGATATTTGGTTTATCTCCATATGCCTCAAAGATCTCCCAAATGTTTCTTTGCAGATTCTCCAAAAAGAGTGTTTCCAACCTGCTGAATCAAAAGAAAAGCTTAACACTTTATGATAAATCCACAAATCACAAATAAGTTTCAAAGATAGTTTCTTTCTTGATTTCACCTGGGGATATTCGGTTTTGTTCCATTGGCCTAAATGGGCTATAAAGTGTCCCTTTGCAGATTCTCCAAAAAGAGTGTTTCCAGCTGCCAGAATCAAAAGAAAGGTTTAATTCTGTGAGATGCATCCATACATTACAAAACAGTTTCACAGACAGCTTCTTTCTAGTTGTTATCTGAGGATATTAGGTTTATGCCCTTAGGCCTCATTGAGCTCCCAAATGTCCCTTTACAGACTCTCCAAAAAGAGTGTTTCCAACCTGGTGAATCAAGAGAAAGGTTTAACACTGTGAGATGAATAAACACACAACGAAGAAGTTTTACAGATCACTTATTCTTCTTTTTTATCTTGGCATGATTTGTTTTTCCCAATAGCCCTCAATTGGCTTGTAAATGTCCCTCTGCAGATTCTACAAAAAATGTGTTTCCAATCTGCTGTATCAAAAGAAACGTTTAACACTGTGAGAAGAACCCACACATCACAAAGCAGTTTCACACATAGCTTCTTCCTAGTTTATATCTTAGGATATTCAGTTTTTCCCTATAAACCTCAAAGGGCTCTTAAATATCTCTTCTCAGATTCTACACAAAGAGTGTTTTCAACCTGCTGAATCAAAAGAAACTTTTAACTGTATGGGATGAATCCACACATTACAAAGCAGTTTCACAGAGAGATTTTTTCTAGTTTATATCTGGGGATAAGCTGTTATTCCCAAAAGGTCTCAATGGGCTTTCAATTGTCCCTTTGCAGATTCTCCAAAAAGAGTGTTTCCAAAGTGCTGCAACAAAAGAAAGTCTTAACTCTGTGAGATGAATCTACACATTACAAAGAAGTTTCACAGATGTTTCACTCTAGTTTTAATCTGAGGATATTCGGTTTTTGTCCCAAGGCCTCAATTGGATCCCAAATATCCCTTCAGAGTTTCTCCATAAAGAGTTTTGCCAAACTGCTGAATCAAAAAAGTTTTAAATCTTTGTGATAAATCCATTCATCACAAAGTGGTTTCATAGATAGATAGCTTTTTTCTAGTTTCCATATGGGGATATTCTGGTTTTCCACATAGGCCTCAGTGGCTCCCAAATGTTTCTTCACAGATTCTTCAAAAAGAGTGTTTCCAACCTGCTGAATTAAAAGAAAATTTTAACTCTCTGAGATTAATCCACACATCACAAATCAGATTCTCATATAGCTTCTTTCTAGTTTTTATCTTTGTATATCCAATTTTTCCCACAAGCCTCAAGGGCTCCCAAATATCCCTTCATAGTGTCTTCAAAAAGAGTGTTCCAACCTTCTGAATCAAACAAAATATTTTCCTCTGTGACATGAATACACACATCACGAAGCTGTTTCACATATAGCTTCTCTCTAGTTTGTATCTGTGGAAATTCAGTTTTTCCCCATAGGCATCAATTGGTTCCAAAAAGTCACTTCGCAAATTCGTCAAAAAGACTGTTTGCAACCAACTGAATCAAAAGAAAGTTTCAACTTGGAGAGTTGAATGAGGAATGAAAGCTAGTTTCATGGATAGCTTCCTTCTAGTTTTATCTGACATATTTGTTTTTTTCCCATAGTCTTCAACAAGCTCCCAAATGTTTCTTGCAGATCTGCAAAAAGAGTGTTTCCATCTGGTGAATCAAAAAAGAAAAAAAAAAGGTATAACTCTGTGAGATGAATCCACACTTCACAAAGAAGTTTGACAGATAGCTTCTTTAGAGTTTTCATCTGGGGATATCTAGTTTATCCCCATAGGCCTCAATGGGCTCCAAAATATCACTTTGCCTAGTATACAAAAAGAGTGCTTACAACCTACTGAATAAAAGGAAATGTTCAATTCTGTGAGATGAATCCACACATCAAAAAGCTGTTGCACTGATAGCTTCCTTCTAGTTTCTATCTGGAGATATTCGATTTTTCCCCTTAGGCCTCAAGGGGCTCCCAAATGTCCCTTCACAGATCATCCAAAAACAGTGTTTCCCTCCTACTGAATCAAAAGAAAGGTTTAATTCTCTGAGATGAGATCACACATCACACAGCATTTCCCAGATTTCTTCTTTGGAGTTTTTATCTGAGGCTATTCTGTTTTTCCCCATAGGCCTCAAGAGGATCCCAAATGTCCCTTCACAGATTTTCCAAAAAGAGTGTTTCCAACCAACTGAATCAATAGAAAGGTTCAACTATGTGAGTTGAATTCACACATCAAAAACCAGATTCACTTTCTGAAAGAACACAAAGGTTTACTTCTGTGAGATAAATCCATGCATCACAAAGCTGTTTCACAGATAGTTTCTTTGTAGTTTATATCTGGTGATATTCCATTTTTCCCCATAGGCCTCAATGGGCTCCATAATGTCCCTTGGCATATTCTCCAAAAAGAGTGTTTACAGCCTGCTGAATCAAGAGGGGGATTGAACCCTTTCAGACGAATCCACACGTCACAAACCAGTTTTGCAGATAGCTTCTTTCTAGTTTTCATCTAGGGATATTTGCTTTTTCCCCATAGGTCTTAATGGGCTCCCAAATGTTCCTTTGCAAATACTCCAAAAAGAGTATTTCCAACTTGCTGAATCAAAAGAAAAGTTTGACTCTGTGAGATGAGTCTACAGATCACCAAGTAGCTTCACAGATAGCTTTTTCTAGTTTTTATCTTGGGATATCCAAATTTTTCCTGTAGGCCTCAAAGGGCTTCTACATGTCTTTTTGAAGATTCTCCATAAGGAGGTTTAAATCTGTGAGATGAATCATGAGTTTCCAACCTGATGAATCCAAAGTAAAAGTTAACTCTGTGACAGGGGAAAACACATAAAAATGAAGTTTCACAGATACCTTCTTTTTAGTTTTTATCTGGGGATATTCAGTTTGCCATAGACCGCAATGGGCTTCCAAATGTCCATTCGTAGATTCTCCAAAAAAAGCATTACCAACCTGCTGAATGAAAAGAAAGGTTTAACTCTATGAGATGAATCCACCCATAACAAAGCAGTTTGACAGATAGCTTCTTTCTAGTTTTTATCTGGGGATATTTAGTTTTTCCTTATAGGCCACAACAGGATCCCAAATGTCCCTTCACAGATTCTCTAAAAAAAGTTTTTCAGCAGCATTTATTAAATAAGAAATCCTTTCCCCATTTCTTGTTTTTGTCAGGTTTGCCAAGATCAGATGGTTGTAGATATGTGGTATTAGTTCTGAGGGCTCTGTTCTGTACCATTGATCTATATCTCTGTTTTGGTACCAGTAGCATGTTGCTTTGGTTACTGTAGCCTTGTAGTGTAGTTTGAAGACAGGTAGCATGGTTCCTCCAGCATTGTTCTTTTGGCTTAGGAGTGACATGGTAATGTGGGCTCTTTTTTGGTTCCATATGAACTTTAAATTACTTTTTCCAATTCCGTGAAGAAAGTCATTGGTAGCTTGATGGGGATGGCATTGATTCTATAAATTACCTTGTGCAGTATGGCCATTTTCACGATATTGATTCCTCCTATCCATGAGCATGGAATGTTCTTCCATTTGTTTGTGTCTTCTTTCATTTCGATGATCCAGAATCTACAAAGAACCCAAACAAATTTACAAGTAAAAAACAAACAACCTCGTTAATAAGTGGGTGAAGGATATGAACAGACACTTCTCAAAAGAAGACATTTATGCAGCCAACAGACACATGAAAAAATGCTCATCATCACTGGCCATCAGAGAAATGCAAATCGAAACCACATTCTAACCTCACACCACTTAGAATGGCGATCATTAAAAAGTCAGGAAACAACAGGTGCTGGAGAGGATGTGGAGAAATAGGAACACTTTTACACTGTTGGGGGTACTGTAAACTAGTTCAACCATTGTGGAAGTCAGTGTGGCGATTCCTCAGGGATCTTTAACTAGAAATACCGTTTGAACCAGCCATTCCAGTACTGGGTATATACCCAAAGGATTATAAATCATGCTGCTATAAAGACACATGCACCCATGTGTTTATTGCAGCACTATTCACAATAGCAAGGACTTGGAGCCAACCCAAATGTCCAACAATGATAGACTGGATTAAGAAAATGTGGCACATATACACCATGGAATACTATGCAGCCATAAAAAAGGATGAGTTCATGTCCTTTGTAGGGACATGGATGAAGCTGGAAACCATCACTCTCAGCAAACTATTGCAAGGAGAAAAAACCAAACACTGCATGTTCTCACTCATAAGTGGGAATTGAACAATGAGAACACATGGACACAGGAAGGGGAACGTCATGCACTGGGGCCTGTTGTGGGGTGGGTGGATGGGGAGGAATAGCATTAGGAGATATACATAACATAAATGACGAGTTAATGGGTGCAGCAGACCAACATGGCACATGTATACGTATGTAACAAACCTGCACATTGTGCACATGTACACTAGAACTTAAAGTATAATAATGAAAAAAGTTTTTCAAACTTGCTGAATAAAGAAAAAGGTTTATTTCTATGAGCTGAATCCCCACATCACAAATAAGTCTCACAGACAGCTTCTTTGCAGTTTATGCCTGGGGATAATCTGTTTTTCACCATAGACTGCAATGGGCTCCCAAATGTCCCTTTGCAGATTCTCCAAAAAAAGTGTTTCCTCCCTGCTGAATGAAAAGAAACATTTAACTCTGTGAGATGAATCCACTCATAACAAAGCAGTCTGACAGATAGTTTCTTTCTAGTTTTTATCTGGGGATAATCTGTTTTTCCCCACACACCCTGAGCACCCAAATATCCCTTCACAGATTCTCCAAAAAAAGTGTTTCCAACCTGCTGAATCAAAAGAAAGGTTTAACTTTGTGAGATAAATCCACACATCACAAAGTGATTTCACGGAGAGCTTCTTTCTAGTTTTTATCTGAGGATATTTGGTTTTTCTCCATAGGTCTCAATGACTCCAAAGTGTCCCTTCACAGGTTCTCCATAAAAAGTGTTTCCAACCGGCTGAATCAAAAGAAAGATTTATATCTGATATAAATCCACACATCAGGAAGCAGTTTCACAGAGAGCTTGTTTGTATTTTTTATCTGGGGATATTCCGTTTTTCCCCTTAGGCCTGAATGGGCCCCCAAACGTCTTTTCACAGATTCTACAAAAAGAGAGTTTCCAACCTGCTGAATCAAGAGGCAGTTTTAACTCTGTACAATGAATCCACAAACCAAAAAGCAGATTCATAGACAGTTTTTTTGTACGTTTTATCTGGGAATATTCAGTTCCTTATCATACGCCTCAGTGGGTTCCCAAATGTCCCTTCACAGATTCTACAGTAAGAGTGTTTCCAACCTGCTGAATCAAGAGAAATGTTTACCTTTGTAAGACGAATTCACCCATCAGAAAGCAGTTTTATCTTTCTGGTTTTTATCTATAGGTATTCTGGCTTTCCCCATATTCCTCAATGTGCTCCCAAATATCTTTTCAATATTCCCCAGAAAGAGTGTTTGCAAACTGCTGAGTCAAAAGAATGGTTTCACTCTGTGAGATGCATCCACACATCAGAAAGCAATTTCACAAATTGCTTCTTTCTAATTTTTTTCTAGGGATATTCAGTTTTTTCTCACAGCCCTCAGTGGGCTTTCAACTGTCCCTTTGCAGGGACTCCAAAAATAGTTTTTCCAACCTGCTGAATCTAGGAATGTTTTACTTCTGTGAGAAAAATCCACATGCCTCAAAGCAGTTTCACAGAGAGTTTTTACTAGTTTTTATCTGGGGATATTCCTTTTTTCCCTTAGGCAACAACAGTGCTCCCATATGTCCCTTCGTGTCTTCTACAAAAAGAGTGTTTCCCACCTCCTAAGTCGAACAAAGGTTGAACTCGGTGAGATGAATCCAAACATCTGAGAACAGTTACACAGGTAGCTTGTTTCTCGTTTTTATCTGGGGATATTTGGTATTTTTTCATAGGCCTCATGGGCTTCCAAATACCCCTTCACCAAGTCTCTAAAAAAGGTGTTTCTAACCTGCTGGATCAAAAGAAAGGTTTAACTCTGTGAGATGAATCTGCACAAAATAAAGTAGTTTTATAGGTATCTTCTTTTCCATTGTTTATCTGGATATATTCGGTTTTTCCCCATAGGTCTCGGTGGGCTCCCAAATGTTTTCTCACAGATTTTCCAAAAGGAGTGTCTCCAACCTGCTAAAACTAAAGAAAGGCTTAACTCTGTGACATGAATCCACAAACCACAAAGTAGTTTCACTGATAGCTTCTTTCTACGTTTTATCTGGGGATATTCTACTTTTCCCCATAGGCCACCAAGAGCTCGGAAACGTCCTTTCTCAGATTCTCTATAAAGCTTCTTTCCAACCTGCTGAATCAAAATTAAGATTTAACTCTGTGAGATGAATCCACACATCTCAAGGCAGTTTCATTGATGATAATTTATTTCTAGCTTTTATCTGGGGATATTCTCTTTTTCCCAATAGGAGTCAATGGGATCCCAAATGTCCCTTGGCAGATCCCCCAAATAGAGTGTTACCTACCTGCTGGACCAAAAAAAAGTTTTAACTCTGTGAGATGAATCCACGCATCACAAAACCCTTTCACAAATAGCTTCTTTCTAGTCTTTATCTGGGGATATTCCGTTTTTCCCCATAGGGCTCAATTGATTCCCAAATGTCTCTGCAGATTCTAAAAAAAGAGTGCCTCCCTTGTGTGAAATCAAAATTAAATCTGATATGAATCCAAACCTCAAAAACTGGTTTCACAGATACCTTTTTCTTTTTTTTTTTTTTTATCAGGGGAGAGTCTGTTTTTGCCTGTAGCCAACAAACAGCTTCCAAATGTCCCTTCACAGACTCTCCAAAAAGCATGTTCCCAACCTTCTGAATAGAAAGAAAACATTGAGTCTCTGAGGTGAATCAACACATCTCAAAGCAGATTCACAGAGAGTTTCTTCCTATTTTTTATCTGTGTATATTTGATTTTTTCCCATAGGCGTTTATGGGCTCCCAAATGTCCCTTCACTGATTCTACAAAAAGAGTGTTTCCAACCTCCTAAATCACAGTAATGTTTTAACTCTGTGAGATGAAACAACACATCATAAATCAGTTTCACAGATAGTTTCCAGTTTTTATCTGGGGATATTTGGTTTTTCTTCATAGGCAAAAATGGGCTCTTAAATGTTTTTTTGTTGATTCTCCAAAAAGATAATTTACAAGTTACTGAATCAACACGAAGGTTGAGCTCTTTGACATAAATCCACACATCACAAAGCAGTTTCACAGATCGCCTCTTTCTAGTTTTTATATGGGACCTTTGTTTTTTTTACATGGGCCTCAATAGGCTAAAAATTGTCCTTTGCAGATTCATCAAAAATAGTGTTTCCAACCTGCCAAATCAAAAGAAAAGATTAACTCTGTGAGATGAATCCACACATCTGAAAGCATTTTCACAGATAGTTCTTTCAACTTTTTATCTGGGGATATTTGGCTTTTCCCCGTAAACTTCAATGGGCTCCAAATGTTTCTTCACAGATTCTCCAACAAGAGTGTTTCCAACCTACTGAAGCCAAAGAAAGGTTTCACTCTATGGGGTAAATCCACACATGACAAAGCAGTTACCCTGACCGTTTCTTTCTAGTTTTTTTCAGGCGATATTCTGTTTTTCCCCATATGCCTCAATGGGGTCCCAATTGTTCCTTCAAAGATTCTCCAACAAGCATGTTTCCAAACTGCTGAACCAAAAGAAATGTTAAACTCTGTGAGATGAATGCACACATCTCACAGCAGATTCACAGAGAGCTTCTTTCTAGTTTTTATCGGGGGATACTGTTTTTACCTTATAGGCTTCTATGGGCTCTCAGATGTCCTTTTGCAGATCCTACAAAAAGAGTGTTTTCAACTTGAGGTTTCAAAAAAAATGGTTTATCTGTGAGATGAATCCACGTGTCACAAAGCTGTTTCACAGACTGCTTCTTTCTAGTTTTTATCTTGGGATATTTGGTTTTTCCCCGTAGGCCTTAGTGTGCTCCAAAATATCCCTTCACAGATTCTACAAAAAGAGTGTTTCCAACGTGCTGAACCAAAAGAAAATTCTACTCAGTGAGGTGAAGCCACACATCACAAAGCAGTTTAACAGAGAGTTTCTTTCTAATTTTTATCCAGGGATATTTTCTTTTTCCCCGTAGGCCACAATTGGCTCTCAAAAGTACCTTCACAGATTCTCCAAAAAGAGTATTTCCAACTTGCTTAAACAAAAGAAAGTTTCATCTCCGTGAGACGAATCCACACATCACAAAGCAGTTTCAGAGATACCTTCTTTCTAGTTTTTATCCTGTCATATTGTGTTTTTTTCCATGTCCCTCAATGCGCTCCCAAATATCCCTTTGCAGATTCATAAAAAACTGTATTTCCAAACTGGTGAATCAAAAGAATGTTTTACTGATTCCACATATCATAAAGCAGTTTCACAGATAGCTTCTTTCTAGTTTTCTTCTGGGGATATTTGGTTTTTCCATATGCCTCAATGGGCTATCAAATGTCCCTTTACAGATTCTCCAAAAAGAGGGTTTCCAACCAGCTGAGTCAAGAAAATGGTTAAACTCTGTGAGATGGATCCACACATCACAAAGTAGTTACACGGATAGTTACTATCTAGTTTTTATCTATGTTTTTTTTACCAAAGGCATCAATGGTCTCCCAAATTTCCCTTCACAGTTTCTCAGAAAGAAGTGTTTCCAAAATGCTGAATCAAAAGAAAGGTTTAACTCTGTGAGATAAATCTACACATCACAATGCAGTTTCACAATTAGATTCTTTCTAGTTTTTATCTAGAAATGTTCAGTTTTTTCCCATAGGCCTCAATGGGCTCCCATATGTCCCATAACAGATTCTACAAAAAGAGTGTTTTTAACCTATTAAACCAAAAAGAAAGTTTTAACTCTGTGAAGTGAATACACATATCACATAACAGTTTCGAATATAACATCTTTCTTGCTTGTATATGGGGATATTATGTTTTTCCCCATAGTCCTCAATGATCTCCCAATTGTCACATTGCAGAATCTCTGAAATGAGTGTTTCCAATCTACTGAATCAAAAGACTGGTAACTTCGTGAGATAAGTCCACAGGTCAAAAGCTGTTTCACAGATATATTCTTTCTAGTTTTTATCTGTGGATATTCTCTTTTTTCCTATAGGCCACATGGACCCCAAAAGTCCCTTCCCAGTTTCTCCAAAAAGAGTGTTTCCCATCTGCCAAATCAAAGGAAAGCTTAATTCTGTCAGATGAATCCACACATCAGAAAGCAGTTTCACAGATAACTTTTTTCTACTTTTTATCTGGGGATGTTCTGTTTTTCCCCATAAGCCACATTGGGCTCCCAATTTCCCATTACCAATTCTAGAAGACAAGTCTCTCCAACCAGGTGAATCAAAAGAAAGGTTGAACTCTGTGAAATGAATTTCCCCATTACAAAGCCGTTTCACAGATAGCTTCTTTCTAGTTTTATCTTGGGATATTTGTTTTTTCCCCATAAACCTTAATGGGCTCCCAAATGTTCCTTTGAAGATTCTGCAAAAGGAGTGTTTCCAACCTGCTTTATAAAACAAAAAGTTTATCTATGTGAGATGAATATACACTTCACAAGGAGTTTCACAGATAGCTTTTTTCTTCTTTTTTATCTGGGCTTATTCGATTTTTAGTAATAGGCCTCACAGGACTCCAAAATGTCCCTTCACAGATTCTACAGAGACAGTGTTTCTAACCTGCTGGACCAAAAGAATGGTTTAATTCTGTGAGAAGAATCCACACCTCATAAAACGGTTTCACAGATAGCTTCTTTCTAGTTTTCAAATGTTTTTTTTTAAACTTTTCCCCATAGGCCTCAATGGGCTCTGAAATATCCCTTCACAGTTTCTCCAAAAAGAGTGGTTCCAACCTGCTGAATCAGGGGAAAGGTTGAACTCTGAGATGAATCCACACATCACAAAGCACTTTCACAGATAGCTTCTTTCCAGTTTTTATCTGGGGATATTCTTTTTTTCCCCATAGGCCTAAATAAGCTCCCAAATGTCCCTTCCCAGATACTCCAAAAACAGTGTTTCCAAAATGCTGAAAAAAAGAAAGATTTAACTCTGTGAGATGAATTCACTCATCCCAAAGCAGTTTCACAGATAGCTTCTGTCTAGTTTGTAACTGGGGATATTCTGGGTTTTTTTTGCAATAGGCCTCAATTGTCTCCTTAAGGGCATTTCACAGATTTTGTAAAAAGACTGTTTCCAACTTGGTGAATACAAAAAAAAAAGATTTAACTCTGTGCGTTGAATCCACACATCACAAGGCAGTTTCACAGATAGCTTCTTACTAGTTTTTATCTGGGGATATTGGTGTTTCCCCGTAGGCCACAATGGGCTCCCAAATGTCCTTTCACAGATACTCCAAAATGAGTATTTCCAGACTATCGAATCAAAAGATTGGTTTAACTCTGTGAGATGAATTTACACATCACAAAGCCATTTCACAAATAGTTTCTTTCTAGTTTTTATCTGGGGATATTCTGTTTTTCCCATAGGCCTCAAGAGGCTCTCAAATTTAGCTCTTCACAGAGTCTCCGAAAAGTGTGTTTCCAATCTGCTGAATCCAAAGAAAGGTTTAAGTATGTGAGATGAATCCACACAGCACAAAGCAGTTTCACATATCACTTCATTCTAGTATTTATCTTGAGATTTTTTGTTTTTCCCCATAGGCCTTAATGGACTTTCAAATTTTCCTTTGAGTATTCTCCAAAAAGAGTGTTTCCAAACTTCTAGATAAAATGAAAGGTTTAGCTATGTGAGATAAATCCACACGAAACAAACCATTTTCACAGTTCACTTCTTTCTAGCTTTTTTCCCTGTGGATATTCAGCTTTTACTTATAGGCCTCAAAAGGCTCCCAAAAGTCCCCTGTCGTATTCTACAGAACCAGTGTTTCTAATCTGCTGGAATGAAAGGATGGTTTACCTCTGTGAGACGAATCCAAACTTCACAAAGCAGTTTCTTGGGGAGCTTCTTTCTAGCGTTTATCTGTAGATATTCAGTTTTTCCTAATAGGCCTAAATGGGCACCCAAATATCCCTTCACAGATTCTACAAAAAGAGTGTTTCCAACTTGCTGAATCAAAAGGCTGGTTGAACTCTGTGAGATGAATCCACACATAACAAAGCAGTTTCACTGAAATCTTCTTCCTTCTAGTTTTTAATCTGAAGATATTCAGTTTTTCCCAATAGACCTCAATGGGCTCCCAAATATCCCTTTGCAGTTTATCCAAAAAGAGTGTTTTCAACTGCTGAATCAAGAGAAAGGTTTAACTCTGTGAGTCAAATACACTTATCACAAAGCATTTCCACAGAGAGCTCCCATCTAGTTTTTATCTGGGGAAATTCAGTTCTTTTTCCCATAGGGCTCCAAGGGATGCAAACTGTCCCTTTGCAGATTATCCAAAAAGAGAGTTTTCCATCTTCTGAATCAAAGGAAATCTTTCTTTGTGTGACATGAACCCACACATCACAAAACAGTTCCACAGATTGCTTCTTTGCACTTTACACCTGGGGATATTCATTTTTTCCACTTAGGCCTCAAGAGGCCCCGAAATGTCCCTTTGTATGTGGGGAAAAGCAAGAAAGATCACATTGTTACTGTGTCTGTGTAGAAAGAAATAGACATAGGAGACTCCATTTTGTTCTGTACTAAGAAAAATTCTTCTGCCTTGAGATTCTGTTAATCTATAACCTTACCCCCAACCCTGTGCTCTCTGAAACATGTGCTGTGTCAACTCAGAGTTAAATGGATTAAGGGCGGTGCAAGATGTGCTTTGTTAAACAGATGCTTGAAGGCAGCATGCTCCTTAAGAGTCATCACCACTCCCTAATCTCAAGTACCCAGGGACACAAAGACTGCGGAAGGCCGCAGGGACCTCTGCCTAGGAAAGCCAGGTATTGTCCAAGGTTTCTCCCCATGTGATAGTCTGAAATATGGCCTCGTGGGAAGGGAAAGACCTGACCATCCCCCAGCCCGACACCCGTAAAGGGTCTGTGCTGAGGAGGATTAGTAAAAGAGGAAGGAATGCCTCTTGCAGTTGAGACAAGAGGAAGACATCTGTCTCCTGCCTGTCCCCGGGCAATGGAATGTCTCGGTATAAAACCCGATTGTATGCTCCATCTACTGAGATAGGGAAAAACTGCCTTAGGGCTGGAGGTGGGACTTGCGGGCAGCAATACTGCTTTGTAAAGCATTGAGATGTTTATGTGTATGCATATCTAAAAGCACAGCACTTAGTCCTTTACATTGTCTATGATGCAAAGACCTTTGTTCACGTGTTTGTCTGCTGACCCTCTCCCCACAATTGTCTTGTGACCCTGACACATCCCCCTCTTCGAGAAGCACCCACGAATGATCAATAAATACTAAGGGAACTCAGAGGCTGGCGGGATCCTCCATATGCTGAACGCTGGTTTCCCGGGTCCCCTTATTTCTTTCTGTATACTTTGTCTCTGTGTCTTTTTCTTTCCTAAGTCTCTCCTTCCACCTTACGAGAAACACCCACCGGTGTGGAGGGGCAACCCACCCCTACATTTGTAGATTCTCCAAAAAGCGTGTTCCCAACCAGCTAAATCAAAAGAAATATTTTTCTCTGTGAATTGAATCCACACATCAAAAACTAGTTTCACAAATAGCTTCTTTCTAGTTTTTATCTGGGGATATTCAGTTTTTCCTTATATGCACCAAAGGACTCCCAAATATCCCTTTGCATATACTCCAAAAAGAGCATTTCCAGCCTGCTTAATGAAAAGAAAGGTTTACTTTTGTGAGATGAGTCCACAAATCACAAAGCCATTTCACAAATAGCTCCTTTTAAGTTTGTAGCATCAATGGGCTACAAAATGTCTTTTCGCAATTTTTGTAAAAGGTGTTTTAAACCTGAATCAAAAGAAAGGTTTACCTCTGTGAGCTGAATCCACACATCACAAAGCAGTCTCATGGATAGCTTTTTTCTAGTACTTATCTTGGGATATTCCGTTTTTCCCCATAGGCCACAATGGGCTCCAAAATGTCCCTTCACAGATTCTTCAAGAACAGTGTTTCCAACCTGCTGAATCAAAAGAAAGGTTTTGCTATGTTAGATGAGTCTACACATCACAAATAAATTTCAAAGATTTTTTTTTCTAGTTTTTATGTTGGGATATTTGGTTTTTCTCCCCAGGACTCAATGGGATACTGAATGTCTTTGTGCAGACTCTACAAAAAGAGTGTTTCTAACCTGCTGAATGAAAAGAAATGTTTAACTCTGTAAGATGAATCCACTTATCAGAAAGCAGTTTGACAGATAGCTTCATTGTTGTTTTTACATGGGAATATTCCAGGTTTTTTTTTTGGCCTCAATGGGCTAAAAAATGCAGCTTCACAGCTCCTTCAAAGAGAGTGTTTCCAACCTGCTTAATCAAAAGAAGGTTTATCTCTTTTAGATGAATCCACAAATCACACAGCAGTTTCAAAAATAACTTCTTTTCAATTTGTTTCTAGGGATATTCTGTTTTTCCCCACAGAGACAATGGGCTCCCAAATGTCCCTTTGCAAATTTTACAAAAAGAGTTTTTCCAACGTGCTGAGTCAAAAAATAAATTTAACTCTGTAAGATAAATCTACACATCACACAGCAGTTTCACAGGTAGCTTCTTTCTAAGTTTTATCTTTGGATATTTTGTTTCTCCCCACAGGCCTCAATGGGCTCCCAAATGTCCCTTCACAGATTATCCAGTTAGAGTGTGTCTAATCTGCTGAATCAAAAGAAAGGTTTAACTCTGTGAGGTGAATCAACACATCACAAAGCAGTTTCAGATAGCTTCTCCCTAGTTTTTATCTGGGATTATTCAGTTTTTCCCCATAGGTCTCAATGTGTTCCCAAATGTCCTTTCACAGATTCTTAGAAAAGAGTGTTTCCAACCTGCTGAATCAAAAGAAAGTTTTAACTCTGTGAGAGGAATCCTCACTTCACAAAGCAGTTTCACAGATAGCTTCTTTCTCCTTTTCCTGGAGATATTCATTTTTTTCCCCATAAGTCTCAATGGGCTTCTAAAAGTTTCTACACTGATTCTACAGAAAGAGTGTTTCCAACCTGCTGAATCAAAGGAAATTTACAACTTTGTAAGAGGAATCCACACAAGCAAAGTAGTTTCACAGATAGCTTCTTTCTAGTTTTTATCTGGGGATATTCTATTTTTCCCCATAGGCCTCAATGGGCTCACAAATGTTCCTTTGCAGAGTCACCAAAAGGAGTGTTTCCAACTTGCTGAATCAAATGAAATTTATCTCTGTGAGATGAATCCACACATCAGAAACCAGTTTCACAAAAAATTGCTTTCTAATTTTTTCTGTGGATATTCCATTTTTCCCTGATAGATATCAATGGATTTTCAAATGTTCTTTTGCAGGGTCCCCAAAAGGAGTGTTTCCAACCTGCTGAATCAAATGAAAGCTTTATCTCTGTGAGATGATTCCAAACATCACAAACTGGTTTCATGGGTAATTTCTTTCTAAATTTGTCTGTGGATATTCGTTTTTTACCCCCATAGACATCAATTGGCTCCCAAATGTGCCTTATTAGATTCTACAAAAAAAGTGTTTCCAAGCATCTGAATCAAAAGAAACGTTTAACTCTGTGATATGAATCCACACATCTCAAAGCAGATTCACAGATAGCTTCTTTCCAGTTTTTACATAAGGATATTTAATTTTTACTTATAGTCTTAAATGGGCTCCCTAGTGTCCCTTCACAGATCCTACCGAAAGAGTATTTCCAACTTCCTGGTTCAAAACAAAGATTTACCTATATGACGTGAGTCAATACATCAAAAAGCAGTTTCACAGATGGCTTCTTTCTATTTTTCATCTGGGAATATTTGTTTTTTCACCATAGGCCTCAAAGTGCTCCAAAATGTCGCTTCACAGATTCGACAAAAAACTGTTTCCAAACTGCTGAATCAAAGGGAGTGTTTAAATCTATGGGATGAATCCACACATCACAAATCAGTTTCACGGATACATTCTTTCTATTTTTTACCTTGGGATATTCGGCTTTTCCCCATAGACCTCAAAGGGCTACAAAATGACCCCTTGCAGATTCTCCAAAATCAGAGTTTCTAACCTGTTGAAGCAAATTCAAGGTTAAATTCTGTGAGATGAATCCACACATCAGAAAGCAGTTTCACAGATAGCTTCTTTCAGTTTTTATGTGGGGATACTCTGTTTTTTCCCTTAGGCCTCAATGGGCAGCCAAATATTTCTTTGCAGATTATAAAAAATTTTTTTCCAACTTGTTGAATGAAAAGAAAGGTTTAAATCTGTGAGATGAATCCACACATCAGAAAGCAGTTTTGCAGATAGCTTCCTTCTAGTTTTTTTATCTGGGGATATTCTGTTTTTTTTCTCTTAGGCCTCAATACACTCCTAAAATTCTCTTCACAGATTCTACAAAAAGAGTGTTTCCAGTCTGCTGGATCAAAACAAAGGTTTAACTCTGTGAGATAAATCCACACATTACAAAGAAGTTTCACAGATAGCTTCTTTCTGGTTTTTATCTGGTTATATTCGTTTTCTTCCCTAAGTCCTCAATGGATATGGATTCCCAAATGTCCCTTCACAGACTCCCCACAAAGAATGTTCCCAAACAGCTGAATCTAAAAAAAAGTTTTAACTCTGTGAGATGAATCCAAACATCACGAAGCAGTTTCACAGATACCTTCTTTCTAGTTTTTATCTGGGGTTATTCAGCTTTTCCCTATAGGCCTCAATGGGCTCCCAAATGTTTCTTCACAAATTCTCCAAAAAGAGAGTTTCCAACCTAATAAATCAAAAACAAATTTTAACTCTGTGAGATGAATCCGTAAATCACAAAGCATTTTCACAGATAGCTTCTTTCTAGTTTTTATGTGGGGAGGTTCAGTTTTTCCTCATAGGCCTCAATGGCTCCCTAATTTCCCTTTGCTGATTCTTGAAAAACAATATTTCCATCCTGCAGAATCAATTGAAAGGTTTAAGCCTGTGAGCTGAATCCACACATTACAAAACAGTCTCTCAGATAGTTTCTTTCTAGTTTTTATCTTGAGATATTCTGCTTTTTCATGTAGACCACAATGGGCTCCAAAATGTCCCTTTGCAGACTCTCCAAAAAAAGAGTTTCAAACCTGCTGAATGACATAAAAGTTTTAACTCTGAGATGAATACACACTTCACAAACAGTTTCACAGACAACTTCATACTAGTTTTTATATGGGGATATTTTGTTGTACCCCATAGGCCTCAATAGGCATTCAAATATCTCTTTGCAGATTCTTCATAGTGTTTCCTACCTGCTGAATCAAAAAAAAGGTTTAACTCTATGAGATGAATGCACACATCACAAAACATTTTCCCGTGTTTCTTCTTCTAATTTTTTTTCTAGTGATATTTTGTTTTTCCCCATAACACTCAATGGGCTTCCAAATGTCCCTTCACAGATTGTCCAGAAATAGCATTTCCAAGCTGCTGAATCAATAGACAGTTTTAACTCTGTGAGCTGAATCCACATATCACAGAGCAGTCTCATGGATAGGTTTTTTCTAGTTTTAATAATGAGATATTTGGTTTTTCCCTAGGACTCAACGGGTTCACAAATGTCTCTTCTCAAATTCTACAAAAAGAGTGTTTCCAACATGCTGAATCAAAAGAAAGGTTATGCTCTGTGAGATGAATCCACACATCAAAAAGCAGTTTCATGGATAGCTTCTTCCTAGTTTTTTTCTGGGGATATTCAATTTTTCCCCTGGGTACTCAATGGGTTCCCAAAATGACCCTTTGTAGAGTCTCCAAAGGAGGGTTTCCAACCTGCTAAATCAAACAAAAACTTTACCTCTGTGAGATGAATCCACAGATCACAAAGAAGTTTCATGGATAACTTCTTTCTAGTTTTTAATCTGTGGATATTTTGTTTTCCCCTTAGGCCTCAATTGGCTCCCAAATGTCCCTTTGCATATTCTACAAGAAGAGTGTTTCCAACCAGCTGAATCAAAAGAGAGTTTAGAGTCTGTGAGATGAGTCCACACATCACAAAGCAGATTCACGGATAGCTTCTTTCTAGTTTTTATCTGGGGATATTCTTTTTCTTTCCCATAGGCCTCTATGGGCACCAAAATCTCCCTTCACAGATTATCCAAAAATGTGTTTCCAACCTGGTGAATCAAAAGGAAATTTTAATTCTGTGTGATGAATCCACGCATTATGAAACAGTTCCACAGATTGCTTCTATGCAGTTTTTATCTGGGGATATTTTGTTTTTCCCCATAAGCCTCAAGGTGCTACAAAATGTCCCTTTGCAGATTCTCCAAAAAGAGTTTTTCCAAACAGCTGAATCAAAAGAAAGGTTTAACTCTGTGACTTGAATCCACACATCAAAACCCAGTTTCATGGATAGCTTCTTTCTAGTTTTATCTGGGTATAGCCTGTTTTTTTCCCATATGCCTCAAAGGGCTCCCAAATGTCCCTTCACAGATTCTACAAAAAGAATGTTTTCAACCTCCTGGATCAAAATCAAGGTTTAACACTGTGAGATGAATCCACATATCACAAACCAGTTTCACAGATAGCTTCTTTCTAGTTTTTTCCTGGCGATATTTAGTATTACCCCATAGGCCTCAATGGGATCCCAAATGTCCCTTCACATATTCTCCAAAACCAGTGTTTCCAACCTGCTGAATCAAATGAAAGCTTTACCTCTGCAAAATAAATACAAACGTCACAAAGAAGTTACACAGATAACCTCTTCCTGATTTTCATCTGGGGATATTTCTTTTCTCTCTATAGGCCTTAGCGGGCCTCCAAATGTCCCCTCACAGATACTCCAAAAAGACCATTTGTAACCTGCTGAATCAAAAGAAAGGCTTCACCCTATGAGATGAATCCACACATCACAAAGCGATTTCTCAGATAGATTCTTTCTAGTTTTTATCTGGGGATATTCAGGTTTTCCCCAAAGGCCTCAAGGGGCTTTAAAATGTTTCTTCACAGATTCTCCAAAAAGAGAATTTCCAACCTGCTGAATGAACAGAAAGGTTTAACTCTGTGAGGTGAATGTACACATCACAAAGAAGTTACATAGATATATTCTTTCTAGTAATCAAAAGAAAATATAAACACATCACAAAGCAGTTTCACAAAAAGTTTCTTTGGAGTTTTTATCAGGAGATATTCAGTTTTTCCCCATTGGCCTGAAAGGGCTCCCAAATGTCCTTTTGCAGTTTCTACAAAAAGAGTGTTTCCAAACTGTGGAATCAAAGAATGGTTTACCTCTGGGAGGTGAATTCACACATCCAAAGCAGTTTCACAGATGGTTTCTCCCTAGTTTTTATCTGAGGTTATTCAGATTTTCCTCATAGGCCCCAATGGGCTCTGAAATTTCCCTTCACAGATTCTCCCAAAAGAGTGTTTCCAACCTGCTTAATTGAAAGAAAGGTTTAACCCTGTGAGATGAGTCCACACATCACAAAGCAGTTTCACAGATATCTTCTTCCTAGTTTTTATGTGGAGATATTGGGTTTATCTCTCTAGGCCTCATTGGCTTCTAAATGTCCCTTTGCAGATTCTACAAAGAGTGTTTCCAACCTGTTGAATCAAAAGAAAGGTTTAACTCTTTGAGATGAATCCACACATCAAAAAGCAGTTTCACAGAGAGCTTCTTTCTTTTTCTTATCTGGGTATATTTTTTTTTCTATGGGCCTCAGTGGACTCCCAAAAATCCCTTCACAGGTATTACAAAAAGATTGTTTCCAACCTGGTAAATCAAAAGAAACTTTTAACTCTGTCAGATGAATCCACAAATCACAAAGCAGTTTCCCAGATAGCTTCTTTCTAGTTATTTTCTGTGGATATTGGTTTTTCCTTATGGGCCTCAATAGGTCCATAATGTACCATTGCAGATTCTACAGAAAGAGTGTTACCAACCTGCTCAATCAAAAGAAAGGTTTACCTTTGTGAGATGAATCCACACATCACAAGGCAGTTTCACTGATAGTGTCCTTGTAGTTTTTATCTCGGGATAACCCGTTTTTTTTGCCATGGGCTTCAACATGCTGCAAAATGTCCCTTCACAGATTCTACAAAAACAGTGTTCCAACGTACTGAATCAAAACAATGGTTTGCCTCTGTGAGTTGAATCCACACATAAAAAAGTGGTGTCACAGATAGCTCCTTTGTAGTTTTTATCTGAGGATATTTGGTTTTCCCCAAAAGCCTCAATGGGCTCCAAAATATACCACTGTAGATTCTACAAAAAGTGCATTTTGAACGTCCTCAATCAAAAGAATGGTTTAACTCTGTTGGTTTAACTCTGTTGGATCAAATCTCAAAGCAGTGTCACTGAGAGCTTCTTAGTAGTTTTTATCTGGGGATATTTGTTTTTTTCTTATAGGCCTCAAAAGTATCACAAATGCTCTTTTGCAGATTCTACAAAAAGAGGGTTTCCAATCTGCTGACTCAAAAGAAAGGTTTAACACTGTGAGATAAATCCACAGATCCCAAAGCAGTTAGCACATAGCTTGTTTCCAGATTTAACAGGAGATATTCGTTTTTTCCCCATGGTACTCAATTGGATCCAAAATGTCCCTTGCAGATTCCACAAAAAAAGTGTTTCCAATCTGCTGAAAGAATAGGAAGGTTTTTCCCTGGGAGATGAATCCACACATACAAGGCAGTTTCACAGATTGCTTCTTTCTAGTTTTTATCATGGGATATTCAGGTTTTCCCTTTGGCCTCAATGGGCTCCCAAAAGTCCATAGGCAGATTTTCCAAAAAGAGTGTTTCCAACCTGCTAAATCAACAGAAAGTTTTGACCCTGTGAAATGAATCCACTTGTCACAAAACAGTTTCACAGATAGCTTTATTTTAGTTTTTATGTGGAGATATTCAGTTTTTCCCAATAGGCCTCAATGGCCTTCAAAATGTCCGTTTGCAGTTTCTCTGAGAAGAGTGTTTCCGATCTGCTGAATTAAAAGAAAGGTTTAACTGTTTGAGGTGAATCCACAAATCACAGAGCAGTCTCACATTTATCATCTTTCTAGTTATTATCTCAGGATAATCGGTTTTTTCTTTACATTCCTCAATGGGCTCCCAAATGTCCCTTCACAGATTTTACAAGAGGATTTCCAACCTGCTTAATCAAAAGAAAGGTTTAACTCGGTAAGATGAATCCACACATTACAAAGAAGTTTTACAGATAGCTTCTTTCCAGCTTTTATCTCAGGATATTTGGTTTTACCTGTAGTCTTCCATAAGCTCCCAAATGTCTCTTCGCAGTTTCTCCAAGAAGAGTGTTTCCCTCCTGCTGCATGAAAAGAAATGTTTATCTTTGTGAGATAATTTCAAACGGACAAAACAGTTTCACAGATACCTTCTTTCTGGATTTTACCTGGGGATATTCAGTTTATCCCAATGGGCCTCAATGGGTGCCAAGATGTCCCTGTGCATATAGTCCAAAAAGAGTGTTTCCAACCTACTGAATCCAAAGAAAAATTTAACTCTGTGAGATGAATCCACACATCACAAAGCAGTTTCACAGATAGCTTCTTTCTAGTTTTTATCTAGTAATACTCAGTTTACCCTGATAGGTCTCAATGGGCTCCAAAATGTCTGTTCACATATACTCCAAAAAGAGTACCTCAAAACTGCTGAATCAAAAGAAAGGTTTAACTCTGAGATGAAGCCACACACCACACAGCAATTTCACAAATAGCATCTTTCTAGTTTTCATCGGGATATTTGTTTTTTTCCAATAGATCTCAAAGGGATTTCAAAAGTCTCTTCAGAGATTCTCCAAGAAGAGTGTTTCCAATCTTCAGAATCAAAACAAAATTTAACTCTGTGAGATGAATCCACATTGCACAAAGCAGTTTCACAGATTCCTTCCTTCTGGTTTTTATCTCAGGATATTTGGATTTTCCCTAAGACATAATGGGTTCTCTTATGCACCTTCACAGATTCTCCATAAAGAGTGTTTTTACCTGCTGAATCAGAAGAAAAATTTAATTCTGTGAGATGAAACCACACATCAAAAGCAGGTTTCACGAATAGCTTCTTTCTCGTTTTTATCTGTGGATATTCGGTTTTTCCCATAGGCCAAAATAGGCTCCAAATATCCCTTCACAGATTTGACAAAAATATAGTTTCCCACCTTCTGAATTAAAAAAAAAGGTTTAACGCTGGGAGATCAATCTACGCTTTTCAATACAGTTTCACAGATGGATTTTCTCTCATTTGTATCTGAGGATACTCAGGTTTTCCCCATAGGTCTCAGTGGGTTCCCAAATGTCTGTTTGCAGATTCTACAAAGAGAGTGTTTCCAAACTGCTGAATAATAAGAAAGGTTTAACTCTGTGAGATGAATCCACACATCACAAAGCAGCTTCACAGATAACTTCTTTATAGTGTTTATATGGAGATATTCGGTTTTTCCCCAGCCCTCAATGCGTTACCAAATGTTTCTTCGCAGATTCTCCAAAAAGAGTGTTTCCAAACTGCTGAATCATAAGAAAGGTTTAACTCTGTGACATGAATCCACACATCACAAAGAAGTTTCACAGACAGCTTCTTTCTAATTTTTATCTGTTGATATTCAGTTTTTCCCCATAGGCCTCAATAGGCTTCCAAATGTCTCATCACAGATTGTCCAAAAAGAGTGTTTCCAAACATCTGAATCAAAAGAAAGGTTTAACTCTGTGAGATGAATCCACACATCAGAAAGCAGTTTCAGAGATAGCTTTTTTCTAATTTTTATCTGGGGATATTCAGTTTTTCCCCATAGGCTACAATGGGTTCTCAAATATACCTTAGCAAATTCTACAAAAAGAGTGTTTCCAACGTGCTGAATCAAAAGAAAAGTTTAACTCTGTGACATGAATCAACACATCACAAAACTGTTTCACAGATATCTTCTTTCTAGTTTTTTCTGGGGATATTTTGTTTCTCCCCTACATCTCAAAGGGCTCCCAAATGCCTCTTCAATGATTCTTTAGAACAGTGTTTCCAACATGCTGAACCAAAAGAAAGGTTTAACTCTGTGAGATTAATCCACACATAACAATGCAATTTCACATATAGCTTTTTTCTAGTTTTTATCTGAGAATATTATTTTTTTCCCAAAGTCCTCAATGGGCTCTCAAATGTCCCTTAGCAGATTCTGCAAAAAGAGTGTTTCCAACCTGCTGAAACAAAAGAAAAATTTATTCTGTGAGATGAATCCACACATCAAAAAGCAGTTTCACAGATAGCTTCTAACCTGCTGAATCAAAAGTTTTAACTGAGGATATTCAGTTTTTCCTCATAGGCCTCAATGGACTCCCAAATATCCATTCGCCTGTCCTACAAAAAGAGAGTTTCCAACCGCTGAATCAAAATGAAGTTTCAATTGTGTGAGATAAATAAACACATCACAAAACAGTTTCACAGATAACATCTTTTTAGTTTTTATCTGGAAATATTCAGTTTTTCCCCATAGGCTGCAATGAGCTCCCAAATGTCCCTTTGCAGATTCTACAAATATAGTGTATCCAACCTACTGAATCAAAAGAAAACTTTAACTTTCTGAGATAAATGCACACATCAAAAAGTAGTTTCACAGATATACTCTTTCTACTTTTCAACTAAAGACATCGGATTTTTCCCCATAGGCCTCAATGGGCTCCCAAATGTTTCGTCACAGATTCTACAAAAAGAGTGTTTCTAACCTGCTGAATTTAAAAATATGTATAACTCTGTGAGATGAATTCACTCACCACAAAGCAGTTTCAAATATGGCTCGTTTCTAGTTTGTATCTGGGAATATTTGTTTTTTCCTGGTAGGCCTCGGGGACTCAAATTGTCCATTCACAGATATTACAAAAAAAGAGTTTACAACCTGCTGAATGAAAGAAGGGTTTAACTCTGTGAGATGAATTTACACCTCACAAAGCAGTTTCACAGATAGCTTCTTTGTAGTTTTTATCTGGGGATATTCTGTTCTTCCACATAGGCTTCAATTGTCTCATAAATGTCCCTTTGCAGATTCTCCAAAAAGAGTGTTACCAACCTGCTGAATCAAAAGAAAAGTTTAACTCTACAAGATGAATCCGCTCATCACAACTCAGGTTTGGAAATAGCTTCTTTCTTTTTTTTCCCGGGGACATTCTGTTTTTCCCCAGAGTCCTCAAGTGGTTCCAAATGTTTCTTTGCAGAGTCAACAAAAAGAGTGTTTCCAACCTGCTGAATCCAAAGGAAGGTTTAACTCTGTGAGATGAATCCAGTCATCACAAAGCCCTGTCACAAAAACTTCTCTTCTTGTTTTTATCTGGGGATGTTCGGGGTTTTTCCATAGGTCTTAATGGGCTCCGAATTATCCCTTCAGATTCTTCAAAAAGAGTACTTCCAGCTGACTGAATCAAAAGAAAGGTTCAACTCTCTGAAATGAATCCACACATCACAAAGTAGTTTCCCAGACAGTTTATTTCTTGTTTTTATGTGGGTATATTCAGTTTTTCTCCATAGACTTCAATAGGCTCCGAAATTTCCCCTTGCATATTCTACAAAAAGAGTGTTTCCAACGCGCTGAAGCAAAAGAAAGGTTTAGTTATTTGAGATGAATCTGTACATCACAAAGGAGTTTCACAAACAGCTTCTTTCTTTTTTTTAGTTAGGGATATTCTGTTTTTTCCATAGGATTCTTGGGCTCCCAAATCTCCCTTCACGGATTGTACAAAAAAGGTGTTCCAATCTTCTGAATCAAAAGAAAGGTTTAACCCTGTGCAATAAAGTAACATATCACAAAGCAGTTTCACAGATAGCTTCTTTCTAGTTTTTATCTGGGGATATTCAGTTTTACCCATAGGCCTAAATGGGCTTCCAAATGTCCCTTCACAGATTCAGCAACAAGAATGTTTCCAAACCGTTGAACCTAAAAAAAGGTTTAACTCTATGAGATGAATGGACACATCACAAAGCAGTTTCACAGATAGCTTATTTCTTGTTTTTATCTGTGGATAATCTGTTAATCACAATAGGCCTGGTTTCCCAAATGTCCCTCCACAGATTGTACAATAAAAGTGTTTCCAACCTCCTGAATCAAAAGAATTCTCTAACTCTGTGAGATGAATCCACATATCATAACGCAGTGTCCCAGATAGCTTCTCTGTAGTTTGTATAAAGGGACATTCACTTTTTCCCCATAGGCCTCAATGGGATCCCAAATGTCCCTTCACTGATTCTGCAAAAAGAGTGTTTCCACCCTGCTGAATAAAAAGAAAGGTTCAACTCTGTGAGATGAATCCACTCATCACAAAGCAGTTAAACTTAAAGCTTCTTCCAAATTTTTACATGGGAATATTCGTTTTATTCCTATAGGCATCAGAGGGCTCCCAAATGTCCCTTTGCAGATTCTACAAAAAGGGTCTTTCTACCATGCTGAATAGAAAGGAAGGTTTAACACTGTGAGATGAATCCACACGTCCCAAAGCAGTTTCACAGATAGCTTTTTCTAGTTTTTATCTGGGGATATTTTCTTTACCCCCATAGTCCTCAATGTGCTCTCAAATTTCCCTTTACAGCTACTCCAAAAAGAAAGTTTCCAAAGTGCTGAATCAAAACAAAGGTTTAACACTGTGAGAGGAATGCACAGATCACAGAGCATTTTCACAGGTAGCTTCTTTCTTGTTTTTATCTGTGGTTAATCTGTTATTCACCATGGGACAGAATGGGCTCCCAAATGTTTCCTCACATATTGTACAAAAAGAGAGTTTCCAAGCTGCTGAATCAAAAGAATGCTTTAACTCTGTGAGGTGAATCCACACATAATAAAGTAGTCTCACCGATAGCTACTTTCTAGTTTTTATCTGGGGATATTTGCTTTTTCCCTATAGGCCTCAATGGGCTCACAAATATCCCTTCACTGATTCTGGAAAAAGAGTGTTTCTACCCTGCTGAATAAAAACAAAGGTTTAACTCTGTATTCTGTCTTTCCCCATAGGCCTCAATGGACTCCCATATATACCTTTGCAGATTCTCTAAAAAGAGTGTTTCCAACTTGCTGAGTCAAAAGAAATGTTTAATTCTATGAGATGAATCCGCCCACCACAAAGTAGTTTCACAGATAGCTTCTATGAGTTTACATCTGGGAATATTCCACTTTTCCCCATAGGCCTCACTGGGCTCCCAAATATCCCTTCACAGATTCTTCAAAAAGAGTGTCTCCAACCTGCTGAATCAAAAGAAATGTTTTGTTCTGTGAGATGAATCCAGACATCACAAATAAGTTTCACAGATAGCTTCTATCTAGTTTATAACTGGGGATATTCGGTTTTTCCCCAAAGGCTTCAATGGGCCCTGAAAATGTCCCATTGCAGATTTTTTAAAAAGAGAGTTTCCAAACTGCTGAATCTAAGAAAGCTTTAACTCTGAGCTGAATCCACACACCACAATGCAGTTTCACAGATAGCTTTTTTTCTAGGTTTTATCTGGGAATACTTTGTTTACCCCCATAGACCTCAATGGGCTCCCAATTTCCCTTTGCAGATCTCCAAAAAGAAAGTTTTCAACCTGCTGAATCCCAAGAAAGGATTAACTCTGAGGTGTTAGTCTACACTTTACAAAGGAGGTTCATAGGTAGCTTCTTTTTAGTTTTTATCTTGGTTATTCAATTTTTCCCCATAGGCTGCAAAGAGCTCCCAAATGTCTGATCCTGATTCTCCAAAAATAATATTTTCAACCTGCTGAATCAAAAGAAATTTTAACTCTTGTGAGATGAGTCCATACTAGGGAACCTGCCCCAATAGTCATGTAGGTTCCTTTCTATTTTCCCTAAGCATCAGCTGGTTTGAGAAATAAAGGGACAGAGTACAAAAGCTGGGCATCCGAGGGAGACATCACATGTCAGTAGATTCCGTGATGCCCCACAAGTGGCAAAACCAGCAAGTTTTTATTAGGGACTTTCAAAAGGGGAGGGAGTGTACAAATAGGGTGTAGGTCACAGACATCACGAACTTCACAAGGTAATAGAATATCACAAGGCAAATGAAGTTAGGGCAAGCTCACAGGACCACAGGACTGGGGTGAAATTAAAATTGCTAATGAAGTTAGCACCATTGTCATTGATAACATCTTATCAGGAGACAGGGTTTTGAGAGCAACCTGTCTGGCCAAAATTTATTAGGTGGGAATCTCCTCTTCCTAGTAAGCCTGGGAGCACTATGAGGGACTGGGTTCTATTTCACCCCTACAGTCTACAGACCACAGAAGATGGCCACACCCAAGGGGGCCGTCTATAGATCCACCACCAGGAGCGTATTCTCTTTCCCAGGGATGTTCCTTGCTGAGAAAAAGAATTCAGCGATATTTCTCCCATTTGTTTTTGAAAGAAGAGAAATATGGCTCTGTTCTACCTGGCTCACTGGTGGTCAGAGTTTAAGGTTATCTCTCTTATTCCCTGAACAATTGCTGTTCTCCTGTTCTTTTTTCAAGGTGTCCTGTTCTCCTGTTCTTTTTTCAAACACACATGCTCTACAATTTATGCAGTTAATGCAATTATCACAGGGTCCTGAGGCAACATACATCCTCCTCAGCTGACAGGATTAAGAGATTAACGTAAAGACAGGCATAGGAAATCACAACGGTATTGATTGGGGAAGTGATACGTGTCCAGGAAATCTTCACAATTTATGTTTAGAGATTGCAGTAAAGACAGGCATAAGAAATTATAAAAGTGTTACCTTGGGGAATTAATAAATGTCCATGAAATCTTCGCAATCCACATTCTTCTGCTATGGCTTCAGCTGGTCCCTCCATTTGGGGTCCCTGACTTCCTGCAAGAAGTCCACACATCACAAAGCAATTTCACAGATAGCTACTTTGTATTTTTTATCTGGGGACGTTCGTTTTTTTCCCATACTCCTCAATGGCTTCTCAAATGTCCCTTCACAGAATCTTTGAAAAGAGTGTTTCCAAACTATTGAATCAAAAGAAAGCTTTAACTGTTTGAGATGAATCCACCCATCACAAAGCAGTTTCACAGGTACCTTCTTTCTTGTTTTTCTCTGAAGATATTCTGTTTTTCCCCATAGGCCTCAATGGGCTCCCAAATATCCTTTCACAGATTGTACAAAAAGAATGTTTTTAACGTGGTGAATCAAAACAAAAGTTTAACTCTGTAAGATGAATCCAAACATCACAAAGCAGTTTCACAGGTAGCTTCTTTATGGTGTTTGTCTTGGGATATTTGGTTTTTCCCCATAGTCCTCAATGATCTCTCAAATGTCCCTTCACAGATTCTCCAAAAACAGTGTCTCCAAGCTGCTGAATCAAAAGCAAGTTCTACTCTGTGAGATGAATCCACACATCACAAAGGAGTTTCATATATAGCTTCTTTCTAGTTTTTGTATATGGATATTCCATTTATTTCTATAGGCCTCAGTGGGCTTGAAAGTATCCCATCACAGATCCTTTCAAAAGAGTGTTCCCTTAAGAGTCATCACCACTCCCTAATCTCAAGTACCCAGGGACACAAACACTGTGGAAGGCCGCAGGGACCTCTGCCTAGGAAAACCAGAGACCTTTGTTCACGTGTTTATCTGCTGACCTTCTCTCCACTATTATCCTATGACCCTGCTGCATCCCCCTCTCTGAGAAACACCCAAGAATGATCAATAAATAAAAATAAAATTAAATTAAATTAAAATTAAAATTGAAAAAAAAGAGTGTTCCCAAACTGCTGAATCATGAGAAAGGTTTAACTCTGTGAGATGAATTCACACATCATGAAGAAGTTTCACAGACAGCTTCTTTCTAATTTTTACCTGTGGATATTCAGTTTTCAAACATAGGCTTCAGTGGGCTTCCAAATGTCTCATCGCAGGTTGTCAAAAAAGGGTGTTTCCAACCTTGTGTATCAAAAGAAAAGTTTACCTCTGTGAGAAGAATCCTCACATCAGAAAGCAATTTCACACATAGTTTCTTTCTAGTTTTTATCAGGGGATATTCTGTTTGTCACCATAGGCCTCAATGTGCTCCAAATCTCCCTTTGCAAGTTCTACAAAAGGACTATTTACAACCTGTGGAATCAAAAAAAAAAGGTTAAACTCTGTGAGAAGAATCAACATATCACAAAGCAGTTTCACAGATAACTTCTTTCTAGTTTTTATCTGGGAATATTTGCTTTTTCACCATAGGCCACAATGACATTCCAATTTTCCCATCGCAGATTCTAGAAAAACAGTGTTTCCATACTGCTGAATCAAAAGGAAGGTTTAACTCTGTGAGATTAATCCACGCATCATAAAGCGGTTTCACAGTTAGTTTCTTTTTGGTTTTTATCTGCGGATATCCTGTTTGTTACCATAGGCCTCAATGAGCTCCCAAATGTGCCTTGCCAGATTCTACAAAAATAGAGTTTTCAAACTGTTGAATCAAAAGAAAGGTTTAACTCTGTGAGAAAAATCCGCACATCACAAAGCAGATTCACAGGTAGATTTCTTCTAGCTTTTATCTGGAGATATTCACTTTTTAACCATAGGACTCAATGCACTCTTAAATGCCACTTTGCAGATTCTACAAAAACAGTGTTTCCAAACTGCTGAGTGAAAAGAAAGGTTTACCTCTGTGAGATGAATCCACACATCACAAACCAGTTTCACTTATAATATCTTTGTAGTTTTAATCTGGGGATACTCGCTTTTTCCCCATAGGCCCCAATGTGATCCCAAATGTCCCTTTGCATATTCTGCAAAAACACTCTTTCCAAACTGCTGAATCAAAGGAAAGGTTTATTTTTGTGGGGTGAATCCACAAATCACAAAGTAATTTCACCGATAGCTTCCTTCTAGTTTTTATGTGTGGATATTTGGTTTTTCATTGTAGGACTCAATGAGCTCCCAAAAGTCCCTTTGCAGATTCTACAAAAATAGTGTTTCCAAACTCCAGAATCAAAAGGCATGTTTAACTCTGTGAGGTGAATCCACATATCACAAAAAAGTTTCACAGATAGCTTCTTTCTAGTTTCAATCTGGGGATATTCTGTTTGTCACTATAGACATAAATGCACTCCCAAATGTCATTTCATAGATTCTACAAAAGGACTGTTTCCAACAGACTGAATCAAAACACGTTTTAACTCTGTGAGATGAATCCAAAAATTACAAAGCAGTTACACAGATAACATCTTTCCACTTTTCATCTGAGGATATTTGATTTTTCATCATAGGCCTCAAAGCATTCCCAAATGTCCCTTCACAGTTTCACCAAAAACAGTGCTTCCAAACTCCTGAATCAAAAGAAAGGTTTAACATGAGATGATTCCACATATCACAAAGCAGTTTCACAGATAACATCTTTTTAGTTTTTATCTTGGGTTATTCATATTTTCACTGTAGGCCTCTGTGAGCTCCCAAATGTCCCATCGCAGATTGTACAAAAACAGTGTTTCCAAATTACTGAATCAAAAGAAAGTGTTACCTCTGTGTGATGAATCCAGAAATCACAACACAGATTCACAGATAACTTCTTTCTAGTTTTTATCTTCGGATATTTGCTTTTTCACCATAGGCCTCAGTGACCTACCAAATATCTCTTCACAGATTCTACAAAAACAGTGTTTCCAAACTGCTAAATGAAGAGAAAGGTTTAACTCTGTGAGATGAATCCACAAATCAGAAAGCAGCTTCTCAGATAGCTTCTTTCTAGTTTTTATCTGGGGATATTCACTTTTTCATTGTAGGACTCAATGAGTTCCAAAAAGTCCCTTCACAGATTGACAAAAATAGTGTTTCCAAACTCTTATATCTAAAGTAAGGTATAACTCTGTGAGATGAATCCACACATCACAAAGCAGTTTCACAGATAGCTTCTTTCTACTTTCAATCTGGGGATATTCTGTTTGTCACCATAGAAATCAATGTACCCCCAAATGCCCCTTTGCAGTTTCTACAAAAACAGTGTCTTCAAACTGCTGAATGAAAAGAAAGGTTTAACTCTCTGAGATGAATCCACATATAACAAAGTGGTTTGACAGATAATGTCTTTCTAGTTTTTGCCTTGGGATAGTCCCTTTTTCACCATGGACCTCAATGACCTGCCAAATGTCTCTTCACAGATTCTACACAAACAGTGTTCCAAACTGCTCAATCAAAAGAAATACTTAATTCTGCAAGAGGAATCCACACATCACAAAATTGTTTCACAGATAGCTTCTAGTTTTATCTGAAAATATTCAGTTTGTCATCACGGGCCTTAGTGAGGTTCCAAATGTTCCTTCACAGGTTCTACAGAAATAATGTTACCAAACTCTGTGACATGAATCCATACATCACAAGACAGTCTAACTGATAGCTTCATTCTCATTTTCATCTGGGGAAATGTGGACTGGCACCATACATTTCAATGCACTCCTAATTGTCCCTTCACAGATTCTACAAAAACAGTGTTTCCAAACTGCTGAATGAAAAGAAAGTTTTAACTCTGTGAGATGAATCCACACATCACAAAGCAGTTTCAAAGACAGCTTCTTTTTGGTTTTTATCTGGGGAAATTTTCTTTGTCACTGTAGGCCTCAATTCACCCCCAAATATCCCTTCACACATTCTACAATCAGACTGTTTCTACCCTTCTGAATCAAAAGAAAGGTTTACCTCTATGAGAAGAACCCACACATTATAAAGCCATTACACAAATAACTTCTTTCAGTTTGTATCTGGGGATACTCACTTTTTCACCATAGGCCTCAATGAGCTCCCAAATGTCCCTTTGCAGATTGTACAAAAACAGAGTTTCCAAACTGCTCAATCAAAGGAATGATGTAATTCTGAGACAAATCCACACATCACAAAGCAGCTTCAAAGATAGCTTCTTTCTAGTTTCTATCTGGGGATATTTTCTTTTTGAACATGTGTATCAATGAGCCCCCAAGGGTCTCTTCGCAGGTTCTACAAAAACAGTGTTCCCAAACTGGGGAATAAAAAGAAAGGTTTAACCCTGTAAGATGAATCCACACGTCACAAAGCAGTTTCTCAGATAACTTATTTCTAGTTTTTTTCTGGGGATACTCTGTAGTGGAAGAGTTTATGGGGTGCAAGTTTAGTCAGTCACCCCTGTGTAGGACACATAAGGAACACCACAGGGGGCCCCTGAGGAGAAATATCTCCTGACCACCCTTGTGTCCCCAGACCAGTGAGCATGACCTGCTCTGTGGCTTTACACAGAATGCTCTGGCCTGAAACACTCCCTTGAAGCATTGGAATGTGACCAGACATCCTGGCTCTTTGTAAAACCAATTCCCACCAGCTGCAGCTCCATAAGTTAAAGTCTATCTTAATAGTTAGACATATGCTTTAAGCTTAAAGGAAATTCACATAACTGCCACTGCTATAGATCTTTAGAATGAGGCATACCCCTACTCCTTCACCATTCTACCCTATACCAACTGCCTCTTAGATCAAAAGATTGTACTCAATAAATTGTCAGGAAATCAGAGTTCTGGGCCTTTTGCAGCCCTCACTTTAGCAACTGACCCCCTGGAGCTGCTTTTACTCTTAACCAGTCTTTTCTCATTCTTTGTCACCACCGGACTTAAGGTACCCACATTTGGGGGTGTGGCCTGATCACACCCCAACAGGATTTTCACCATAAACCTCAATAAGCATCCAAATGTCCCTTCTCAGATTCCACAAAAAGAGTGTTTACCAACATGCTGAATCAAAAGAAAGGGTTAAATTTGTGAGTTGAATCCACACATCATGAAGCATTTTCACAGAAAGCTTATTCCTAGTATTTATTTGTGAATATTCAGTTTTTCACCATATGCCTCAATGGGCTCCCAAATGTCCCATGCAGATTCTACAAAAAGAGTGTTTCCAATTTTATGAATCAAAAGAAAGCTTTACCTCTGTGAAATGAATCCACACATCACAAAAGGGTTTCACAGATGGCTTCTTTGTAGATTTAATCAGGGAAAGTTTAGTTTTTCACTATAAAATTCACTGGGATCTGAATGTCCCTTCACAGATTCAAATAAAAAGTGTTTCCAACCTGCTGAATCAAAGGAAATGTTGAATCTCTGAGATGAATCCTGATATCCAAAAGCAGTTTAACACATAGCTTCACTCTAATTTTTATCTCTCAGTATTTAGTTTTTCACCCTAAGCCTCAATGGTCTCCCGAATGTCCATTCCAAGATTCTGCAAGAAGAGTGTTTCCCACCTGCTGAATCAAAAGATGTGTTTAACTCTGTGAGATGAAACCATGCATATCCAAACAGTTTCATAGATAGCTTCTTTCTCGTTTTTATATGGGGATAATAGGCCACAATGGGCTCTTAAATGTCCATTTGCAGGTTATACTAAGAGGGTGTTTCCAATCTGCTGAATCAAAAGGCTTAAGTCTATCTAATGAATCTGCACATCACAAATCAGTTTCACAGATAGCTTCTTTCCAGTCTTTATGTGGGTAAATTCAGTTTTTTTACAGTAGGTCTCAATGGGCTTACAAACGTACCTGCACAGATTCTACAAAAAGAGTGTTTCCAACCTGCTGAATCAAATGTGAGCTTTTTCATTGTGAGGTGAATCCACACATCATGAAGCAGTTTCATATATAGCTTCTTTCTAGTTTTTATGTAGGGATATTCAGTTTTTAACCTTAGGCCTAATAGGGTTCCCAAATGTCCCTTCACAGATTCTACAAAAAGAGTTTTTCCAATGCACAGAATCAAAAGAAACGTTTAACTATGTCAGATGAATTTACACTTCACAAAGCAGTTTCACAGAGAGCTTCTTTTAGAGTTTATCTGGTGATATTCGGTTTTTCACCATAGGCCTCAATGGGCCCCAAAATGCCCATTTTCAGATTCATCAAAGAGAGTGTTTCCATCTTGCTGAATTATGATAAAGTTTTACCTCTCTCAGATGAATTCACACATTAAAAAGCAGTTTCACATATAGCTTTCTTCTAGTTTTTGTCTGGGGATATTCAATTTTTCACCATAGGCCTCAGTGGACTCATAAATATTTCTTCAAACATTCTACAAAAAGAGTGTCTCCAACCTGCTGAATCAAAGGAAAGGTTTAACTATGTGAGATGAATCCACGTATCACCAAGCTGTTTCCCAGGTAGATTGTTTCTAGTTTTTATCTGGGGATTTTTGTTTTTCACTATAGGCCTCAATGGGCTCCAAAATGTCCTTTCACAGCTTCTACAAAAATAGAGGTAAAAACCTGTTGAATAAAAAGAAAGGTTTAGCTCCATGAGGTGAATCCACACATCACAAAGCAGTTTCACAGATAGCTTCTTTTTAGTTTTCATCTGGAGACATTCAGTTTTTCACCAAAATTTTTATGGGCTCCCAAATGTCCCTTCACAGATTCTACAAAAAGAGTGTTTCCAACCTGCTAAGTGAAAAAATGGTTTAACTCTGTAAGATGAACAGACACGTCATAAAGCAGTTTCACAGACAGCTTCTTTCTAGTTTCTATCTGGGGATATTCTTAATTCACTATAGGCCACAAGGGCACCCAAATATCCATTTGCAGATTCTGCAAAAAATAGTATTTTTCACCAAAGTTTTTATGAGATCCAAGATGTCCCTTCACAGATTCCATAAAAGGATTGTTTCCAACCAGCTGAATCAAAAAATGGTTTAACACTGTGAGATGAATAGAGGCATCACAAAGCAGTTTCACAGATAGCTTCCTTCTAGTTTCTATCTGGGGAAAATCTTAATTCACTATAGGTCACAAGGGGCTCCCAAGTGTCCATTCTCAGATTCTACAAAAAAAGTTTCCAACCTGCTGAATCTAAGGAAGTATGTATCTGTTTGAGATGAATCCAAACATCACAAAGCAATTTCACAGATAGCTTCTTTCCAGTTTTTATCTGAAGATGTTCAGATTTTCACCATAGTCCTAAATGGGCTCCCAAATGTCCCTTTGCAGATTCTACAAAAAGAGTGTTTCCAACCTGCTCAACCCAAAGAAAACTTTTAGTTTGTGAGATGAATTGACACATCACAAAGCAGTTGCACCTGTAGCTTCTTTCCAGTTTTTCTCTGGGGATATTCAGTTTTTCACCATAGGCCTCAATGGGCTTTCAAATGTACCTTCGCAGATTCTACAAAAAGAGTGTTTCCAACGTGCTAAATCAAAATAAAGTTTTAACTCTGTGCGAGTATTCTGTGCATGAGAAGGAAGATTCACAGATAGCTTCTTTCTGTTTTTTATCTTGAGATATCAGTTTTTCATGATAGGGAACATGAATGTTCCTTTACTGATTCTACAAAAAGAGGGTTTCCAACCTGCTGAATCAAAAAAAGTTCTAACTCTGTGAGATGAATCCATACATCACAAAACAGTTTCCCAGGTAGCTTCTTTCTAGTTTTATCCGGGAATAGGTGGGTTTTCACCATAGGCCTCCCAGTGGGCTTCCTGATGTCCCTTCACAGAGGTTACAAAAAGAGCATTTTCAGCCTGCTAAAACAAAACAAAGGTTTAACTCTGTGAGATGAACCTATGCAACAGAAAGGAGTTTCACAGATAGTTTCTTTCTTGTTTTTATTTGGGGCTAATTTGTTATTCACCATAGCTCTCAATGGAGTTTCAAATGTCCCTTCACAGATTCTGCAAAAAGAGTTCTTCCAATCTGCTGAATCAAAAGAAAGTTTTATCTCTGTGTGTTGATTGCAGACATTACAAAGCAGTTTCACAATACCTTCTTTCTAGTTTTTATATGAGGATTTATTTTCATTACAGACCTCGAAGGCCTCCCAAATGTCTTTTTATAGATTCTACAAAAAGAGTGTTTCCAATCCGCTAAATCAAAAGAAAGGTTTAAATCTGTGAGATGAATCTACACATCACAGAGCAGTTTCACAGAGATCTTCTTTTTAGTTTTTGTCTGGAGATATTCGCATTTTCATTGTTGGATTCAAAGGGCTTCCAAATGACCCATGGCAGAGTCTACAAAAAGAGTGTTGCCAGCCTGCTAAATCAATAGAAAGGTTTCACTCTGTAGATGAATCCACAAACCACCAAGTAGTTTCACAGATAGAGTTTTTCCAGTTTTAATCTGTGGATATTAGGTTTTTCACTGTAGCCCTCCAAAATGTCTGATTGCAGATTCTTCAAAAGAGTGTTTCCAACCTGCTGAATCAAAAGTAATACTTAACTGTATGAGATGAATGAAGACATCACAAAGCAGTTTCACAGAGAGCATCTTTCTAGTTTTTATCTGGGAGTATTTGGATTTTCACAATAGGCTTCAATGGGTTCCCAAATGTGCCTTCACAATTTCTACAAAAATAGTGTTTCCAACCTGCTCAACCAAAAAAGTTTTAACTCTGTGAAATAAATCCACACATCACAAAGCAGTTTTTCAGATAGCTTCTTTCTAGTTTTTATCAGGAGATATTCTCTTTTTCACCATAGGCCTAGATGGGATTCCAAATGTTTATTTGCAGATTCTACAAAAAGAGTGTTTACAACCTGCTGAAACAACAAAAGTTTGCCTCTGTGAAATTAATCTACACATCACAAAACAATTTCAGTGATAGCTTTTTTCTACTTTTCATCTGGGTATAATTGGTTTTAAACCATAGGTGTCAATGTGCCCCCAAATTTCCTTTCACAGATTCTACAAAAAGAGTGTTTGGAACCTGCCGCATTAAAAGAAAAGTGTAATTCATGTGGAGATGAATCCACAGATCACAAAGCAGTTTAACACGTAGCTTCTTTCTAGTTTTTATCTGGGGATTTTCGCTTTTTAACCAAAGGAAACAATGGGCTCCAAAATATCACTTCACAGATTCTACAAAAGGAGGGTTTCCAACCTGCTCAACAAAAAGGAAGGGTTAACTCTGTAAGACGAATTCATACACCACAAGGCAGGTTCACAGATAGCTTCTTTGTATTTTCTATCTGAAGATATTCTGTTTTTCACCGTGGGCATAAATGAGTCTCAAAAGTTTCTCTCACAAGTTTTAAAAAAAAATTTTCCAACCTGCTTAACCAAAAGCAATGTTTAACTCTGTGAGATGAATATACACATCACAAAGCAGTTTCACAGATAGTTTGTTTCTAGTGTTTAACTGAGGACATTCTCTTTTTAACCACAATAATTAAAGGGCTCCCAAATGTCTCTTCATAGATTCTACAAAAAAAGTTTTTCCAAACCCCTTAATAAATAGAAACGTTTAACTCTGTGAGATAAATCCACACATCACAAAGCCGTTCCATAGACAGTTTCTAGTTTTTTTTTTTAACCATAAGCATCTAAGGCCTCCCAAGTATCCCATTGCAGATTCTACTGAAAGAGTGTTAACAACCTGCTGAATCAAAAGAAAGGTTTGTCTGTGGAATATGCATTCCACACATCACAAAGCAGTTTCATAGATAGCTTCTTTCTAGTTTATGACAGGGAATATTTGGTTTTTCACCATAGGCCTCGTTAGATATCAAAATGTTCCTTCAAAGATAATACTAAAAAAGAGTGTCCAGCCTGTTGAATCAAAAGAAAGTTTTCACTCTAGGACATGAATCCACACATCACAGAGCCATTACAAACACAGCTTCTTTCTAGTTTTTATCTAAGGATATTTGGTTTTTCACTGTAGGCCACAGTGGGCTCCAAAATGTCACTTCACAGATTCCACAAAAAAAAAGTGTTTTTTACCTGGTCAATCAAAAGAAAAGTTTAATGCTGTGAGTTGAATCCACACATCAGAAAGCAGTTTCACAGACAGTTTCTTTCTAGTTTTTATATTGTGATATGCTGTTCTTCACCATAGGCCTCAATAATCTCCAAAATATCCCTTCACAGATTCTACAAAAAGAATGTTTCCAAACTTTTCAATAAAAAGAAATTTAACTCTATAAGATGAATCCACATATCACAAACAGTTTCACAGATAGCTTCTTCCTATTTTTTATCTGGGGATATTCAGTTTTTCACCATAGGTTTTAATGGGCTCCAAAATGTTCCTTTGCAGATTCCACAGAGTAACGGTTCTGCACTGCTGAATAAAAGAATGGCTTAACCCTGTGAAATGAATCCACACATAATAAAGCAGTTTCACGGATAGTTCTTCTAGTTTTTATCTGGAGATAGTCAGTTTTTCACCACAGGATTCAATAGGTTCCCAAATGTCCCATTGTGGGTTATACATGAATGTTTCTGCTCTCCTGAATCAAAATAAAGGTTTAACTCTGTGAGATGAATCCACACATAACAAAGCAGTTTCACAGATAGCTTCTTTCTAGTTTATATCTGGGGATATTCAATTTTTCAACATTGGACTAAATGGCACCCTAGTGTCCCTTTGCAGTTCCTACAAAAATAGTGTTTCCAACCTGCTGAATCAAAAGTAAGGTTTAACTCGATGAGGTGAATCCACTCATCACAAAGAAGTTTCACTACAAAAATTTTTCCAACCTGCTGAATCAAAATAAAGTTTTATCTCTGTGAGATGAAGCCACACACCACAAAGCACTTTCACAGATAGCTTATTTCTATTTTTTATATATGGAAATTCTTTTTTTCATCCTAGACCTTAATGGGCTCCCAAATTTCCCTTTGCAGATTTTACCAAAATGGTGTTTCCAAACGTGCTGAATCAAAAGAAAATTTTGACTCTGTGAGATGAATTCACGCATCAAAAATCAGTTTCATATACATTTCATTTCTCGTTTTTATCTGGAGATTTTTGGTTTTTCACCACAGGCCACAATAGGCTTCCAAATGTCCCTTCATGTATTTTGCCTGAAGAGTGTTTCCAACCTGCTGAATCAATAGAAATGTTTAACTCCTTGAGGTGAAACCACACTTCAGAAAGCAGTTTCACAGATAGCTTCTGTCTAGTTTTTATGTGGGAATATTCAGTTTTTCACCAGAGGCCACAACAAGCTCCCAAATGTCCCTTAGATTCTGCAAAAAAAAAAAGTGTTTCCCTCCTTCTGAATCAAAATGAAGTTTTAACTCTGTGATGTGAATTCACACATCACAAAGCAGTTTCACAGAGAGCTTCTTTCTAGTTTTTATCTGGGGATATTTGGCTTTTCACCACAGGTCTCAACATGTCCCTAAATATCCCTTCACAGATTCTACAAAAAAAGTGTTCACAACCTGCTGAATCAAAAAAATAATGTTTATCTTTGTAAGATATATCCACACAACACAAAGCAATTTCATAGATAGCTTCTTTCTAGTTGTTCTAGGGGCAGAACATATTTTGTTTTTCATTATAAACCTCACTAAGCTCCAAAATGTCCCTTTGCAGATTCTATTTAAAAAAAGAGATTCCTGCCTGCTGAATCAAAAGAAAGTTTTCACTCTGGGACATGAATCCACACATCACAGAGCCGTTTGACAGATAGCTTCTTTCTAGTTTTTATCTGTGGATATTCCGTTTTTCACCATAGGCACCAATGGGCTCCAAAATGTCCCTTTGCAGATTCTACAAAAAGAGTGTTTCCAATCGGCTAAATCAAAAGAAAGCTTTAACTCTTTTAGATGAACAAACACATCAAAAAACAGTTTCAAAGACAGCTTCTTTCTACTATTT
This sequence comes from Homo sapiens, assembly GCF_000001405.40. Taxonomy (NCBI): domain Eukaryota; kingdom Metazoa; phylum Chordata; class Mammalia; order Primates; family Hominidae; genus Homo; species Homo sapiens. The sequence continues at coordinate 43,713,529 of NC_000008.11, read as the reverse complement.
ATCTGAGAATATTTGGTTTTTAATGGTAGGCCACAATGAGCTTCCAAATGTCCCTTCACAGATTCTAAAAAAAGATTGCTTCCAACATACTGAATCTAAAGATAGATTTAACTTTGTGAGATAAATCCAAACATTACAAAGCAGTTTCACAGATAGATTCTTTCCAGTTTTTATCTGGGGATATTTGGTTTTCCACCATAGGCCTCAGTGGATGTTCAAATGTCCCTTCATATATTCCACAAAAAAAAGCGTTTTCAAACTGCTGAATCAACAAAAAAGTTTAACTCTGTGAGATGAATCTATACATCAGAAAGCAGTTTCACAGATAGTTTCTTTGTAGTTTTCATCTGGGGATATTCTGTTTTTAATGATAGGCCTAAATTTCATCCCAAATGTTTGTCACAGATTCTAAAAAACAGTGTTTCCCACCTGCTGAATCAAAAAAATATTACCTCCTTAAGATGAATCCACACATCAGAAGGCAGTTTCACAGTTAGCTTCTTTGTAGTTTCTATCTGCATATATTTGGTTTTTAACCATAGGCCTCAATGGGCTCCAAAATGTCCTTTCACAGATTCTAGAAAAAGATTGTTTTCAACTGGCTGAATCAAAAGAAAGGTATAGCTCTTTGAGATAAATCCAAACACCACAAAGCTGTTTCACAGATAGCTTCTTTCAAGTTTTTATTTGGGGACATTCCGTTTTTCACCCTACCCTCAATGGACTCCCAAATGTCCCTTCACAGATTCTACAAAAAAAAGTGTTACCTACCAACCTGCTAAATGAAAAGAAAGGTTTATCTCTGACAGATCAATGCACACATCACAAAGTACTTTCCCAGATAGCTTCTTTCTACTTTTTCTGTGTGGATATTCAGTTTTTCACCATAGGCCTCAATGCACTGCCAAATGTCCTTACCCAGATTCTACAAAAAAAGTGTTTCTAACCTGCTGAATGAAAAGAAAGTTTGAACTCTGTGACATGACTCCACACATCACATAGAAGTTTCACAGATAGCTTCTTTCTAGTTTTTATCTGGAGATATTCTGTTTTTAACCAAAGGCATTGATGGGATCCCAAAAGTTTTTTCACATATTCTACAAAAAGAGTGTTTCCAACCTGCTGAATAAAGAAAAAAAGGTTTGCCTCTGTGAGATGAATCCACACATCAGACAGCAATTTCAGAAATAGCTTATTTCTAATTTTTTTCTGGGTATATTTGGTTTTTCACCACAGGCATCAATGGGTTTGCAAATTTCTTTTTGCAGATTCTCCAAAAAGAGTGTTTGCAATCTGCTGAATCAAAAGAAATGTTTAACAATGTTAGATGGATCCACACATCACAAAGCAGTTTCACACATAGCTTCTTTCTAGTTTTTATCTAGGGATGTTTGCATTTTAACCATAGGAAATAATGTGCTCCAAAATGTCTCTTCCTAGATTCTTCAAAAAGAGTTTTCCAAAGTGCTCAACAAAAGGAAAGTGTAAATTTTTAAGGTGAATCCATACATCAAAAGGCAGTTTCACAGGTAGCTTCTTCCTAGATTTTAACTGAAGATATTCAGTTTTTCACCATGGGTAACAAAGGGTTCTCAAAAGTTTCCTCACAGGTTTTTAAAAAAGAATGTTTCCAACCTGCTGAATCAAAAGAAATACTTGACTCTGTGAGATGAGTATACACATCACAAAGCAGTTTCACACACAGCTTGTTTCTGGTTTTAAACTGAAGATATTTTGTTTTTTAACCACAGGCATCAAAGGATTCCCAAATGTCACTTTGCAAATTCTACAAGAAGGTTTTTCCAACCTGCTGAATCAAAGGAAAGGTTTAAGTCTGTGAGATGAACTCAAACATCAAAAAGCAGTTTCACAGATAGCTTCTTGCTAGTTTTAATCTGGGGATGTTCAGTTTTTTCCTGTAGGCCTTAATGAGCTTTCAAATATCTATTTGTAGATTCCAAAAAAGAGTGTTTAAAACTTGCTGAATCAATGGAAAAGTTTACATCTGTGACATCAATTTACACATCACAAAGCAGTTTCACAGATAGTTTCTTTCTAGTTTTTATCTGAGGATGTTCAGTATTTCACCATGTGCTTCAATGGGCTCCCAAATATCCCTTCACAGATACTACAAAATATGTGTTTACAACCTTCTGAATCAAAAGAAATGTTTAATTGTGTTGGATGAGTCCACAAATCTGAAGCAGTTTCCAAGATATCATCTTTCTAGTTTTCCTGGGGATATTCAGTTTTTCAATCAAAACCTCAATGAGCTTTTAATATCCCTTTGCAGATTTTAAAAAAAAGAGTTTCTTCAACCAGCTGAAACTTAAGACAGGTTTAACTCTGTGAGATGAATCCACATACCACAAAGTAGTTTCACAGATAGATTCTTTCTGGTGTTTATCTGGAGATATTTTGTTTTTCATCACAGGCCTCAATGGGCTTTCAAATGTTTCTTCACAGATTCTACAAATAGAGTGTTTCCAAAGTACTGAGTCAAAAGGAAGGGGAAAATTTGTGGGATGAATGCAGACATAACAAACCAGTTTCACAGATGGCTTCTTTCTAATTTTGATTTTGGGATATTCAGTTTTTCACCAGAGGCCTAAAAACTCTCCAGAATGTCCCTTTGCAAATTCTACAAAAAGAGTGTTTGCAGCCTGCTCAATCAAAATCAAAGTGTAATTCTGTGAGATGAATCCACACATCATAAAGCAGTTTCACAAATGGCTTCTTTCTTGTTTTTATCTGAGAATATTCAGTTTTTCACCATAGGCCTCAATGGGCTCCCAAATGTCCCTGTGATTCCAACCTGCTGAATATAAACAAAGGTTTAACTGTGTGAGATAAATTCACAAATCAAAAATAAATATCACTGATTGCTTTTTTTCTAGTTTTTATGTTGGGATATTTGTTTTTTTTAGTACTGACCTCAATAGGCTCCCAAATATCCCTTTGCAGATTCTACAAAAAAAAGTTTCCAACCAGCTGAATCAAAAGAACAATTTAACTGTGTGAGATGAATCCACATGTCACAAATCATTTTCACAGATAGCTTCTTTTTAGTTTTCTTCTTGGGATATTCCTTTTTTCACCATAGGACTCAAAAGGCTCACAAATGTCCCTTGGCACATTCCATAAAAAGAGTGTTTCCAACCTGTTAATCAAAAATAAAGTTAACTGCCTGAGATGAATCCACACATCACAAACCATTTTAAAGACAGGGGCTTTTTACTTTTTATCTGTGGATATTCTGTTTTACACCCTAGGCCTCAATGGTCTCCAAATGTCCCTTTGCTGATTCTACAAATAAAGTATTTCCAACCTGCCAAATCACAAAAATGGTAAACTCTGAGACAAATCCCCACATGACAAACCAACTTCACAAACAGCTTCTTTCTAGTTTTTATCTGGAAATATTTGGTTTTTCACCACAGGCCTCAATGGGTTCCCACATATCCCTTCACAGATCTTTCAAAAAAAAGGGTTTCCAACCAGCTAAATCCAAATAAAGATTTAACACCGTGAGATGAATCTACACATCACAATGCAGTTTTATAGATAGCTTCTTTCCAGTTTTTATTTAAGGATAGTTAGTTTTACACCATGTGCCTCAGTGGGCTCCCAAATGTCCATTCATATATTCTACTAAAACAGCGTCTCCAACCTGCTAATCAAAAGTAAGGTTTAACCTTGTGGAATGAATCCTCACATCAAAAAGCCATTTCACAGATAACTTCTCTCCAGGAATAATGGGGTCCCGAATGTCCCTTCACATTTACTACAAAAAGAGTGTTACCCACCTGTTGAATCAAAATAAGGGTTTACCTCTGTGAGATGAATCCACTCGTCACAAAGGAGTTTCACAGACAGCTTCTTTCTAGTTTTTATTTGGAGTTATTTGGTTTTTCAACATAGGCCTCAATGAGATTCCAAATGTCCCTATGCTGATTATACTAATACAGTGTTTCCAACATGCAGAATTAAAAGAAATTATTAACTCTGTGTGATGAATCCACACATGACAAAAGAGTTTCACAGGTAACTTATTCATAGTTTTTATTTGGGGATATACTGTTTTACACCATAGACCTCAATAGGCTCCCAAATGTCTTTTCACAGATTCTACAAAAAAAAAAGTGTATCCAACCTGCTCAATCAAAAGAAAGGTTTAACTCTGTTGGATGAATCCACACATAACAAAGCAGTTTTACAGTTAGCTACTTTCTAGTTTTCATCTGGGGATGTTTGGTTTTACACAATAAAGTTAATTGGGCTCCCAATGTCACTTCGCAGATTCTACAAAAAGAGGGTTTTCAACCTGCTAATCAAAAGAAGGTTTACCTCTGTGAGATGAACCCTCACATCACAAAGCATTTCACAGATAGCTTCTTTCTAGTTTTTACCAAGGGATATTCGGTTTTTCACTGTAGGCCTCAACAGGCTTCCAAATGTTTCTTCACATTTACTATGAAAAGAGGTTTCCTTTGGATTAAAAGACAAAGACTGGCAAATTGGATAAAGAGTCAAGACCCATCAGTGTGCTGCATTCAGGAAACCCATCTCATGTGCAGAGACACACATAGGCTCAAAATAAAGGGATGGAGGAAGATCTACCATGAAAATCGAAAACAAAGAAAAGCAGGGGTTGCAATCCTACTCTCTGATAAAACAGACATTAAACCAACAAAGGTCAAAAGAGACAAAGAAAGCCATTACATAATGGTAAAGGGATCAATTCAACAAGAAGAGCTAACTATCCTAAATATATATGCATCCAATACAGGAGCACCCAGATTCATAAAGCAAGTCTGGAGTGACCTACAAAGAGACTTAGACTCCCACACAATAATAATGGGAGACTTTAACACCCCACTGTTAATATTAGACAGATCAATGAGACAGAAAGTTAACAAGGATACCCAGGAATTGAACTCAGCTCTGCACCAAGCAGACCTAATAAACATCTACAGAACTCTCCATCCCAAATCAACAGAATATACATTTTTTCAGCACCACACCACACCTATTCCAAAATTGACCACATAGTTGGAAGTAAAGCTCTCCTCAGCAAATGTAAAAGATCAGAAATTATAACAAACTGTCTATCAGACCACAGTGCAATCAAACTAGAACTCAGGATTAAGAAACTCACTCAAAACCGCTCAACTACATGGAAACTGAACAACCTGCTCCTGAATGACTACTGGGTACATAACGAAATGAAGGCAGAAATAAAGATGTTCTTTGAAACCAATGAGAACAAAGACACAACATACCAGAAACTCTGGGACACATTCAAAGCAGTGTGTAGAGGGAAATTTAGAGCACTACAAGCCAACAAGAGAAAGCAGGAAAGATCTAAATATGACACCCTAACATCACAATTAAAGAATGAGAAAAGCAAGAGCAAATGCATTCAAAAGCTAGCAGAAGGCAAGAAATAACTAAGATCAGAGCAGAACTGAAGGAAATAGAGACACAAAAAACTCTTCAAAAAGTACATGAATCCAGGAGCTGGTTTTTTGAAAGGATCAACAAAATTGATAGACCACTAGCAAGACTAATAAAGAAGAAAAGAGAGAAGAATCAAATAGATGCAATAAAAAATGATAAAGGGGATATCACCAAAGATCTCACAGAAATACAGACTACCAACAGAGAATACTATAAACACCTCTATGCAAACAAACTAGAAAATCTAGAAGAAATGGATAAATTCCTCAAAACATACATCCTCCCAAGACTAAACCAGGAAGAAGTTGAATCTCTGCATAGACCAATAACAGGCTCTGAAATTCAGGCAATATTCAGTACCTTACTGACCAAAAAAAGTCCAGGACAAAGTTTCAAAGAAGAGCTGGTACCATTCCCTCTGAAAATATTCCAATCAATAGAAAAAGAGGGAATCCTCCCTAACTCATTTTATGAGGCCAGATTCATCCTGATACCAAAGCCTGGCAGAGACACAACCAAAAAAGAGAATTTTAGACCAATATCCTTCATAAACATTGGTGCAAAAATCCTCAATAAAATACTGGCAAACCAAATCCAGCAGCACATCAAAAAGCTTATCCACCATGATCAAGTCGGCTTAATCCCTGGGATGCAAGTCTGGTTCGACATACACATATCAATAAATGTAATCCAGCATATAAACAGAACCAAAGACAAAAACCACATGATTATCTCAATAGGTGCAGAAAAGGCCTTTGACAAAATTCAACAACACTTCATGCTAAAAACTCTCAATAAATTAGGTATTGATGGGACGTATCTCAAAATAATAAGAGCTATCTATGGCAAACCCACAGCCAATATCATACTGAATGGGCAAAAACTGGAAGCATTCCATTTAAAAACGGGCACAAGACAGGGATGCCCTCTCTCACCACTCCTATTCAACATAGTGTTGCAAGTTCTGGCCAGGGAAATCAGGCAGGAGAAGGAAATAAAGGGTATTCAATTAGGAAAAGAGGAAGTCAAATTGTCCCTCTTTGCAGATGACATGATTGTATATCTAGTAAACCCCATTGTCTCAGCCCAAAATCTCCTCAAGCTGATAAGCAACTTCAGCAACGTCTCAGGATACAAAATCAATATGCAAAAATCACAAGCATTCTCATACACCAATAACAGACAAACAGAGAGCCAAATCATGAGTTAACTCCCATTCACAATTGCTTCAAAGAGAATAAAATACCTAGGAATCCAACTTACAAGGGATGTGAAGGACCTCTTCAAGGAGATCTATAAACCACTGCTCAAGGAAATAAAAGAGGATACAAACAAATGGAAGAATATTCCATGCTCATGGGTAGGAAGAATCAATGTCGTGAAAATGGCCATACTGCCCAAGATAATTTATAGATTCAATGCCATCCCCATCAAGCTACCAATGACTTTCTTCACAGAATTGGAAAAAACTACTTTAAAGTTCATATGGAACCAAAAAAGAGCCCGCATTGCCAAGTCAATCCTAAGCCAAAAGAATAAAACTGGAGACATCACGCTACTTGACTTCAAACTATACTACAAGGCTACAGTAACCAAAACAGCATGGTACTGGTACCAAAATGGAGATATAGACCAAAAGAACAGAACAGAGCCCTCAGAATTAATGCTGCATAATTACAGAAATCTGAAACTGGATCCTTTCCTTACACCTTACACAAAAATTAATTCAAGATAGATTAAAGACTTACATGTTATACCTAAAACCATAAAAACCCTAGAAGAAAACCGAGGCAATACCATTCAGAACATAGGCATGGGCAAGGACTTCATTTCTAAATCACCAAAAGCAATGGCAACCAAAGCCAAAATTGACAAATGGGATCTAATTAAACTAAAGAGCTTCTGCACAGCAAAAGAAACTACTATCAGAGTGAACAGGCAACCTACAGAATGGGAGAAAAGTTTTGCAATCTACTCACCCGACAAAGGGCTAATATCCAGAATCTACAATGATCTCAAACAAATTTACAAGAAAAAAACAAACAACCCCATCAAAAAGTGGGCAAAGGATATGAACAGACACTTCTCAAAAGAAGACATTTATGCAGACTAAAAACACATGAAAAAATGTTAACCATCACTGGCCATCAGAGAAATGCAAATCAAAACCACAATGAGATACCTTCTTACACCAGGTAGAATGGCAATCATTAGAAAGTCAGGAAACAACAGGTGCTGGAGAGGATGTGGAGAAATAGGAACACTTTTACACTGTTGGTGGTACTGTAAACTAGTTCAACCATTGTGGAAGTCAGTGTGGCAATTCCTCAGGGATCTAGAACTAGAAATACCATTTGACCCAGCCATCCCATTACTGGGGATATACTCAAAGGATTACAAATCATGCTGCTATAAAGACACATGCACACGTATGTTTATAGTGGCACTATTCCCAATAGCAAAGACTTGGAACCAACCTAAATGTCCAACAACGATAGACTGGATTAAGAAAATGTGACACATATACACCATGGAATACTATGCAGCCATAAAAAATGATGAGTTCATGTTCTTTGTAGAGACATGGATGAAACTGGAAACCATCATTCTCAGCTAACTATCACAAGGACAAAAAACCAAACACTGCGTTTTCTCACTCATAGGTGGGAATTGACCAATGAGAACACATGGACACAGGAAGGGGAACATCACACACTGGTGACTGTTGTGGGGTGGGGGGAGCAGTGAGGGATAGCATTAGGAGATATACCTAATGCTAAATGACGAGTTAATTGGTGCAGCACACCAACATGGCACATGTATACATATGTAACCAACCTGCATATTGTGCACATGTACCCTAAATCCTAAAGTATAATAATAATAAAATTTTAAAAAAATACATTAACAGATTTCCTAATATTGAAGGATTCTTTCATTCTGGAATGAGTCTTGTTGATCATGTTGTTTGTTTAATATGCTATTGGTTATTTTATTTAAAAATTTTCCATTCTTAATCATAAGTAAAATTGGTCTGAAGTTTTTTTGTTGAAAAATTATATATTTTTTGTAAATTGTATTTTCCTAGAACATCAAGTCTAAGTGTGGTCCTAGGATCCCCTCTTCCTGAGATCCTCTTAAGGGGTTAAGATTAAATTTATTTTCATGAAAAAAACTACTACTTTGAATTCATGGTTAGACAGCTTACATATAGCCATATCAATGGGGTCAGTTACTGGTTTTTTGCTTTGCCCATTTGGAGAGATTATGGTTTCCTGTTTGCTGTTGTTTCTTGTGCATATATGTCTACATCTTTCTATTAAAGAATTTATTCTTGACAAAAAAAGAGGTTTCCAACCTGTTGAATCAAAATAAAGCTGTATCTCTGTGAGATAAATTCACTCATCACAAACCAGTTTCAGAGATAGCTTCTCCCGAGTTACTATCTGGGGATAGTCAATTTTTCACAATAGGCCTCAAAGGGCTCCCAAATGCCCCTTCACAAATTACACAATAAGAGTGTTTACAAACTGCTCAATCAAAAGAAATGTTTAATTCTGTGAGATGAATCAACATATGGCAAACCAGTTTCACAGATAACTTATTTCTTGTTTTTATCTTGGGATGTTTGAATTTTCACCTTAGGCCTCAATGGCTTCCCAAATGTCCCTTTGCAAATTGTCTAAAAAGAGTGTTTCAAACCTGCTAATTTAAAGTAAGTCTTACCTCTGTGAGATGAATTCACACATTACAAACCAGTTTCACAGATTGCTTATTTCTAGTTTTTATCTGGGGATATTCTGTTTTTCATCTTAGATTTCAAGGGGCTCCAAAATATCCCTTCTCATTTACTACAGAAAGGGTGTTTCCAATCTGTTGAAAGAAATAAAGGTTTACTTCTGTGAGATGAATCCACGCATCACAAAGCAGTTTCAAAGATAGCTTCTTTCTATTTTTTATCTGGGGATATTCTGTTTTTCACCATAGGCCTCAATGGGCTCACAAATGCCCCTTTGCAGATTCTATAAGAAGAGTGTTTCCAACCTGCTAATCAAAAGTGACATTTAACTCTGTGAGATAAATCCACACATCACAAATCAGTTTCACAGACAGCTTTCCTTCAGTTTTTATCTGTAAATATTTGTTTTTTTACCATAGGCTTCAAAGGCTCCTAAATGTCTATTCGCAGATTTTACAAAAAAAAAAAGTGTTTCCAAATTACTGAATCAAAAGAAATTTTTAACTTGGTGAGAGAATCCACACATCACAAAGCAGTATACAGATAGCTTCTTTCTAGTTTTTTTCTGAAGATATTTGGTTTTTCATGATAGGCCTCAATAGGCTCCCAAGTTTACCTTCATGGAGCCTAAAAAAAGAGTGTTTCCAAACTGCTGAATCAAAAGAAAGGTGTAATACTATGGGATAAATCCACACATCACAAAGAAGTTCGACAGATAGTTTCTTTCTAGTTTTCAACTATGGATACTCGGTATTTCACCATAGGCCTCAGTGGAATTCTAAATGTCCCTTTGCAGATTCTAAAATAAGCGTGTTTCCAACATGCTAATCAGAAGAAGTTTTAACTCTGTGATTTCCACACACCACAAGGCAGTTTCACAGATAGCTTCTTTTCAGTTTTTACCTAAGGACATTCTATTTTTTAACTATAGGCATCAATGGGCTTCTAAATGTCCCTTCGCATTTACTACAAAAGCAGTGTTTTCAATTTGTTGAATCAAAATAAAGTTTAAATCTGTGAGTTGAATACTCACGTCAGAAAGCAGTTTCACAGATAGCTTATTTCTAGTTTTTTCTTGGGGATATTCGGTTTTTAACCATAGGCCTCAACGGGCTCCCAAATATTTCTTCACAGATTGTACAAATAGTGTTTCCAACGTGCTAAATAAAAAAAAGGATCTACACTGTGAGATGATACAAAACAAACCAGTTTCACAGATAGTCTCTTTCTAGTTTTTATCTTGGGATATTCGGATTTTCACCATAGGCCTCAAAGTACTCCCAAATGTCCCTTCACACATTCTGCAAAAAGGGTGTTTCCAACCTGCTCAATCATAGGAAAAGTTTAAAGCTGTGAAATGAATCCACACATCCAAAAGCAGTTTTACAAGCAGCTTGCTTCTATTTTTTTCTGGGGATATTCAGTTTTTCACCGTAAGCCTCAAGGGGCACCCAAATATCTTTTTGCAGGTTCTACAAAATGATATTTCCAACCTGCTCAATTAGAAGAATGGTTTAACTCTGTGGCATAATTCCACACATCACAAAGCAGTTTTACAGATGGGCTTCTTTCTAGCTTTTTTCTGGGGATATTCAATTTTTCACCATAGGCCCCAAAGGGCTCCCAAATGTCCCTTCGCATTTACTGCAAAAACAGTGTTTCCAACTTGTTACTTGTTGAATCAACATGAAGGTTTAACTCTGTGAGATGAATCCACTCATCAGAAGGCAGTATCCTAGATAGTTTCTTTGGGAAAGAGAGTTTCTGGGCTGCCAGATGAGATGGTCTCCCCTGTGTGAGACACCTATGTGAGAGACCATGGGTGGTCTCTGAGCAGAAAAGTCTCCTTGTTGCCCTCATGTCTTTATGCCCCTAAAGCATAATTGCTCCGTGGCATTCCACAGGTTGCTCAGGGAGATAACACTCCCTTGAAACAGTGAAGTATAAACAAATATCTTGGCTCCTCCTGAAACCCACTCTCACCCTTTTCAGTCTCCATAAGTTAAAGATCTTAAGTAGTCTAGACACATGCCTTTGCTCAAGGAAATTCACAGAAACGGCCACTGCTATACATCTTATTGAATGACTCACAAGTTCTCCTTCACTGATTAACCCTTTTCCTCTTCCCTTCCTCCCCTCACATCTGTCCTAAGAACAAAGAGCTTGTAAACCAATAAATTAGGCAGAGCCAAAGAGCTCTGGACCTTGAGGAAGCCTCTGGATCTCCTGCCCCCTTGATCTGCCTTTTAAACCCGTATTCTGTCTCTTTCCAACTCCTTTGACTCTTCTGAACTTGGGGTACTCACCGGGTGGTGTGGGGGTGGTTTCCCCAACATCCGTTGCCCAACATGGGGCTCCCTGTAATCTCTACAAATAATCCGGTGAAGGAACGGCAGAGTGTGGAAAGTGGAGGACGAGTGACAAAGGATGCCAGAGTACTTTTTCACTTCAAGCTCTATGGGTAAGTAGGGAGCTCAGAGAATTCCATGGTAATGTCGGAAAAATATGGGTCAGGCTCACAGTAAGTTTGCTAATTACTTATGCCTGGTGTGGCAGTTATTGCACTGCAGAGGGGTAATTGTGAGTATCCAAAACCTCACATCTTAGTTCCATCTCATAGAAAAGTATTCTCCTTGGTTCCTGAAATATGGAATGATGAACATAAAAGATTGGGACAAGTTCGGATCAGCCTTAAAAGGAGCACAAGAGCGCCATGATATTCCCTTCTCTGCTTGGTCTTTGTGGTCAGCAATTAAAACAGCAGTGGAGCCCTTCCACACTGAGGAGGAGGAGGAGAAGTTTCAGGATAACAGAAAAGTTTAATAATCAGGAGTCTGATGATCAGCAAAGTGAACCATCACAGTCTACTTTTAAAAAGGAGGAGAAATGGGAAGCTATATATGCTAACTTCCAAAAACTTATCAAAGAAACAATTCCACTTACTGCAGAAAGAGTGCCACCTACTGCTCCTTTAGGGGAAGGTCCTGAATGACCACCCCCACTTCAATCTTATGAATTTTTGGAACGGGAGTCTGAGATGCGACTTGCCACTCCCATTGTTGCATGCCCCACCATTAATTATGGTGAAGGGAAGCTTCAGGCTTGCCCAAGAGCCAATTACAGTAAGGGAATGATCCAGGCTTGTCCGCCTGTTAATTATCATAGCGGAATGCTGTGAGCCAGTCCAAATACAAATTATGGCACAGGCACAATTCAGGCATCCATTTGCCAGGCATGAGAAATGGGGGATTTGGATGCTTGGCAGTTTCCAGTAATTAATTCTCCAGCTGAGAAGCCTTGAGAACATTCTCAAGAATGCCAGGAGACATTTGCTTTTAAAATATTAAAAGACTTAGAGCTAGCAATTAAACAGTGTGGGCCAAATTCTCCTTATGTTAATTCCTTGTTAAAATCTGTGCCTTTTAACAGGCATTTAATACTTACCGATTGGGAATCATTAGCCTGATCCACCCTGTCCCCCTCTTAATTTCTCCAAATTAAAACCTGGTGGATGGATGAAGCAACAAATCAGGCATGCAGAAATGCTCAAGCCCAACCTCCCATTAATATCACACCTGATCAATTGCTTGGAATCGGACAGGCATGGGGTGCTCTAAATCAACAGATGGCAATGGGGGATGAGGCTATTGATCAGCTCAGAACTATATGCTTAAGAGCCTAGGAAAATATTGACGACCCTGGTACTACTAATCCTTCTTTTAACTCAGTTCAGCAGGGCCCAAGGGAGAGTTATCCAGATTTTATCGCCCATTTGCAAGACGTGACTCGAAAGTCTATTTTGGATTCTCATGCCAGGAAAGTGATCATTCAGCTGCTTGCTTATGAAAATGCTAATATAGAATGTCAGGCAGCAATTAGACCTATTAAGGGAAAGGCAGATCTAAATGAGGAAAATAAGTGAATACATTAAAGCCTGTGATGGCACTGGAGGGCCCTTATATAAGGTCAGCCTGCTTGCTCAGGCAATGGCTAGACTAAAGGTAACAAAAAACACACGAGTGTTCCCTGGATCTTGCTATAATTGTGGACAGATAGGACATACAAAAAGAGAGTGTGCAAATAGCCAAAAAAGGAAAAACTCAGGAGGAAAAAGCAGGGAACCAGGTACCTGTCCCAGATGTAAAAAAGGAAAGCACTGGGCTAATCAATGTCATTCAAAGTTTGATAACAGCAGATAGCCCTTGCCAGGAAATGGAGAGAGGGGCCAGCCTCAGGCCCTAATTCAAAATGGGGCATTCCCAATTCAGGATGGGATGCCCCCAACTCCAAATGGAGTGTTCCCAGCCCAGTCTATCCCTGTACAAATGTACAGCAATTGTCCCCGTCCACAGCTAGAAGCGATGCAGTAGATTTATGCTGTATCAAAACCATATCCCTCCTTCCTGGGGAGCCTCTTAGGAAGGTCCCAACAGGAATTTATGGCCCATTGCCAAACGGCACTCTGGGACTTATACAAGGAAGGTCCAGCTTAAACTTAAAGGGAATTCAAGTACATACTGGAGTAGTGGACTGTGATTGCCAGGGAGAAATTCAAATTGTTACTTCCTCCACTGTTCCCTGGAGTGCTAATCCAGGTGAGAGAATCACTCAACTCTTGCTTTTACTGTATGTTAAGTTAGGAGAAAGCTCAGAAAAAAAGAACAGGAGGATTTGGAAGCACAAATTCAGCAGACAATGCTGCTATTGGGTAAATCAAGTCTCTGACAATAGACTTATTTGTATGGACACTATTCAAGGAAAACAATTTGAAGTTCTGGTCAACACTGGAGCAGACGTTTCTATCATAGCTCTTTATCAATGGCCAAAAAACTGGCCCAAAGAAAAGGCCCTGGTGGGTCTTTTTGGAGTCAGAACTGCTTCAGAAGTTTATCTTACCTTGTCTTGGTCCAGAAGAACAGGAAGGCACAATACAACCTCTAATTATGCCCACTCCTGTTAACTTATGGGGGAGAGATCTACTTCAGCAATGGGGCACAGGAATTTCAATCCCTTCTCCCCAGTACAGTCAAGCTAGTCAAAAAATAATGTCAAACGTGGGCTATGTTCCCAGAAAAGGCCTAGGAAAACAGGAGATGGGCATTGTTGAACCCATATAGGTTACTGTAAAAAATGACCAAAAAGGATTGGGTTACCATTTTTAGGGGCAGTCACTGTTGAGCCTCCAAGTCCTATTCCCTTAAAATGGAAGACCCAAAATCATGTTTGAGCCGAACAGCAGCTGCTTTCTCAGGAAAAATTGGGGGCCCTACAAGAATTAGTCAAAGAGCAATTAAACAAAGGAAGCATTGAGCCCACAATTTCTCCATGGAATTTGCTGGTGCTTGTAATAAACAAAAAATCTGGTAGATGGCGCATGCTAACCGTCTTACAAGCAGTCAGTGCAGTCATCCAGCTGATGGGGTCCCTGCAGCCAGGGCTTCCATCCCCCACCATGATTCCTAGAAACTGGCTATTAATATTATAGATTTGAAGGACTGCTTTTTTAATATTCCTCCAGCAGAGTCTGATTTTGAGAAATTTGCTTTTACTATTCCTGCTATGAACAACAAGGAACCAGCAGCCAGATATCATTTGAAAGTCCTGCTGCAGGGTGTGTTGAATAATCCTACTATTTGTCAAACTTTTGTGTGGAAGGCTATTCAACCTGTGAGAGATCAGTTTCCAGATTCGTATATCATTCATTATAGGGATGACATTCTGTGTGCGGCAGAAAATCGAGACCAACTTATCCAGTGTTATTCCTATTTACAGGAAGTTGTAGCCAAAGCTGGATTGCTCAGAGCACCAGATAAAATTCAAATGGCCACTCCTTTCCAATATTTGGGAATGCAGGTTCAGGGAAGGGCAATTAAACCCAAAAGGTTCAAATTCGAAAAGACTCTCTAAAAACTTTAAATGATTTTCAAAAATTATTAGGGGATGTCGATTGGATTCGACCTACTTTGGGGATCCCTATCTATGCCATGTCTAATCTGTTCTCTATTTTAAGAGGAGACCCTGCTCTCAATAGTAAATGAGAACTGACTCCTGAGGCTGCCAAAGAATTACAAATGATTGAAGGAAAAATAAAACAGGCCCAGGTTAATAGAATAGACTCAAGTTTACCATTACAGTTCATTGTGTTCCCTATTCTCCATTCACCTACAGAGGTTATAGTTCAGAGTGAAGACTTAGTTGAATGGTCTTTTCTGTCTCACAATACTGTCAGAACACTCACAGTATACTTGGATCAGCCCGGTATCTTGACTGGGCAAGCTCGCCTTAGAGTTGTTCAACTTTGTGGCTCAGATCCAGATAAGATTACAGTTCCAATGAACAAAAATCAGATTTGGCAAGTCGTTTTTAATTCGGTCAATTAGCAAATAAATTTAGCTGTCTTCATTGGAGTTCTTAGCAATCATTATCAAAAAGACAAAATGTTTCAGTTTTTAAAGCTAATAACATGGGTCCTGCCAAAAATTACCCATAGTGCTCCATTGGAAAGAGAAGTGACTGTGTTTACAGACGGCTCTAGCAATGGAAAAGCAGCTTATGTAGGACCTAAAAACTGAATTATCCAAACTGACTTTCAGTCGACACAGAGGGCTGAATTACAGACAGTTATACCTGTGTTAGAAGATTTTAAACAACCTGTAAATATTGTCTCTGATTCAGCCTATGTTGTCCAAGCCACTCAATACATAGAAACCACACTCATTAAATATTTTGTGGATGAACAACTGTATAAGCTGTTTTCTTTTTTACAAAAGGCAGTGCATGATCACTGTTTTTCTTTCTATATTATGCACATTCAAGCACACAGTAATCTTTCTGGGTCCCTTGTAAGGGCTAACGATCAAGCTGATTTACTAGTTTCCACTGTGCTTACTAATGCCCAAGATTTTCACACCCTAACACATGTTAATGCAGCAGGACTTAAATAAAAATATCAAATTACTTGGAGGCAGGCAAAAGACATTGTGCTACATTGCCCTCAGTGCCAGGTACAACTGCCACATGAAGGGACTGGTGTTAACCCACAGCGGTTATCTCCAATATGTTGTGGCAAATGGATGTAACCCATGTACCTTCATTCGGGAAACTTTCATACATCCATGTTACTATAGATATTTTTTCTCATTTTGTTTGGGCAACTTACCAAACAGGTGAGACAGCTGCTCATGTTAAAATACATTTACTTTTTCTTGTTTCGCTGCCATAAGCATCCCCCAAAAGATTAAAACAGACAATGGCCCAGGTTACCATAGTAAATCTTTACAAGCATTCTGTCCACAATGGCACATTGAGCACAGTACTGGAATACCCTATAATTCTCAAGGCCAAGCCATTGTTGAATGGGATAATCGAACCTTAACATCTCAATTACAAAAACAAGAGACAGAAGGGGGAACCAGAGAAGACTCTACTCCCCATATGCAGGTGCAGTTGGCTCTTATCACTTCAAATTTTTTGAATTTGTCTAGAAGTCAGGTTACAATGGAAGCAGAGCAGCATTTGACAGGGCAAAAAATAAATCCTCATGAAGGAAAACGTGTGGTGGAAGGACGTCAGAACCAAAACCTGGGAAAAGGGCAAAATCTTTACATGAGGTCCAGTTTGCTTGTCTCACAAGAAGAGAATTAGCTTCCTTTCAGGGTACCCACAAAACATCTTAAGCTGTGCCATGAGCTAGAATCCAAGGAAGAGGAAAATACCTCGGAACATCCTTGCATCCCCAGTTCATCAGATGGCTCAGATGAACATCTCTGTTGAGCAGATGGAAACCAGTAAAGCTCACCAAGCTACTCCACCGACTTGGGGTCAGATGAAAAGACTATCTCACATTGCAGAAGAGAAACTGAGGTCTCAGAACAAGCTTCTGACAACCAGTAATCTAATGGTAGCTATGCTTGTAATAATCTCCCTGGTGGTGAGTCTCCCCATAGCTGAGGCAGACCAAAATTACACTTATTAGGCCTACATTCCATTCCCACCACTGATTAGGCTTTTTACATGGTTAGACCCCCCAGTGCAGGTTCACGTTAGTGATAGTGTCTGGATGCCGGAACCAACAGATAACTGAGGTCCTACTCATCCAGAGGAGGAAGGAATGTTGATGAATGTTTCCATTGGTTATCACTTTCCTCCCATCTGCCTGGGGCCAGCAGCAGGATGTTTAAATTATGATAAACAAAGTTGGATGGTTTATGTTCCTGCACATAATGGATCAAAAACCTCTATTGATGTAATCAGTGGAAGAACATTTCACTCTGTGTACACTATTAAATACCTTGAGCATGGCTATGTTATGACACAACACCAGATTAGTAAATTTAAACCTAATAAGAATCACGGCCCTAGGCAGGCCACTAAATGGTCTGAAAATCTAGAGGTGTTAACCTGGGAAGATTGTATTGCAAACAGCACTGCTGTACTGCAAAACAAATCCTTTGGAATCATCATTGATTGGGCCCCTACGGGACACTTTGCAGTAACTTGTACTGGACAGCGTGAAGACTGTAGAGAGACTCCTTTTGTAAACAACTACCCGGATAATGTACCAAAATTTTATAGAAGAATTGAAACAAATTACCCTATTAAGTGGGAGGAGAAGGGCATGGCTCCTCCAAGCCCAAAAACGATTGATCCAATTATAAGTCCAGAACATCCAGAATTGTAAAAATTAATGATGGCCCAAACCCCAATTCAGATTTGGAGAGGAAAATATAAAACAGAGATCCATAGTAAAAAAAGTGCGATTTGTTGTAGCCATGACCTCTAATCAGATGGTCCCATTGCATAGTTGTGTTAAACCTCCTTTTATGTTGGCAGTGGGAAGGATTAATATCCTACCTGATTCTCAAACCATATCATGACTCAACTGTCATCTTTTTACCTGCATTAATTCTACCTTTAATAAAGATAGTAGCATTTTACCGATTAGGGCCCGAGAAGGAGTTTGGATACCTGTTTCCCTAAATAGACCTTGGGAGGCCTCTCCCTCCATATTGTCACTGAAGTACTAAAAGGAATACTTAATAGATCAAAGAGTTTCATATTTACTTTAATAGCTGTGATCATGGGACTCATAACTGTCACAACTACTGCTGCTGCTGTTGGTGTTGCCTTGCACTCTTCTATTCAAACTGTGGGCTTTGTGGATAGTTGGCAGAAAAATTCTTCTAAGCTTTGGAATTCCCAAAGCCAAATGGATCAAAAATTGGCAAATCAAATTAATAATCTCCGTCAAACAGTAATTTGGATGGGAGAACGGATTATGAGCTTAGAGCATAGAATTCAAATGCAATGTGATTGGAATACTTCTGATTTTTGTATTACTGCTAGCTCTTACAATGCCATTGAACACCACTAGGAGATGATTAGACGTCACCTACAAGGAAAAGAAGACAATTTAACACTAGATAATGCTAAACTGAAAAAAAACAACTTTTTTAGGCACCTCAGGCTCATCTCAGCCTGTTGCCTGGAGCTGATATTCTTGCAGGAGTCACTGATGACCTTTCTAATACCAATCCTTTAAAGTGGATTAAAACCAAAGTGGATCAGCAATTGCAAACTGTATTTTGTTTTGTGTCTGTTTATGCTGTTTGTTTTTAGTCTACAGATGCTGACGGCTCCTTTGGGAGAAGCCAGACACTGTGAACAAGCCATGATAGCAATGGCGGTTATTAACAAAAAAAGTTAATACAGAAAAAAAGAGTGGACATGTGGGAAAGAGAGTTTTTGGGTTGCCAGATGAGTTGGTCTCCCCTCTGTGAAACACCCATGGGGAGCCATGGGTGGCCTCTGAACAGAAAAGTCTCCTTATTGCCCTCATGTCTTTATGCCCCAAGAGCATAATCGCTCAGTGGCATTCCACAGGTTGCTCAGGGAGATAACACTCCCTTGAAGCAGTGGAGTTATAAACAAATATCTTGGCTCCTCCTGAAACCCACTCTCACCCTTTTCAGTGCCAGTAAGTTACAGATCTTAAGTAGTTTAGACACACGCCTTTGCTCAAAGAAATTCACAGAAACGGCCACTGCTATACATCTTATTGAATGACTCACGAGTTCTCCTTCACTGATTAATCATTTTCCTCATCCCTTCCTCCCCTCCCATCTGTCCTAAGAACAAAGAGCTTGTAAACCAATACATTAGGCACAGCCAAAGAGCTCTGGGCCATGAGCAAGCCTCTGGAGCTCCGGTCCCCTGGATCTACCTTTTAAACACTTACTCTGTCTCTTTCTAATTCCTTTGTCTCTGCTGGACTTGGGGTACCCGCCAAGTGGTGTGGGGATGGCTTCCCCAAAAGTTTCTTCCTCGTTTTTATTGGGGGATATTTGATTTTTCACGATAGGCCTAAAAGGCTCCCAAATTTCCCTTCACAGATTCTATAAAAAGATTGTTTCCAACCAGTATTTAAAAGTAAGGTTTAACACTTTGAGATGAATCCACACATCACAAAGCAGTTTCACAGATAGCCTGTTTCTTTTCTTTTTCTTTTTTTTTTTTGTAGGAATTTTGCTCTGTCTTCCAGGCTGGAGTGCAGTGATGGCATCTCAGCTTACTGCAAGCTCCACCTCCTGACCTCCTGGGTTCATGCCATTCTTTGGCCTCTGGCCCCAAAGTAGCTGGGACTACAGCCACACGCCAACACACCCAACTAAATTTTTTGTATCTTTAGTAGAAACCGGGTTTCACCATGTTAGCCAGGGTGGTCTCGATTCCCTGACTTCATGATCTGCCCACCTTGACTTCCCAAAGTGCTAGGATTACAGGCCTGAGCCACCACAACCAGCTGATTCTTTCCAGCTTTTATATGGAGATATTTTGTTTTTCACCATAGGCCTCAACTGGCTCCCAAATGTTTCTTCACAGATTCTACAAAAAGAGTGTTTCCAACCTCCTGAATCAGAAGAAAGATTTAACTCTGTGAGATGAATTCACACATCACAAACAATTTTAAAGATAGCTTCTTTCTGGTTTTTATGTGGGGATATTCAGTTTTCTACTATAGGCCCCAATAGATTCCCTAATATTCCTTCACAAATTCTAGTTTTTAAGAGGAAATATTCATTTTTTTCACCATATTCCTCAAAGGGTTCCAAAATTTCCTTTCACAGATTCTGCAAAAAGGGTGTTTCCAACCTGCTGAATCAGAAGAAAGGTTTGACTCTGTGGAATGCATCCATGCATCACAATGCAGTGTCACTGATACCTAATTTCTTGTTTTAATCTTTGGATATTTTGGTTTTTACCATGGACCTCAATGTGTTCCCAAATGTCCCTTTGTATATTCTACACAAAGAGTGTTTCCAACCTGCTGAATCAGAGGAAAGTTTTAACTCTATGAGATCAATCCACAAATCTTGCAGTAGTTTCATAGATATCTTCATTCTAGTTTTTATTTGAGGATATTAGGATTTTCACCCTAGGCCTCAATGGGTTCCAAAAAGTCCCTTTGCAGATTCCAAAACAAGAGTGTTTCCAACCTGCTGAATCAAAATAAAGGTTTAACTCTGTGAGATGAATCCACACATCACATAGCAGTTTCACATATACATTCCTTCTTGTTTTTATCTGGTGATATTTGAGTTTTCACCGTAGGCCCTAAAGTTCTCCCAAATGTTTCTGGCAGGTTCAACAAAAAGAGTGTTTCCAACCTGTTGAATCAAAGGAAAAGTTAAACTCTGTGACGTGAATCCACACATCACAAGGGAATTTCACAGATAGCTTCTTTCTGGTTTGTATTTGGAAATATTCATTTTTTCACGATTGCCCTCAATTGGCTCTTAAATGTCCCTTTGCAGATTCCACAAAAAGGGTGTTTTCAACCTGCTGAATCAAAAGAAAGGTTTAACTTTTTGGGATAAATCCACACATCACAAAGCAGTGTTGCAGATAGCTTCTCTCTAGTTTTCATCTGGAAATACTCGCTATTTCACCATAGCCCTAGATGGGATCCCAAATATCCCTTCACAGATGGTACAAAAAGAGGGTTTCCAAACTACTAATCAAAAGTAAGGTTTAACTCTGTGAGATGAATCCACTCATCACAAAGCATTTTCACAGATAGCTTCTTTTCAGTTTTTATCTAGAAATACTCAGTTTTTCACCATAGGCCTCAATGGGCTCCCAAATGTCCCTTCACATATTCTACAAATAGAGGGTTTCCAACCTCCTGAATAAAAAACAAGGGTAAACTCTTTTAGATGAATCCATACACAATAAACCAGTTACACAGATAGTTTATTTCAAGTTCTTATCTGGGGATATTCAGATTTTCACCACAGGCCTCAATGGGCTCCCAAACGTCCCTTCGCAGATTCTACACAAAGTGTGTTTCCAACCTGCTGAATGAAAAGAAAGGTTTAACACTGTGAGATGAATCCACACAGCACAAAGCAGTTTTACAGATAGGTGATTTCTAGTTTTTATCAGGGGATATTCAGTTTTCCACCATAGGTCCCAAAGGGCTCCCAAGTGTCCCTTTGCATTTACTACAAAAAGAGTGTTTCCAACTTGTTGAATGAATATAACAGTTTAACTCTGTGAAATGAATCCACTCGTCCCAAAGCAGTAAAATAGATAATTTCTGTCTAGTTTTTATTTGGAAATATTCAATTTTCCATGATAGGCCTCATTGGGCTTCCTAATGTAATTTTGGAGATACTATAAAAAGAGTGTTCCCAAACTGCTAATCAAAAGAAAAGTTTAACTGTTTAAGATGAATACACATGTCACAAAGCAGTTTTACAGATAGCTTCTATCCAGGTATTTTTTTTTTTTAGGAGTTTTGCTCTTTCTCCCAGGCTGGAGTGCAGTGGCAAGATCTTGGCTCACGACTTTCTCCTGCCTCAGCCTCCAAAGTAACTGGGACTACACACGCCAGCCACCACACCTGGCTATTTTTTTTTGTATTTTTTGTAGAGGTGGGTTTCCCCGTGTTTCCCAAGAAGGTCTCGATCTTCTGACTTCATGATCCACCCACCTCAGCCTGCTGAAGTGTTGGAATTAAAGGCATGAGCCACCACACCTGGCCACTTCTTTCTGGTTTTTATATGGAGATATTTGGTTTTTCACCATAGGCCTCTTTTGGCTCCCAAATGTCCCTTCACATATTCTAGAAAAAGACTGTTTCCAACCTGCTGAATCAAAAGAAAGGTTAAAATCTGTAGGATAAATCCACACATCACAAAGCAGTTTCACAGATAGCTTCATTCTAATTTTTATCTTGGGATATTCGGTTTTCTACTATAGGCCCCAATAAGCTCCCAAATGACCCTTCCCAGATTATAGTTTTTAACTGGGAATATTCGGTTTTTCACCCTCTTTCTCAAAGGGCTTCTAAAAGTCCCTTCACAGATTCTGCAAAAAGGGTGTTTCCAACCTACTGAATCAAAAGAAACGTTTAACTTTGTGGAATGGATCCACAGAGCACAAGCAGTGTCACAGATTGCTTCTTTCTGGTTTTTATCTGGGGATATTCGCTTTTTCACCATAGGCCTCAATGTGCTCCAAAATGTCCCTTCATAGATTCTACAGAAAGAGTATTTCCAACCTGCTGAATCAAAAGAAAGGTTTAACTCTGTGAGATAAATCCACACGTCACAAAGCAGTTTCACAGATAGCTTCTCTCCAGTTTTTATTTGAAGATATTCTGTTTTTCACGATAGGCCTCAATGGGCTCCCAAATATCCCTTTGCAGATTCTACAAAAAGAGTGTTTACAACCTACCGAATCAAAAAAAAAAGGTTTAACTCTGTGAGACGAACCCATACATCACATAGAAGTTTCACATATAGCTTTTTTCTAGTTTTTATCTGTGAGTATTTGGTTTTTCACCATAGGCTTAATTGGGTTCCCAATGTCCCTTCGTAGCTTGTAGAGAAAGAATGTTTCCAACTTTCTAATCAAAAGGTTTACCTCTGTGAGATGAATTGAAACATCACAATGCAGTTTCACAGACAGTTTCTTTCCAGTGTTTATCTGGGGATATTCATTTTATCACAATAGACCTCAAAGGGTCTCCCAAATGTCCCTTCACCTTTACTACAAAAAGAGGGTTTCCAACCTGTTAAATCAAAATAAAGGTTTACCTCTGTGAGGTGAATTTACTCATCACAAAACAGTTTCACAGATAGTTTGTTTTGAGTTTCTATTTGGGAATATTCTGTTTTTCACAATAGGCCTCAATGTGCTCCCAAATGTCCCTCTGCAGATTCTACACAAAGAGTGTTTTCAATCTGCTGAATGGAAATAAATGATTAACTTTGTGATATGAATCCACACGTGACAAACCAGTTTCACAAATAGCTAATTTCTAGTTTTTATCTTGGGATATTCAGTTTTTCACCTTAGGCCTCAATAATCTCCCAAATGTAGCTTTGCAGAATCTATAAAATGAGAGGGTCTAATCAAAAGTATGGCTTAACTCTATGAGATAAATTCACACATCACAAAGCAGTTTCCCAGATAGTTTTCTCCAGTTTTTATCTTGAAATATTCTCTTTTTCATCATAGAAATCAATGGGCTCTCAAATGTCCCTTTGCAGATTCTACAAAACGAGTGTTTCCAAACTTTTGAATCAAAATAATGGTTTATTTCTGTGAGATGAATTCACTCATCACAAAGAATTTTCACAGATAGCCTCTTTCTAGTTTTTATCTGGAGATATTCCATTTTTCACTATAGGCCTCAATGGGCTCCCAATTGTCCCTTCACAGATTCTACAAATAGTGAGTTTTCAACCTGCTGAATCAAAAGGAAGGATTAAATCTGTGAGATGAATCCACACATGACAAACCAGTTTTGCAAATAGCCTATTGTCAGTTTTTATCTGGGGATATTCGGTTTTTCACCATAGGCCTAAAGAAGCTCTGAAATGTCCCTTCACATTTACTACAAAAATATTGATTCCAACCAGTTAAATAAAAACATAGTTTTAATTCTGTGAGATTAATCCACTCATCACAAAGCAGCTTCAAAGATAGCTTCTTTCTGGTTTTTATCTGTAGATATTCAGTTTTTCACCATAGGTCCCAATAGGCTCCCAAATGTCTCTTCATAGAGTCTGCAAATAGAGTGTTTCCAACCTGTTGAATGAAAAGAATGGTTTATTTCTGAGACGAATCCACACATGACAAGCCAGTTTCACAGATAACTTATTTCTTGTTTTTGTCTTTGGATGCTCAGTTTTTCACCATAGGACTCTATGGACTCAAAAATGTTCCTTTGCAGTCTCTATAAGAAGAGTGTTTCCAACCTGCTAATCAAAAGTAACATTTAACTCTGTGAGATAAATCCACACGTAACAAAGCAGTTTCACAGATAGCTTTTCTCCAGTTTTTATCTGCAAATATTTGGTTTTTCACCATAGGAAACAAAGGTCTCCTGAATGTGCATTCACAGATTTCACAAAGAAAAAGTTTCCAACCTGCTGAATTGAAAGGAAGTTGTAAATCTGTGTGTTGAGCCCACACATCACAAAGCAGTTTCACAGATAGCTTCTTTTTAGTTTTTTCTGAAGATATTCTGTTTTTCACCATAGCCTTCAATGGGCTCGCAAATGTCTTTTCACAGATTCTAATAAAAGAGTGTTTCTTCTCTCCCTCTTCCTCTCCCACTCCCTCTCCCTCTCCCTCTCCCACTCCCTCTCCCTCTCCCTCTCCCCATGGTCTCCCTCTCCCTCTCTTTCCATGGTCTCCGTCTCATGCCGAGCCGAAGCTGGACTGTACTGCTGCCATCTCGGCTCACTGCAACCTCCCTGCCTGATTCTCCTGCCTCAGCCTGCCGAGTGCCTGCAATTGCAGGCACGCGCCTCCACGCCTGACTGGTTTTCATATTTTTTTGGTGGAGACAGGGTTTCGCTGTGTTGGCCGGGCCGGTCTCCAGCTCCTAACCGCGAGTGATCCACCAGCCTCGGCCTCCCGAGGTGCCGGGATTGTAGACGGAGTCTCGTTCACTCAGTGCTCAATGGTGCCCAGACTGGAGTGCAGTGGCGTGATCTCGGCTCGCTACAACCTCCACCTCCCAGCCGCCTGCCTTGGCCACCCAAAGTGCCGAGATTGCAGCCTCTGCCCGGCCGCCACCCCGTCTGGGAAGTGAGGAGTGTCTCTGCCTGGCCGCCCACCATCTGGGATGTGAGGAGCCCCTCTGCCTGGCTGCCCAGTCTGGAAAGTGAGGAGCATCTCCGCCCGGCCGCCATCCCATCTAGGAAGTGAGGAGCGCCTCTTCCTGGCCACCATCACATCTAGGAAGTGAGGAGCGTCTCTGCCCGGCCGCCCATCATCTGAGATGTGGGGAGCGCCTCTGCCCCGCCGCCCCATCTGGGATGTGAGGAGCGCCTCTGCCCGGCCGCCCTGTCTGAGAAGTGAGGAGACCCTCTGCCTGGCAACCGCCCTGTCTGAGAAGTGAGGAGCCCCTCCGCCCGGCAGCCACCCCGTTTGAGAAGTGAGGAGCCTCTCTGCCCAGCAGCCACCCCGTCTGGGAAGTGAGGAGCGTCTCCGCCCGGCAGCCACCCCGTCCGGGAGGGAGGTGGGGGGGTCAGCCCCCCGCCAGGCCAGCCGCCCCGTCCGGGAGGGAGGTGGGGGTGTCAGCCCCCCGCCCGGCCAGCCGCCCCGTCCGGGAGGGAGGTGGGGGGGTCAGCCCCCCTCCCGGCCAGCCGCCCCATCCGGGAGGGAGGTGGGGGGGCTCAGCCCCCCGCCCGGCCAGCCGCCCCATCCAGGAGGTGAGGGGCGCCTCTGCTCGGCTGCCCCTACTGGGAAGTGAGGAGCCCCTCTGCCCGGCCAGCCACCCCACCTGGGAGGGAGGTGGGGGAGTCAGCCCCCCGCCCGGCCAGCTGCCCCATCTGGGAGGTGAGGGGTGCCTCTGCCTGGCCGCCCCTACTGGGAACTGAGGAGCCCCTCTGCCCGGCCACCACCCCGTCTGGGAGGTGTGCCCAAGAACTCATTGAGAACGGGCCAAGATGACAATGGTGGCTTTGTGGAATAGAAAAGGGGGAAAGGTGGGGAAAAGATTGAGAAATTGGATGGTTGCTGTGTCTGTGTAGAAAGAAGTAGACATGGGAGACTTTTCATTTTGTTCTGTACTAAGAAAAATTCTTCTGCCTTGGGATCCTGTTGATCTGTGACCTTACCCCCAACCCTGTGCTCTCTGAAACATGTGCTGTGTCCACTCAGGGTTAAATGGATTAAGGGCGGTGCAAGATGTGCTTTGTTAAACAGATGCTTGAAGGCAGCATGCTCATTAAGAGTCATCACCACTCCCTAATCTCAAGTACCCAGGGACACAAACACTGCAGAAGGCTGCAGGGTCCTCTGCCTAGGAAAACCAGAGACCTTTGTTCACTTGTTTATCTGCTGACCTTCCCTCCACTATTGTCCTATGACCCTGCCAAATCCCCCTCTGTGAGAAACACCCAAGAATGATCAATAAAAAATAAATAAATAAATAAATAAATAAATAAATAAATAAATAAATAGAAACTCCATGGAAAAAAGAATGGAGAAAATAAAAAAAATCTAACAATGATGCTCACTACAATTAAATTTAAATTGAACAGTAATCACAAAGTACTTGAAATACTGATTATATCAATTTATTCTTGAGAAATGAAATTACTTTAAGAATAATATATCAAATCATGCATTGTTCTAATTCCAAAAAAAAAAAAAAAAAGTGTGTTTCCAGCCTGCTGAATTAAAAGAAAGGCTTAACACTGTGGGGTAAATCCACACATCACCAAGCAGTTTCTCAGATAGCTTCTTTCCAATTTTCATCTAGAAACACTCGGTACCTCACCATAGGCCTCAATGGGATTCTAAATGTCCCTCTGTAGTTTCTAAAAAAAAAGAGTGTTTCCGACCTGAAAATAAAAAGTACAGTTTAACTCTGTGAGATGAATCCACACATCACAAGGCAGTTTCACAGATGGCTTCTTTTCATCTTTTATCTGGGGATATTTTGTTTTTCAACCTAGGCCTCCATGGACTCCTAAATATTCCTTTGCATTTACTATAAAAGAGTGTTTCCAACCTGTTGAATCAAAATAAAGGTTTAACCCTGTGAGATGAATCCACACCTCAGAAAGCACTTTCACAGAGAGCTTATTTCTAATTTTTATCTGGGGACATTCAGATTTTCACCATAGGCCTCAAAGGGCTCCCAAATGTCCCTTTGCAGATTCTACAAATAGACTGTTTCCAAACTGCTGAATAAAAAAACTGGTAAACTCTGTGAGATAAATCCTTACATAACAAAACAGTTTCAAAGATAGTTCCTTTCTATTTTTTATGTGGAGATACTCTGTTTTTTACCGTATGCCTCAATGGGCTTCCAATTGTCCCTTTGCAGATTCTACAAAAAAGGTGTTTACAACCTGCTGAATGAAGGAAAAAGTTAAACTCTGTGACATGACTCCACACATCACAAACCAGTTTTACAGATAGTTTTCTTCTGGTTTGTATCTGAGGATAATCGGTTTTTCACCATTGGCCTCAATTGGCTCTCAAATATCTCTTTGCAGATTCTACAAAAAGGGTGTTTCCAACCTGCTGAATCAAAAGCAAGATTTAACTCTGTGGGATGAATCCACATATCACAATGCAGTGTCACAGATAACTTCTCTCCAGTTTTCATCTGGAAATATTTGGTGTTTCACCATAGGCATTAATGGGATCCAAAATGTTCCTTTGCAGATTGTTCAAAAAGAGTGTTTCCAATCTGCTCATGAAAATTAAGGTTTAACTCTGTGAGATGAATCCACACATGAAAAAGCAATTTCACAGATAGCTTCTTTCCAGTTTTTATCTTCGGATATTTGGTTTTTCGTCATAGGTCTCAATGGGCTCCCAAATGTCCCTTCGCATTTACTACGAAAATAGTTTTCCCAAACTTTTGAATCAAAATAAGGGGCAAACTCTGTGAGATGAATCCATACATGTCAAATCATTTTCACAGATAGCTTCTTTCTAGTTTTTATCTGGGGATATAGGGTTTTTCACCAAAAGCCTCAATGGTCTCCCAAATGTCCCTTCACAGATTTTACAAAAAAGGATTGTTTTCATCCTGCTAAATCAATTTAAAAGTTTAACACTCTGAGATGAACTCACTCATCACAAGGCAGTTTTTAAGAAGCTTATATCTACTTTTTACCTGGGGATACTCTATTTTTGAAGTCTCAATGGGCTTCCAAAAGTCTGTTCACAAATTCTACAAAATGCTTTTTCCAAAGTGCTGAATCAAAAAAATGGATTAACTCTGTGGAATAATTCCACACATCACTAACAGTTTCACAGATAGCTTTTTTCTAGTTTTTATCTGGGGATATTTGTTTACTCACCATAGGCCTTAATAAGCTCCCAAATGTCCCTTTGCATTTAGTACAAAAAGAGGGTTTCCAAACTGCTAATCAGAAGTAAGTTTTAACTCTATGAGATGAGTGCACACATCACAAAGCAGTTTCACAGATAGGATCTTTCCAGTTTTCATCTGGGGATATTCAGTTTTTCACCATAGGCCTCAGTGGGCTCCCAAATGTCTCTTTGCATTTACTACAAAAAAAGGGTTTCCAAGTTGTTCAATCAATATAAAGGTTTAACTCTGTGAGATGAATTTATTCATCACAAAGCAGTATCATAGATATAGTTTCTTTCTAGTTTTTATCTGGGGATGTTTGGTTTTTCACAATAAACAATGGGCTCCCCAAAATCCTTTTGCATAATCTACAAATAGAATTTTTCCAAGCTGCTGAATCAAAATAAATGTTAAATTCTGTGAGATTACTCCAAGCATGACAAACAAGTTTCACAGAAAACTTACCTCTAGTTTTTATCTGGGTGTACTTGTTTTTCACCATAGGCCACAATGAGCTCCAATGTCCCTTCATAGATTATACAAAAAGAGTGTTTCCAACCTGATAATCAAAAATAATGTTTAACTCTGTGAGATTAATCCAAACTTCACAAAGCAGTTTTACAAATAGACTCTTTCCAGTTTTTACTGGGAGATATTCAGTTTTTCTCCATAGGCCTCAATGGACTCCCAAATATCCCTTCACAGATTATACAAAAATGGTGTTTCCAACCTGCTGAATCAAAATAAATGTTTAACTCTGTGAAATGAATCTACACATCACAAAGCAGTTTCTCAGATAGCTTCATTATAGTTTTTAACTGGGGAAATTCAGTTTTTCACTGTCAGCGCCACTGGGCTCCAAAATGTGCATTTGCTGACTGTGGTTTTTAACTAGGAATATTCAGTTTTTCACTGTAGGCTTCAAAGTTCTCCAAAATGTTCCTTCACAGATTCCACAAAAAAATGTATTTCCAATCTGCTGAATCAAAGGAAAGGTTAACCTCTGTCAGATAAATACACACAGCACAAAGCAGTTTCACAAATAGCTTCTTTCTGGTTTTTATCTGGGGATGTTCAGTTTTTCCCATAGTCCGTAAAGGTCTCCCAAATGTTCCCTTGCAGATTCTACAGATAGAGGTTTTTCGACCTACTGAATCAAAAGAGAGGGTAAACTCTGAGATGAATCCATACATGAAAAACCAGTTTCAAAGATAGTTTCTTTCTAGTTTTTTCTAGGTGTGTTCACTTTTTTACAATAGACTTCAATGGGATTTCAACTGTCCCTTCACAGATTATACAAAAAAAGATGGTTTCCATACTCCTGAATCAAATTAGAGGTTTGGCAATAAGAGATGAATACACGTATCACAAAGCAGGTTCACAGACAGCTTTTTCTAGAGGTGGGTGCCTGTAGTCCCAGCTACTTGGGAGGATGAGGCAGGAGAATGGCATGAACCCAGTTGGCAGAGCTTGCAGTGAGCTGAGATCACACCACTGAAGTCCAGCCTGGGCTACAAAGTGAGACTCTGTCTCAAAAAAAAAAAAAAGAAAAGAAAAAAATAGAAAAAAACATACTACAAAAAGAGTGCTTCCAACTTGCTGAATCAAAGAAAAGGTTTAACTCTGTGAGATGAATTAACGCATCACAGAGCAATTTCACCAATAGCTTCTGTCTTGTTTTTATCTGGGGATATTCAATTTTTTGTTTTAGGCCTTAATGGGCTTTCAATGTTTGCTTTCGCAGATTCTACAAAAAAGTTTTTCCAACCTGCTGAATCAAATGAAAGGTTTAATTCCGTGAGATGAATCCACAAATCACAAAGTAGTTTAACAGACAGCTTCTTTCTAATTTTTATCTGGGAATATTTAGTTTTTCACCATATGTCACAATGGACATTCAAATGTTCCTTTGCATATACTTCAAAAAGAGTGTTTCTGACCTGCTAAATCAAAAGAATGGTTTAACACTGAAATGAATCCACACATCACAAAGTAGTTTCACATATATCGTCTTTCTACTTTTTAATTGCAGATATTTGGTTTTTCACCATAGAACTCAATGGGCTCCCAAATGCTTCTTTTCAGATTATACAAAAACTGTGTTTCCAGCCTGATGAATCAAAAGAAAGTTTTTCTTTTTGAGAAGAAACCACACATCATGAAGCAATTTCACAGATACCTTCTTTCTAGTTTTTATCTGGGATTCTTCAGTTTTTCACCATAGGCCTCAATGGGCTCCCAAACGACCCTTCACAGATGCTACAAATAGACTGTTTCCAAACTGCGGAGTAAAAAAACTGGTGAACTCTGTGAGATAAATCCTTACATAACAAACCAGTTTAACAGATAGTTTCTTTCTATTTGTGTAGTTTATTTCTATCTGTGGAATCTTCACAGATTCCACACAAAAAGTGTTTCCAGCCTGCTGAATCAGAAAAATGGTTTAACTCTGTGAGAGAAATGCACACTTCATAAGCAGTTTAACAGATAGCTTCTCTCTAGTTTTTATCTGGAGATATTCTGTTTTTCAACACAGGCCTCAATGAGCTCCCAAATGTCTCTTCACAGATTCTACAAAAAGGTGTTTCCAACCTAATGAATCAAAAGAATGGTTTAACTCTGTGAGAGGAATACACAAGAAAAACAGTTTCACAGATAGAATTTTCTAGTTTTCATCTGGGGATATTTGGTTTTTGACCATAGGTCTCAATGGGTTCCCAAATGTCACTTTGCATATTCTACCAAAAAAGTGTTTCTGAATTTCTCAATCAAAAGAAAGGTTTAAGCCTGTAAGATGAATCAACAAATCACAAACCAGTTTCACAGATAACTTCTTTCTAGTTTCTATCTGGGCATACTTGGTTTTTCACTACAGGCTTCAATGGGTCCCAAATGTCCTTTACAGATTGTACAAAAAGAGTGTATCCAACCTGCTGAATCAATAGAAAAGTTTAACTCTTAGAGATGAACCCACACAACCCAAAGAAGTTTCACAGATACATTCTTTCTAGTTTTTATCTGGGGATTTTAAGTTTTTCACCATAGGCCTCAATTGGCTCCCAAATGTCCCTTTGCAGATTCCACAAAAAGAGAGTTTCCCCACCTGTGGAATCAAAAGAAATGTTGAACCCTGTAAAATAAATAAATACACACAAAAGAGTTTCACAGATAGCTTCTATCTAGTTTGTATCTGGGGATGTTTGGTTTTAAACCATAGGCCTCAATAAGCTCTCAAATGTTCCTTCACAGATTCTACAAAAAGAGAGTTTCCATCCTACTGAATCCAAAAAAAAGTTTAACTCTCAGAAATAAATGCACACATTAGAAAGCAGTCTCACAGATAGATGCTTTCTAATTTTGATCTGGGGTTGTTTGGTTTTTCATTATAGGCCTTAATTGGCATCCAAATGTCCTGTCACAGATTCTACAAAAAGAGTATTTCCAACGTAATGAATGAAAAGGAATGTTTCACTCTGTGAGGTGAACCCACACATCACAAAGCAGTTTCACACACAGCATCTTTCTAGTTTTTATTTGGGGATATTTGGTTTTTCACCCTAGGCTTTAATGGGGTCCCAAATGTTCCTTCACAGATTGTACAAAAAGAATGTTTCCAACCTGCTAAATCAAAGGAAAGGTTTAACTCCATGAGATGAATGCACATATCACAAGACAGTTTCACGGATAGTTTCTTCCCAGTTTTTATCTGGTTATATTCCATTTTTCACTGTAGGCCTAAATGAGATTCCCAACCTCCTTTTGCAGATTCTAGAAAAAGAGAGTTTCCAAGCTGTTGAATCAAAGGAAAGGTTTAGCTCTTTGAGCTGCATCCACATATCACAAAGCCGTTTCACAGATCACTTCTTTCTAGTTTTTATCTGAGGATATTCTGTTTGTCACCATAGGCCTCAATGGGCTCCAAAATGTCCCTTCACATATTCTACAAAAAGAGTGTTCCCACCTGCTGAATCAAGGGAAAGGTGTAACTCTGTGAAATGAATCCACACATCACTAAGCCATTTCACAGAGAGCTTCCTTCTAGTTTTTCTCTTGGAATATTTGTTTTTTCACCATAGACATCAAGGGGCTCCCAATTGTCTTTTTGAAGATTCTGCAAAATGTGTGTTTCAAACCTGTTAATTCAAAAGAAAGGTTTAGCTCTACAAGATGAATCCACACATCACTATGCATTTTCACAGATGGCTTCTTTCTAGTTTTATCTGAGAATATTCGTTTTTTCAAAATAGACCTCAATGGGATCCAAAATGCCCCTTTGCAGGACCCACAAAAGAGTGTTTTCAAGCTGCTGAATCAAAAGAAAAGTTGAAATTTGTAAGATGAATCCACATATCACTAAGCAGTTTTACAGATAGTTACTTTCCATTTTCTATCTGGGGATATTTGGTGTTTCACCATAGGACTCAGTGAGCTCCCAAATGTCCCTTTGTAGATTCTGCAAAGAATGTTTCTAACTTGCTGAATCAAAAGGAAAGTTTTAGTCTGTGAGATGAATCCACACATCACAAAGCAAATTCCCAAATAACATCTTTCTAGTTTCTATCTGGGGAAATACAGTTTTTCAACATAGGCTTCAATGGTCTCCCAAATATCCCTTCACAAATTATACATACACAATGTTTCCAACCTGCTGAATCAACAGAAAAGTTTAACTCTGTGAAATGAATCTACACATCACAAAGCAGTTTCACCAATAGATTGTTTCTAGTTTTCATGTAAGGATATTTGTTTTTTCATGATAGGCCTCAATAGGATTTCAAATGTCCCTTCACCAATTCTACAAAAAGAGTGTTTCTCACCTCATGAAACAAAAGAAAGCTTTAACTCTGTGAGATGAATCCGCGCATCACAAAGTAGTTTCACTGATAGCTCCATTTTATATTTTATTTGTTGATATTCTGTTTTCTAACCATAGGCCTCAAATGTCCCCCAAATATCATTTAGCAGATTCTACAAAAAGGGTGTTTCCAGCCTGCTGAACCAAAAGAAAGGTGTAATTCTGTGAGATGAATCCACTGAATGCCAAGCAGTTTTACAGGTAGCTTCTTTCTAGTTTTTGCCTGAGGATATTTTGTTTTTTACTATAGGCCTCAATGGGCTCCCAAAAGTCCCTTCATACATTCTAAAAAAAAGAATGTTTTCAACCTACTGAACAAAAGAAAGTTTTAACTCTGTTAGATGCATCCACACTTCATGAAGCAGTTTCACAAATAGCTCCCTCTGGTTTTTAACTGGGGATATTCAGTTTTTCACCATAGTCTTCAATATTCTTTCAAATATTTCTTTGCTGATTCTGCTAAAAGAGTGCTTCCAACCTGCTGAATCTAAGAAGAATTTATCTCTGTGAGATGAACCCAAACATCACAAAGCAATTTCACAGAAAACATCTTTTTAATTTTTATCTGAAGATATTCGGTTTTTCACCAGAGGCCTTAATGGGCTCCAAAATGTCCCTTCGCAGATACTACAAAAGGATTGTTTCCATTCTGTTGAATGAAAAAAAAGCTTTTACTCTGTGTGATGAATCAACACATCACAAAGCAGTATCACAGATAGCTTCTTTAGAGTTTTTATCTGGGGATATTTGGTTTTTTACTGTAGGCCACAACGGACTTTCAAATATACCTTTGCAGATTCTACAAAAAGAATATTTCCAACCTGCTGAATCAAAAGAGAGTTTTGACTCTCTGAGAGGAATTCACATGTCATAAAGAAAATTCAATGATAGCTTCTTTCTAGTGTTTATCTGGGGATATCAGTTTTTCACCATAGGCCTGAATGGACTCGCAAATTTCCTCTCACACATTCTACAATAAGAGGGTTTCCAACTTGCTGAATGAAAAGAAATGTTTAAATCTGTAAGATGAATTTTCACATCACAAAGCAGTTTCACGGATAGATTTGTTCTTGCTTTTATCTGGGAATATTCAGTTTTTTAACATAGGCCTCAATAGTCGCCCAAATGTCCCTTTGCAAATTCTACAAAAAGAGTGTTCCATCCTGTTGAATCAAAAGATAGGATTAGCTCTGTGAGATGAATCCACACATTAAAAGCAGTTTCACAGATAGATTTGTCCTGGCTTTTATCTGGGAATATGCAGTTTTTTTAACATAGGCTTCAATAGTCTTCCAAATGTCCCTTTGCAAATTCTACAAAAAGAGTGTTCCATCCTGTTGAATCAAAAGATAGGATTAGCTATGTGAGATGAATCCACACATTAAAAAACAGTTTCAAACGTAGCTTCTTTCTAGATTTTATCTGAGGATGTTTGGTTTTTCACTATAGGCCTCATTGGGCTCCTAAATGTTCCTTGGTAGATTCTACAGAAACAGAGATTCCAACGTGCAGAATCAAAAGAAAGTTTGGACATGAACAGACACTTCTCAAAAGAAGACATTTATGCAGCCAAAAAACACGTGAAAAAATGCTCATCATCACTGGCCATCAGAGAAATGCAAATCAAAACCACAATGAGATACCATCTCACACCAGTTAGAATGGCAATCATTAAAAAGTCAGGAAACAGCAGGTGCTGGAGAGGACGTGGAGAAATAGGAACACTTTTACACTGTTGGTGGGACTGTAGACTAGTTCAACCAATGTGGAAGTCAGTGTGGCGATTCCTCAGGGATCTAGAACTAGAAATACCATTTGACACAGCCATCCCATTACTGGGTATATACCCAAAGGACTATGAATCATGCTGCTATAAAGACACATGCACACGTATGTTTATTGCAGCAGTATTCACGATAGCAAAGACTTGGAACCAACCCAAATGTCCAACAATGATAGACTGGATTAAGAAAATGTGGCACATATACACCATGGAATACTATGCAGCCATAAAAAATGATGAGTTCATGTCCTTTGTAGGGACATGGATGAAATTGGAAATCATCATTCTCAGTAAACTATCACAAGAACAAAAAACCAAACACCGCATATTCTCACTCATAGGTGGGAATTGAACAATGAGATCACATGGACACAGGAAGGGGAATATCACACTCTGGGGACTGTTGTGGGGTCGGGGGAGGGGGGAGGGATAGCATCGGGAGATATACCTAATACTAGATGATGAGTTAGTGGGTGCAGCGCACCAGCATGGCTCGTGTATACATATGTAACTAACCTGCACAATGTGCACATGTACCCTAAAACTTAAAGTATAAAAAAAAAAGAAAGTGAAAAAAAAGAGAAAGTTTTATGTCTGTGTTGAATCGACACCTCACAAAGCAGTTTCAGAGACAGGTTTTTTTTTTTTTTTTAGTTAGTATTTTGGGATATTCTGTGTTTCACCACAGGCCTCAATTGGCTCTCAAATGTGTCTTTGCAGAATATGCAAAAATAGAGTTTCCAACCTGCTGAATAAAAAATAAAGTTAAACTTTCTCAGATGAATCCACACAACACCAAGCAGTTTCACACATAGCTTCTTTCTCATTTTTATTTGGGGATATTTTGTTGTTCACCTTAGGCCTCTATGGGCTCCAAAATGTATTTTCACAGGTTCTACAGAAAGAGTGTTTCCAGCCTGCTGTAACAAAAGAAAGGTTTAACTCTGTTAGATGTATTCAGATATCACAAAGCAGTTTCACAGATAACTTCTTACTAGTTTTTATCTGGGGATATTTGGTTTTTCACCATAGGCCTCAAGGGACTCCTAAATGTCCTTTTTAAATTCTACATACGGAATGTTTCCAACATGCTGAATCAAAAGAAACCTTTAACTCTGTGAGTTGTATCCACACATCACAAAGCAGTTTCACAGATAGCTTCTTTCTAGTTTTTATCTGGTGACATTTGTTTTTTCAACATAGGCCTCAATGGGCTTCACAATGTCCCTTCACAGATTCTACAAAAGCAGTGTTACAAGCTGCTGAATCAAAGGAAATTTATAACTCTGTCAGATGAATCCCCACATAACAAAGAAGTTTCACAGACAGCTTCTTTCTTGTTACCCAGGGATATTCATTTTTTCACCATAGGTCTCAGTTGGCTCCCAAATGTTTCTTCACAGATTCTTCAAACAGAGTGATTCCAACATGCTGAATCAAAAGAAAGGTTTAAATCTTTGAGACAAATCCACATATCACAAAGCAGTTTCACAGATAGCTCATTTCTAGTTTTTATCTGGGGACATTCCATTTGTCAGCATAGACCTCAATGGGCTCCCAAATATTCCTTCAGAGATTCTACAAAAACAGTGTTTCCAACCTGATGAATCAACAGAAAGTTTTAAATCTCTGAGAAAAATCCACATATCGCAGAGCTGTTTCACAGATAGTTTCTCTCTAGTTTTTATATGGGTATATATGGCAATTCAACATAGGCCCCAATGGGCTCCCAAATGTTTTTCCACAGATTCTACAAAAAAGTTTTTCCAACCTGCTGAATCAAAAGAAAGGTTTATCGCTGTGAGATAAATCCATGCAACCCATAGCAGTTTCACAGATAGCTTTTTTCTAGTTTTTATCTCGGTATATTTCATTTTCCACAATAGGCCACAATTGGCTCCCAATTGTCCATTGCAGATTCTACCAAAAGAGTGTTTCCAACCTGCTGAATCAAAAGAAAGGTTTAACTCTGTGAAATGAATCCACACTTTGGCAAACATTTTCACAGATAGCTTCCTTCTCCTTTTTGACTGGCGATATTAAAATTTTCACCATAGACCTCAACAGGGTCTTAAATGGTCTTTTGCTTATTCTATGAAAAAAATGTTTCCAAACTGCTGAATCCAAAGAAAGGTGTAATTTTGTGAGATGAATCTACACATCAGAAAGCAGTTTCACAGATAGCTTCTTTCTAGTTTCTGTCTGATGATATTCAGTTTTTCACCATAGTTGTCAATTGGGTCTTAAATGTCCCTTTGTTGATTCTTCAAAAGGAGTGTTTCCAACCTTCTGAATCATAAGAAAGGTTTATCTCTGTGAGATGAAATCACACATCACAAAGCAGTTTCAAAGACAGCTTCTTTCTAGTTTTTTTCTGGGAATATTCTGTTTTTCACCATAGTCCTCAATGGGCTCCCAAATGTCCCTTCACAAATTTTACAAAGTGTTTCTAGCCTGCTAATTCAAAAAAAAAGTTTAACTCTGTGAGACGAATCAACACATCACAAAGCACTTTCACAGGTAGCTTCTTTCTAGTTTTTTTCTGGGGGTACTTGGATTTTACCCTAGGCCTCTTTGCCTCTGTGAGATGAATGTACACATCACAAACCAGTTCCACAAAGAATGTCTTTCTAGTTTTTATCTGGGGATATTCAGTTTTTCAACATAGGCAACAATGGCCTCCTAAATGATTATTTCCAGATACTACAAAAAGAGTGTTTCCAACCTGCTGTATTAAAAGAAAGGTTTATCTCTCTGAGATGAATCCACACACCACAAAGCAATTTCACAGACAGATTCTTTCCAGTTTTTATCTGGGAATATTCGGTATTTCATCATAGGCCCCAAAGGACCCCCAAATGTCCCTTTGCAGATTCTACAAAAAGAATGCTCCCAACCTGCTGACAGAAAAGAAACGTTCAACCCTGTGAGAGGAATTCACATATCACAAAGCAGATTCACAGATAGCTTCTTTCTAGTTTTTATCAGGGAATATTCGTTTTTTTAACATAGGTCTCAATATGCTCCAAATGTCCCTTCACATATTTTACAAAAAAAGTGTTTCCAACCTGCTGAATCCAAATAAAAGTTTAACTTGGTAAGATAAATCCAGAAAACCCGAAGCAG
Source organism: Homo sapiens (assembly GCF_000001405.40). NCBI lineage: Eukaryota > Metazoa > Chordata > Mammalia > Primates > Hominidae > Homo > Homo sapiens. Next base: position 43,675,206 of record NC_000008.11, on the reverse strand, counting down.
TTTCACAGAAAGCTTCTTTCCAGTTTTTAACTGGGGATGTTTTATATTTCAATATGGCCCCAAAGAGCTTTCATATGTCTTTTGGCAGCTTCTACAAAAAGAGTGTTTCCAACCTGCTGAACCAAAAGAAAGGCTTATCTGGGTGTGGTGTATCTATACATCATAAAGTGGTTTCACAGATTGCTTATTTCCAGTTTTCTCTTTGCAATATTCTGCTTTTTACTGTAGGCCTCAATGAGGTCTTAAATTTCCCTGTGCTGATTCTACAAATAGAGTGTTTCCAAACTGCTGAATCAACAGAAAGGTCTAACTCTGTGAGATAAATCTACACATCAGAAAACAGTTTCACAGATAGCTTCTTTCTAGTTTTTATCAGACAACATTCAGTTTTTCACCTTAGGCCTCAATGTTCTCAAAAATGTCCCAATGCAATCCTACAAAAAGAGTTTTCCAACCTGCTGAATCTAAAGAACAGTTTATCACTGTTTGGTGAATCCACACATCAAAAATCAGCTTCACAGATAGCTTTTTTTCTAGTTTTTATCTGGGGATGTTTTGTTTTTTACCATAGACCTCAAGGAGCTCTCAAATGTCCCTTCATAGATTCTACAAAAAGAAAAGTTCTGGGTAACACATGCCATCAGTGTTGAGAAAAGACCATTAACACCAAGACTGTGTGTTGGAACGAGGGTTGCTGTGGTGTGTGAGGACAGTTCTGTTGACCATGCCTGCAGAAACGCTATGGGGAGGATGTCAGATTGGCATTGCTGGACCCGGATTGGGTGTGTCCCCCCATCATGGGATCTGCAATTGCAGCTACTCTTGGAAGCATGACAGACACTGAGCCGCAGGAATCCTCATTCATCTGGCCAAGTTTTATGGTTATAACAATATTAAGGAATATCTGGAGAGCTTACAAATGGAGCTGGTAAAAGACAATTAAGAGGAGAACAGAACCAGTCACCTCAACATAGAATACTCCAACAAGATATGCATACCATTTGTGCCTAAGATTCTTTACAGTTGTGTTTTTATACAGAAATTCTTTGCAGAAATTACTATATTTTTAAAGATTGTTCATATGCTTACAAATATTTCTCAGGAAGACAGTAGAGCAGAGGAATCTATATAGATGTATGCACAGACCTGTTTGTGTGCTGAACTCTTTTAAAAGTACCTGCCAGTGATTAAAAAGCACAATTTAAATGAGGTGGGGTTAAAGTTCAGGTAAGTTAGAAAGAAAACATTGTATGAGCAGCTCCTGCCTTGATCTATCTTTGGTCTCCCAAATGGTAACTCCAGGTCAAGTTTGCCTTAGCACGAGTGACCACAGTTTAATAGACCACACACATCATTTAACCTGCTCTTGGTCATTGGAAATTTACATTGAACAAAGTTCAATTAACTGCAGAACAGTTTTATTTTTATTAAAACTTGACTGAACAAAAGGGGACCTTCAACACTGTAGAAACTGGAGGCCTCACAGAGTGCTAGCCTCTTCCTTCAGGACTCACCTGGGGCCTCCTGCTTTTATATTTTGAAAGAGATTAAGGACTAATAATTTTTAATTTAATTTCTTGTTTAAGAATTAAAATTTCCCTTCCTTCTTTCTGGCTGCATTGCTTTTGCATGTTCAGGTATGACACACTTTTCTTTGAGATGGAGTCTTGTTCTGTTGCCCAGGCTGGAGTGCAGTGGTGTGTCCTCGGCTCACAGCAACCTTGGCTTCCTGGGTTCAAGCGATTCTCCTGCCTCCTGAGTAACTGAGACTACAGTAGTGCTACCACAGCCGGCTAATTTTTTTGTAGTTCTAGTAGAGATGGAGTTTCACCATGTTATCCAGGATGGTCTCAATCTCCTGACCTCCTGATGCACCAGCCTCAGCCTCCCAAAGTGCTGGGATTTGGATTACAGGCATAAGCTACAATGCACAGCCCTGAAAAAGTTTCTAATATTTTTTCTGATTTCCACTCCCCTTTCTAAGGATAGCATTTAAAAAACAATGCACGTGTGAGTTACTGAAAAGTTATAGTAGGCTACATTAATGTGCATGAGAACAGTGCAGCAGCATGCTAGAAAATCCTCACTGCACTCCAGCTGAGGCTACAGGAATGCCAGTGTTATCTTACACTTCTTGCAGCAGAGCCACTCTGGCTAGAACCCATTTTGCAGTCTTCCCTTTGCTCTTCAGCATGAAGGTCCAGATGTAGCTGGGGCCTCTCCATTTGGTTTGTACACAGGGCACTCGTAGATATATTTGGTTTCTTGTCTGTCCACGGGGGTGGCTTTTGCAAAGATAACTGGCATAGGGCATGCCAGCTCCTTGAGATGGGCTTCAACAATGGTTCTTGATTGGGTGTCCCAGTGGGCGCCTATGGCAAAAACATAACTGTTGCAATTGTGTCACAGGTTGCTACTGATGATCAAGTTGTTTGATGCAATAAACTTTCTGGTTTTGTTATAAAAAAAAAAGAGTGTTTCCAACATGCTGAATCAAAAGAAAAATTTTACTCTGTGAGATGAATCCACACACCACAAAGCAGTTTCACCAATAGCTTTTTTCTAGTTTTTATCTGGGGATTTTTGATTTTCATGATAGCCCTCAATGGGCTGCCAAATATCCCTACACAGATTTTATTTAAAAAAAAGTGTTTCCGTCCTTTTAAATCAAAAGAAAAGTTTAACTCTGTGAGATGAATCATCACATCACAAAGCATTTTTCACAGATAAATTTTTTGTAGTTTTTATGGTGTTTTCACCATAGGCCCCAATGGGCTCCCAAATTTCCTTTGCAGATTCTACAAAAAGAGTGTTTTCAATTTGCTGAATCAAAAGAAATGTTTAATGCTATGAGATGAATCCACACATCTCAAAGCAGTTCAACAGATCACTTTTTTCTAGTTTTTATTTGGGGATGTCCAGTTTTTCAACACTGGCTTCAGTTGGCTCCTAAATGTCCCTTTGCAGATCTACAAAAAGAGTGTTTCCAATCTGCTGAATCAAAAGAAAGTTTCAGCTCTGTGTGGTGAATTCAAACATCACAAAGCAGTTTCACAGACAGCTTCTTTCTAGTTTTTTTCTGGGGATATTCTTTTTTTCACCATTGGCCTCATTTGGCTTCCAAAAGTCCCTTTGCAGATGCTACACAAACAGTTTCCAAACTGCTGAATCAACAGAAAGGCTTAACTCTGTGAGATGAATCCACTTATCACAAAGCAGTTTCACAGATGGCTTCTTTCTAGTTTTTATCTGAGGATATTCTGTTTTTCACCATAGTTCTCAAGGGGGGTTAATGTGTCCCTTTGCAGATTCTACAAAAAGAGGGTTTCCAACCAGCTGAATCAAAAGAAATGTTTAACACCTTGAGATGAACCCACATATCACAAAGAAGTTTCACATATAACTTCTTTTTACTTTTAATCTGGGTATATACGGTTTTCACCATAGGTTTAAATGGTCTCCAGAAGTCCCTGTGCAGATTCTACAAAAAGAGTGTTTCCAACCTGATGAATCAAAACATAAGTTTAACTCTGTAAGATAAATCTACTCATTACAAAGGAATTTCACAGATAGCTTCTTTCTAGTTTTTATCTGGGGATATTCTTTTTTTTTTCACCATAGGCCACAATGGGCTCCCAAATGTCTCTTTGCTGATTCCACAAAAAGAATGTTTCCAACCTGCTGAATCAAAAGAAAGGTTCAAGTCTGTTAGATAAATCAACACAACCCAAAGCAGTTTCACAAATAGCTTCTTTCTAGTTTTTATTTGGGGACATATGGTTTTTCACCATACTCATCAACAGGTGCCCAAATGTCCCTTGCAGATTCTACAAAAAGAGTGTTTCCAACCTGCTGAAAGAAAAGAAATGTTTAACTCTTTCAGATGAATCTACACAAAACATAGCAGTTTTTCAAAGAGCTTTCTTCTAGTTTTCATCTAGGGATATTCGGTTTTTTATCATAGGCCTCAAAATGCTCTCAAATAACTCTTTGCAGAATCTACAACCAGGGTGTTTCAAACCTGCTGAATTAAAAGAAAGGATTAACTCTGTGAGATTCATCTACACTTCACAGGGCAGTTTCACAAGTAGCTTCTTTCTTGTTTTTCTCTGGGGATATTCAGTTTTGCAACACAGGCCTCAATAAGCCCACTATGTTTCTTTGCAGATTCTACAAAAATAGTGTTTTTAACCTGCTGAATGAAAAGGAGGGTTTAACTTTTTGAGATGAATCTACACATCACAAAGCAGTTTTACAAAGAGCTTCTTTCTAGTTTTTATCTGGGAATATTTGGTGTTTGGCCATAGGCAAACTCGGGTTCCAAAATTACCGTTTGCAGAGTCTACAAAAAGAGTGTTTCCAAACTGCTGAATTGAAAGAAAGGGGTGACTCTGTGAGAGGAGTCTACACGTCACAAAGCAGATTCTCAGACAGCTTCTTTCATGTTTTTCTCTGGGGACATTCGGTTTTTCACCTTAGGCATCAATGGAATCCCAAATGTCCCTTTACAGATTCTACAAAAAGGTGTTTCCAACCTGCTGAATCAAAAGATAGGTTCAATGCTGTGAGATAAATCCAAACATCACAAAGCAGTTTCACAGATTGCTTCTTTCTCATTTTTATCTGGGGTTATTCTGTTTTTCACCATAGGCCTCAATGGCCACCAAAATGTCCCTTTGCAGATTCTACAAAAAAAGTGTTTCCAACATGCTGAATCAAAAGAAAGGTTTAACTTTGTGAGAAAAATCCACACATCACAAGCAGTTTCTCAGGTAGTTTCTTTCTAGTTTTTATCTGGGGACGTTCAGTTTTTCACCATAGGTTTCAATGGGTTAAAAATGTTGCTTTGCAGATTCTCTAAAAGAGTGTTTACAACCTGCTGAATCAAAACAAAGGTTTAACTCTGTGACCTGAATCCAAACATCACAAAGCAGTTTCACAAAAAGCTTCTTTCTAGATTTTATGGGGTGATTTACAATTTTCCACCCATAGGACTCAGTGGGATTCCAAATGTCCCTTTGCAGTTTCTACAAAAGCTGTGTTTTCAACCTGCTGATGGAAAAGAAAAGTTTAACTCTGTGAGATAAATCTACACCTTACAAAGCAGTTTTACAGATAGCTTCTTTCTACTTTTTATCTGGCAATAAATGGTCATTCACCATAAGCATAAATGGGCTCCAAATTGTTTATTCACAGATTCTACAAGAGAAGTGTTACCAACCTGCTGAATCAAAAGAAAGTTTTATCTCTGTGTGATGAATCAATATATCAAAAAGCAGTTTCACAGGAAGTTTCTCTCTAGGTTTTATCTGAGGACTTTCTGTTTTTCAACATAGGGCTCAAAAGGGCTCCAAAATGACCCTTCGCAGATTCCAAAAAAAAAGAGTGCTACCACCTGGTGAGTCAAAAGTAAAGTTTAACCCTTTGAGATGAATCCACACATCAGAAGGCAATTTTACAGGTAGGTTCTTTCTAGTATTTATCTAGGGACAATTTGTTTTTCACCATAGGCCTCAATGGGCTCTCAAGTGTCTGTTCACAGAGTCTACAAAAAGAGTGTTTCCAACCTACTGTATCAAAAGAAAGGTTTAACTCTGTGATACAAATCCACAAATCACAAAGCAGTTTCACAGATAGTTTCTTTCTAGTTTTTATCTTGAAATATTCAGTTTTTCACCATAGTCCACAATGGGCTCAAAAATGTCCCCCTGGAGATTCTACAAAAAGACAGTTTCCCACCTGCTGAATAAAAAAAATGTTTAACAGAGAGATAAATCCACCAATCACAAAGCACTTTCACAAATAGCATCTTTCTAGTTTTTCTGGGGATATTTAGTTTTTCATTGTAGTCCTGAATGCTCTTAAATGTCCCCTCACAGATTCTACAAAAAGAGTGTTTCCAACATTCCGAATCAAAAGAATGGTTTAACTCTGTGAAATGAATCCACACATCACAAAACACTTTCACAAACAGCTTCTTTCTAGTTTTTATCTGTGGATTCTCTGTTTTTCTCCATAAGGCTCAAAGTGCTCCAAAATGTCTTTTTGCAGATTTTCACAAAAGAGTGTTACCACCTGTTGAGTCAAAAGAAAGGTTTAACACTGTGAGATGAATCCACACATCACAAAGCACTTCATAGATAGCTTCCTTCTAGTTTTTATCTGGGAATATTCGGTTTTTCACCAAAGATTTCAATAGGCTCCCAAATGTTCCTTTGCAGCTTCTACAAAAAGAGTGTTTTCAAACTGCTGAATGAAAACAAAGGTTTAACTCTATGAAATGAATCCACACATCACAAAGCAATTTGACAGAGAGCTTCTTTCTAGCTTTTATGTGGTGATATTCTGTTTTTCACTATAGGCCTCAATAAACTCCCAAAGATCCCTTCATAGATTCTACAAAAGAAGTGTTTCCAACCTGCTGAATCAAAGGAAAGGTTCATCTCTGTGTGATGAATCTACACATCACAAAGCAGTTTACCAGGTAGCTTCTTTCTAGTTTTTATCTGGGAATAATCATTTTTTCACCATAGTCCAACAGTTCACAAATGTCCCTTCATGGATTCCACAAAAGGTGTGTTTCCAACCTACTGAATCAAAAGCAAGGTTTAACTGTGTGAGATGAATGCACACATCACAAAGCACTTTCACATATAGCTTCTTTCTAGTTTTCATGTAGGGATATTCTGTTTTTCACCATAGGCCTCAATGGACTCCAAAATGTCCCTTTGCACATTTTACAAAAAGAGTGTTTCAAACGTGCTAAATCAAAAGAAAGGTTTAACTTTCTGAGATGAATCTACGTATCACAAAGCATAGCTTATCTCTCCTTTTTATCTTTGGATAATCGGTTTTTCAACATAGGCATCAAAGGGCTCCCTAATGTCTCTTCAGACTTTCTACAAAAAGGGTGTTTCCAACATGCTGAATCAAAAGAAAAGTTTAACTGTGAGATGAATTCACACACCACAAAGCAGCTTCACAGTTTGCTTCTTTATAGTTTTTATCTGGGGATATTAGGTTTTTCAACATAAACCTCAGTGGGCTCCAAAATGTTCCTTTGGATATTCTACAAAAAGGGTGTTTCCAAACTACTGAATCAAGTGAAAAGTTTTACTCCATGAGACAAATCCACTAATTACAGGGCAGTTTCACCGATAGCTTATTTCTAGTTCTTTTTTCTGGTGATATTTGTTTTTTACCATAGGCCTAAATGAACTCCAAAATGTCTCTTCACAGATTCTACAATAGAAGTGTTTCCAAACTGCTGAATCAAAAAAGGTTAAACTCTCTGAGATGAATCCACACATCACAAAGCAATTTCACAGAAAGTTTCTTTCTAGTTTTTATGTGAGGATATTTGGTTTTTCACTATATGCCTAAATGGGCTCTCTAATATCCCTTCACGGATTCTAACAAAACAGTGTTTCAAACCTGCTGAATCAAAATATATGTTTAAATTTTGAGATGAATAGACACATCACCAAGCAGTTTCACAAATAGTTTCTTTCTAGTTTTTATCTTTGGATAATTGGTTTTTCAGCGTGTGCCTCAAAGGGCTCTCAAATGTCTCTTCACAGTTTCTACAAAAAGAGTGATTCCAACCTGCTGAATCAAAAAAACTTTTAACTCTTTGTGATGAATCCACACATCACAAGCAGTGTCACAGATAGCTTCTTTCTAGTTTTTATCTGAGGATCCTCAGATTTTTATGGTAGACCATCATGGGCTCTCAAATGTCCCTTTGGAGATTCTACAAAAAGAGTATTTCCAAACTGCTGAATCAAAAGAAAGGTTTTACTCTGTGAGATGAGTCCACACATCACAAAGCAGTTTCACAGATAGCTTCTTTCTAGTTTTTATCTGGGAATATTCCGTTTTTCACCATAGGACTTAATAAGCTCCAAAATTTTCCTTCACAGATTCTACAAAAAAAGTATTCCAACATACTGAATCAAAAGAAAGTTTTAACTCTTTGAGATGAATATACACATAGCAAAGCATTTTCACAGATAGATTCTTTCTAGTAATTATCTGAGGATATTCTGGTTTTCACCATAGGCCTCAAAGGGCCCCAAAATGTCTCTTCACAGATTCTACATAAGAGTGTTTCCAACCAGCTGAATCAAAAGACGGTTTTAAATCTGTAACTTGAATCCACACATCACAAAGCAGTTTCACAGATAGTGTCTTTCAAGTTTTTATATGGAGATTTTCTGCTTTTCATTATCAGCCTCAATGGGCTTCAAAATGTCTCTTCTCACATTCCACAACAAAAGTGTTTCCAACTTGCCAAATCAAAAGAAAGGTTTTAACTCTGTGAGATGAAATGACACATCACAAAACAGTTTAAATGATAGCTTGTTTCTAGTTTTTATCTGGGGATATCTGGTTTTTATGGTAGGCCTCAAATAGCTTCCAAATGTCTTATTGCAGATTCCATAAAAAGACAGCTTCCAACATGTTAAATAAAAAAAAAATTTAACTCTATGAAATGAATCCACAAATCAGAAATCAGTTTAACAGATAGCTTTTTTCTACTTTGTATACTGGGATACTTGGTTTTGTACCTTAGGCCTCAATGTGCTCCCAAATGTCCCTTCACAGATTCTACAAAAAGAGGATTTCCAAACTAGTGAATCAAAAGAAATGTTTAACCCTGTGAGATGAATCCACACATCACAAAGCAGATTCACAGATAGCTTCTTTCTAATTTTTATTTGGGTATATTCTATTGTTCACCACAAGACTCTCTGGGTTGCCAAATTTCCCTTCGCAGATTCTACAAAAGAAGAGCTTCCAACCTGCTGAATCAAAACAAACGTTTAACTCTGAGATGAATCCACACATCACAAAGCACTTTTACAGATAGTTTCTTTCCAATTTTTACCTGTGGATATTCTGTTTTTCACCATAGCCTTCAATAGGTTCTGAAATGTCTTTTTGCAGATTCTACAAAAAGAATGTTTCCAACCTGCTGAATCAAAAGTAAAGGTTTAACTCTGTGATATGTATCTGCACATCAAAAGCAGTCTCGCAGATAGCTTCTTTCTAGTTTGCATACTGGGATATTCGATTTTTCACCCTATGCCTCTATGGGCTCCCAAGTGTTTCTTTGAAGATTCTGGAAAAAGAGTGTTTCCAACTTCCTGATTCAAAAGAAACATTGAACTCTGTGAGATGTATCCACACATCAAAAGCAGTTTCACAGATAACTTCTTTCCAGTTTTACCTCTGGATAATGTGTTTCTCATCGTAGGCCTCAATGGGCTTCCAAATGTCCCTTTGCAGATTCTACAAAAAGTGTGTTTTCTTCCTGCTGAATCAAAAGAAAGCTTTAACTCTGTGAAATGAATCCACACATGACAAAGTAGTTTCACAGATACCTTATATCTAGTTTTTATCTGAAGATACTCGGTTTTTCACCTTAGGCTACAATGGTCTTAGAAATGTCCATTTGTAGATTCTCCAAGAAGTGTGTTTCCAACGTGCTGAACACGAAGAAGTGTTTAACTCTTTTGGATGAATCCACACATCCAAAAGCAGTTTCACAGATAGCTTCTTTCTTGTTTTTATCTCAGGATATTCAGTTTTTCACCATAGCCCTCAAAGGGCTTTTAAATTTCTCTTCACAGATTCTACAAAAAGTTTTTCCAACCTACTTAACCAAAATAAACTTTTAGCGCTGTTAGATGAATCCACACATCATTAAGCAGGTTCACTGATAGCTTCTTTCTAGTTTTTATCTAGGCATATACAGTTTTTTATACTAGGCCTCAATCAGCTCCCAAATGTCCCTTTGCAGATTATACAAAAAGAGTGTTTCCAACCTGCTGAATCAAAAGAAAGGTGTAACCCTCTGAGATGAATACACACATCACAAAGAAGATTCACAGAGGGTTTTCATTTGGGTATACTCAGTTTTTCACCTTAGGCCTCCATGGGCTCTCAAATGTCCTTTAACACATTCTACAAAAGGAGCGTTTCCAAACAGCTGAATAAGACGAAAGTTTTAACTCTGTGAAATGAATCCACCCATCACAAAGCAGTGTCACAGACAGTTTCTTTCTAGTTTTTATTTGGGCATATTCTGTTTTTCATTATATGACCCAATCAGCTTTCAAATGTCCCTTTGCACATGCTACAAAAAGAGTGCTTAAAACACACTGAATCAAAAGAAAGGTTTATCTCAGTGGGATAAATCCACACATTACAAAGCACTATCTTAGCTATCTTCTTTCTAGTTTTTATGTTGGGATATTCAGTTTTTCACCATAGGACTCAATGGGCTCTCAAATTTCCCTTTGCAGTTTCTACAAAAGAGTGTCTCCAACATGCTGAATCAAAAGAAATGTTTAACCCTGGGAGATGAATCCACACATTACAAAGCACTTTCACAGATAGATTCTTTCTCGTTTTTATCTTGGGATATTCAATTTTTTACCCTAGGCCTCCACGGGCTCTCAAATGTCCCCTCACAAATTCCACAAAAAGAGTGTTTCCAATCTTCTGAATCAGAAGAAAGGTTTAACTCTGTGAGATGAATCTACACCTCAATAAGCAGTTTCACAAATAGCTTTTTTCTGTTTTCTTTAGGGGGATAATCTTTTTTTTTACCATAGGCCTCAATGCACTACCAAATGTCTCTTCACAGATTCTACAAAAAGAGTGTTTGTAACCAGCTGAATCAAAAGATCTGTTTAACCTTGTGACTTGAATCCATACATTACAAAGCAGTTTCACAGATAACTTTTTTCTTTTTTTTTTCTGGGGATAATTAGTTTTTCACCATAGGCCTCAATTGCCCCTTAAATGTCTCTTTGCAGCTTCTACAAAGAAAGTTTTTCCAATGTACAGATTCAAAAGAAAGGTTTAACACTGTAAGATGAATCTACAAATCACAAAGCAGTTTTGTAGATAGCTTGCTTCTAGTTTTTATCTGGGAATATATGTTTTTTCACCACAGTCTTCAAAGGGTTCCCAACTGTCCCTACGCAGACTCTAAAAAAAGAGTGCATAAAACCTACTGCATTTAAGAAAGTTGTATCCCTGTGTGATGAATCCAGACATCACAATGCACATTCGCAGACAGCTTCTTACTCGTTTTAATCTGTGGATATTTGGTTTCTCACCATAGTCCTCAATGGGCTCCCAAATGTCACTTTGCAGATTCTACAAAAAAAGTGTTTCCTAACTGCTAAATCAAAAGAAAGACTTAACTCTGTGAGATGAATCCACACATCACAAAGGACTTTCAAAGATAACTGCTTTTTTGTTTTACCTGGGGATATTTGATTTTTCACCATAGTCCTTAAGGGGCCCAAAAATGTTTCTTCCCAGATTCTATGAAAAGAGTGTTTCCAACCAGTCAAATCAAAAGAAACTTTTATCGCTATGAGATGAATGCACACATCACAAAGCAGATTCACAGATAACTTCTTTCTCGTTTTTATCTGGAGATATTCTATTTTTCACCATAGGCCTCAATAGGCTTTCAAATGTCCCTTAGTAGTTTCTATAAAGAGAGTGTTTCCAACCTGCTGAACCAAATGAAAGGTTTAATTTCATGAGATGAATCCAAACTTCAAAAAATCAGTTTCACAGATAACTTCCTTCTAGTTTTTATCTTTGTATATTCAGTTTTTCACCTTAGGCCTCAATGCTCTCCCAGATATACTGTTGCAGGTTTTACAAAAAGAGTGTTTCCAACCCACTGAATAAAAAAAAAGGTTTAACTCTCTGAGATGAATGCACACATCATCAAGCACTTTCACACATAGCTTCTTTCTAGTTTTTATTTGAGGATATTTTGTTTTTTACTATAGGCCTCAATAAGCTCTAAAATGTCCCTTAACATATCCTACAAAAAGAGAGCTTAAAAGCGAATGAATGAAAAGAAAGGATTATCTTTGTGAGATGAATCCAAACATCATGAAGGAATTTCACTATTAGCTTCTTTCTAGTTTATAGTTGGGGATATTCTGTTTTCCACCACAGGTCTCAATGGCCTAAACAATGTCCCTTCGCAGATCCTACAAAGACGTGTTACCGGTCTGCAGAAAGAAAATTTAAGCTTACCTCTGTGAGATGACTGCACACATCAGAAAGTACTTTCATGGAGAAATTCTTTCTTGTTTTTATCTAGGATATTCAGTTTTTCACCATAGGCTACAATGTTCTCCCAAATGTCCCTTCACAGATTCTACAAAAAGAGTGCTTAAAGAGTGTTTCCAGCCTGCTGAGTCAAAAGTAATATATAACTCTCTGAGATGAATCCACACATCACAAAGCAGTTTTACAGATATTTCTTTCTTTTTTTGTCTTGGGATATTTTTCACCTTATGCCTCAATGGGCTCCCAAATGCCTTTTCAAATATTCTACAAAAGCAGAGTTTAGAAACTGCTGAATTAAAGTTTAACTCTGTGAGATGAATCCACATATCACAAAGCAGTTTCACAGATAGTTTTTTCTACTTTTTTTCTGGGGATATTCTGTTTTTCACCAAAGGCCACAATGGGCTCCCAAATGTCTCTTTGCAGATTCTTCAGAAAGACTGTTTCCAACATGCTGATCAAAAGTAAAGTTTAACTCTGTGAGATGAATCCACACATCACAAAGCAATTTTACAGATTTCCTCTTTCTAGTTTTTATCTGGGGATATTTCGTTTTTCACTGCAGGCTTCAATGGGCTCTGCAATGTCCCTTTGCAGATTCTAAAAAAAGAGTGTTTCCAACATGTTAATCAAGAGAAAGAGTTAACTCAGTGTGGTGAACCAACACAACACAAACGAGTTTTGTAGATAGTTTCTTTCTAATTTTCATTTGGCAATATTCAGTTTTTCAACAAGGGCTTCAGTGGGCTCCCAAATATCCTTTTGCAGATTCTAAAAAAAGAAGTGTTTCCAACCAGCTGAATCAAAAGAAAGGTTTAACTCTGTGAGATGAATCCACACATCACAAAGTCGTTTCACAGACAGCGTCTTTCTAGCTTTTATCTGGGGATATTTGATTTTTCACTACAAGCCTCAATGGGCTCCAAAATGTCTCCTTGCGGACCCTACAAAAAGACTGTTTCCAACTTCTGAATAAAAAGAAAGGTTTATCTCTTTGAAATGAATCAACGTAAAACAAAGCAGTTTCACATATAGCTTCTTTCTACTTTTTCTCTGAGAGTATTCCGTTTTCTCTACAGGTCTCAAAGGGATTTCAAATGTCCATCCACAGATTCCACAAAAGACTGTTTCCAGCCTGCTGAATCAAAAGAATGTGTTAACTGTGTGAGATGAATCCACACTTCATAAAACTGTTCCACAGATAGCTTCTTTCTAGTTTTTATCTGGGATCATTTGGATTTTCACAGTAGGCAAAAATGGGCTCTCAAATGTGGCTTCTCAGATGCTACAAAAAGAGTGTTTCCAACCTGCTGAGTCAAGACAAAGGCTTAACTCTGTGAGATAAGTCCACCCTACAAAATCCAGTTTCACAGATAACTTCTTTCTAGTTTCTATCTGGGGATATTCAGTTTTTCATTCCTCATAAGCCTCATTGGGTTCCAAATGTCTTTTCACAGATTCTATTAAAAGAGTGTTTCCAACCTGCTGAGTCAAAAGAAAGGTTTATCCACGTGAGATGAATCCACACATCACAAAGCAGTTTCACAGATAACTTCTTTCCAGTTTTTATCTAGGGATATTCAATGTTTCACTACAGGCATCAAGGGGCTCCCAAATGTCCTAAGACAGAAGTTACAAAAAGACTGTTTTTCACCTGCTGAGTCAACAGAAAGTTTTAACCCTGTGATATGAATCCACACATCACAAAGCAGTTTCACAGATAGCTTCTTTCTTCTTTTTCTCTGGGGATATTCTGTTTTTCCCCATAGGCCATAATGGGATTCCAAATGTGTCTTCACAGATTCTACAAAAAGAGTTTCTGACCTGCTCAATGAAAAGAGAGATTTAACTGTGTGAGGTGAATCCACACATTGCAAAGCAGTTTCATAGATAGCTTCCTGCTAGTTTTTATCTTGGGGTATTCCGTTTTTCACCATAGGCCTCAATTGGCTACAAATTGCCCCTTTGCAGATTCTACCAAAAGATAATTTCTAACCTGCTGAATCAAAACAAAGTTTTAACTCTGTGAGATGAATTCACACATCACAAACAAGTTACACAGATGGCTTCTTTCTACTTTTTATCTGGGATGTTCTGTTTTTCACTCTAGGCTTCAAAGGGATCTTAACTGTCCCTTCACAGATTCTACAAAAGAAGTTTTTCAAACCTGCTGAATCAAAAGAAAACTTTAGCTGTGTAAGATTAATCCACACATCATGCAGCACTTTCACACATAGCTTCTTTCTAGTTTTTGTCTGGGAATATTTGGTTTTTCTCCTTAGGCCTCAATGGGACCCCAAATTTCCCTTTGCAGATTCTTCACAAAGAGTGTTTCCAAACTGCTGTACCAAAAAAAACGTTTGACTCTGTGAGATAAATCCACACATCACAAAGCAGTTTCACAAATTGCTTTTTTCTAGTATTTATCAGGGGATATTCAAAGTTTCACCATAGGCCTCAATGGGCTCCCAAATGTCCCTTCACGGTTTACACAAAAAGTGTTTAAAACTGGCTGAATCAAAATAAAGGTTTAACTGTGGGATGATTCCGTACATCACAAAGCAGTTTCACAGATAGCTTCCTTCCAGTTTTCCTCTGGGGATATTCGGTCTTTCATTATAGGCCTTAAAGGGCTCCCAAATGTTTCCTCACAGAATCTACAAAAAAAGTGTTACCAACCTGCTGAGTCAAAAGAAAGTTTTAATTTTGTGAGATGAATCCATTCATCAAAAAGCAGTTTCACAGATCGCTTCTTTCTAGTTTTTAATCTATGGATATTCTGTTTTTCACCTTAGGTCTCAGTGGGCTGCCTAATGTAACTTCCCAGATTTTACACAAAGAGTGTTTCCAACTTGCTGAATAAAATCCAAGATTTATCTCTGTGAGATGAATCTACACATCACAAACAAGTTTTCAGCTAGATTTTTCTAGTTTTTATCTGGGGATATTCTGTTTTTCACCATAGGACTCAATGGGCACCAAAATGTCCCTTCACATACTCTACAAAAAGAGTGTCTCCAAGCTGATGAGTCCAAAGAAAAGTTTAACTCCATGAGATGATTTCACATATCAGAAAACTGTTTCACAGATACCTTCTTTCTAGTTTTTATAAGAAAATATTTGGTTTTTCACCATAAGCCTTTTTGGCCTCCTAAATGCCCCTTAGCAGATTCTACAAAAAGAGTGTTTTCAACCTGTTGAGTCAAAAGAACGGTTTAATTCTGTGAGTTGTAACCACACATGACAGAACCATTTCACAGAGCACTTCTTTCTAGGGGAATTTCAGTTTTTCACCATGGGTTTCAATAAGCTGCCAAATATCCCTTTGCAGATTCTATAACAAGTTTTTCTAAACTGTTGAATCAAAAGAAAGGTTTAAATCTATGAAATGGGTCCACACATCACAAACCAGTTTCATAGATAGCTTCTTTCTAGTTTTTATCTGAGGATATTCCTTTTTTCAAAATAGGCTTAAATGGGCTCCACTTGTACCATCACAGATTTTACAAAAGCTGTGTTTTCAATCTGCTGAATCAAAAGAAGGGTTTAACTCCGTGAGATAAATCCACACATCACAAAGCAGTTTTACAGACAGCCCCTTTCTAGTTTTCATTCATGGGTATTTGGTTTTTCAGTGTAGGACTCAATGAGCACCAAATTGTTCCATCAAAGATTCTTCAGAATGACTATTTTCCAACCTGCTGATCAAAAGAACAGTTTAACTCAGTGAGATGAATCCACACATCACCAAGCAGTTTCACAGACAGCTCCTTTCCAGTTTTTATCTGGTGATATTTGCTTTTTTACCATAGACCTGAATGGGCTGCCAAATGTTTCTTCACAGAATCTACAAAAAGAGTTTGTCCAAATTGCCAAATCAAAAGAAAAGTTTAACTCCATGAGATGAAATTTCACACATCAAAAATCGGCTTCCCAGATGGTTTCTTCTGGTTTTATAAGTTGATATTTGGTTTTTCAATATATGCTTCAATGGGCTCACAAATGTTCCATTGCATATTCTACAAAAAAAAAAATGTTTCCAACCTGCTGTATCAAAAGTATGGTTTACCTCTGTGAGATGAATCCACACATCACAATAAGTTTCACAGATCACTTCTTTCCATTTTTTATCTGGGGATGTTCGGTGTTTCACCATGGGCCCCAACTGCTCCCAAATGTCCTTTCACAGGTTCTACAAAAAGTGTTTCCAACCTGCTGATCAAAAGTAAGGTTTAACTTTGTGAAATGAATCCACACATCACAAAGCAGTTTCACAGTTAGCTTATTTCCAGTTTTTGTCTGAGGATAATAGGTTTTTCACAATAGGCTTCAATGGGCTACAAATTGTTCCCTGGAGTGTACACACTCCAAAAAAGTGTGTTTCCAACCTCCTTAATCAAAACAGAGGTTTAAAGGTTTAACTCTGTTAGATGATTACACAAAACAAAGCAGTTTCACAGAGAGCTTCTTTCTAGTTTTCATCTTGGGATAGTCCGTTTTCACCAAAGGCCTCAATGGGCTCTAAAATGTAACCTTGCAGATTCTATAAAAAGAGTGTTTTCAAACTGCTGAGTCCAAAGAAACATATAACTCTGTGAGATAACTCCACACATCACAAAACAGTGTCACAGATAGTTTCTAGTTTTTATCTGGAGGGTACTCAATTTTTCACCATATGCCTGAATGGGCTCCCAAATATCCCCTCTCAGATTCTACAAAAAGAGTTTTTCCAACCTACTGAATCAAAAGATAGGCTTAACTTTTTGAGATGAATCTACACATCATGAAGCAGTTTCACAGAGAGTTTCTTTCTAGTTTTTATCTGGGAATATTCAGTTTTTCACCATATACCTCAATTAGTTCCCAAATGTCTGATCAAAGATTCTACAAAAAGGGAGTTTCCAACATGTTCAATCAAAAGAATGTTTTTGATATGGGAGATGATCCCACACATCACAAAGCAGTTTCAAAGATAGTGTCTTTTCAGTTTTAATCTTTGATGTTCTGTTTTTCACCATAGACCTCAATGGGCTCCCAAATATCTCTATGCAGATTCTACAAAAAGAGTGTTCCATACTTCTGAATCAAAAGAATATTTCAACTCTGTGACATGAATGCAAACATGACAAACCAGTTTCACACATAGTTTCTTTATAGTTTTTAACTGAGGGTGTTCGGTTTTTTAAAATAGGCTAAATTGGGCTCCAAAATGTCCCTTCACAGATTCTACAAAAAACTGTTTCCAACCTGCTGAATCAAAAGAAACTTTTAACTCTGTGAGATGAATACACACATCCCAATAAATTTCATAGACACCTTCTTTCTAGGTTTTGTCTGTGGATATTCAGTTTTTCACGATAGGCCTCAATGGTCTCCAAAATATCCCATCATAGATTATACAAAAAGAGGGTTTCTAACCTGCTCAATCAAAAGAAAGGTTTAGCTTTGTGAGATGAATCCACACATCAAAAATCAGTTTCACAGATACATTCTCTCTAGTTTTTATCTGGGGATGTTCGGGTTTTCACCATAGGCTTCAATGTGCTCAAAAATGTCCCTTCAAAGATTCTACAAGAAGAGGATTTCCAATATGCTGAATCAATAGAAAATTTAAACTGTGTCAGATGAATCCACAGATCACAAAGCAGTTTCACAGATTGCTTTTTTCTAGTTTTTATCTGGGGATGTTTAGTTTTTTACCTCAGGTCTCAATGAGCTCTCAAATATCCGTTTGCAGATTCTACAGAAAGAGTGTTTCCCATCTACTGAATCAAAAAAAAGATGTAACTCTTTGAGATGAATTTAAACATCACAAAGCAGTTTCATAGATAGTTTCTTTCTACTTTTTATTTGGGTATGTTTGATGTTTTACCATAGGCCTCAATGGGCCCCAAAATGTTTCTTTGCAGATTCTACAAAAAGAGTGTTTCCAATCTGCTGAATCATTGAAACTTTTAACTCTATTGGATGAATCCACACATCACAAGGCAGTTTCACAGATAGCTTTTTTTCTAGTTTTTAACTGGGGATTTTTTTTTCACCCTAGGCCTCAATGGGCTCCCAAATGTCCCTTTAAAGATATCTTTAAAATAGTGTTTCCAACCTGCTTAATTTAAAGAAAGGTTTAAATCTGTGAGATGAACTCACACATCAAAAAGCAGTTTCAAGTATAGCTTCTTTCTAGTTTTACTCTGGGGATGTTTGGTTTTTCAACATAGGTCTAAATGGGCTCCCAAATATTCCTTCACAGATTCTACAAAAAAGAGTGTTTCCAACCTGCTGAATCAAAAAAAATGTTTCAACTCTGTGAGACGAATGCACACAATGCAAACCAGTTTTTCTGATGGCTTCTTTCTAGTTTTCATTTGGGGAGGTTCTGTTTTTCACAATAGGTTTCATTGGGCTCCCAAATGTCCCTTCACAGGTTCTACAAAGTGACTGTTTCAAATGTGCCGAATCAAAAGAAAGTGTTTTCCCTGGGAGATGAATCCACAGATCAAAATGCAGTTTCACAGATAGCTTCTTTCTAGTTTTTCTGCATATGTCTTTTTTCACGAGGGACCTCAATGAGGTACCAAATGTCCCTTCATAGATTCTACAAAAAGAGGGTTTTCTGACTTGCTGAATCTAAAGAAAGGGTTAACTCAGATGAACCCATACCTCACAAAGCAGTTTCACAAATAGTTTCTTTCTAGTTTTTAACTGAAGATATTCGATTTTTCACCATAGGTTTCAATGGGCTTTCAAATGTCCCTTCACAGATTCTACAAAAATGGTGTTTCCAACTTGCTGAATCTAAACAAAGCTTTAACTCAGTGAAATGAATAAACTCAAAACAAAGCTATTTCACAGATAGCTTATTTGTAGTTTTTTCTGTGAACCTCCCTTTTTTCAACATAGGCATCAATGTTTTCCCAAATGTCCCTTTGCACATACTGCAAAAACAGTGTTTACAACTTGCTGATTCAAAACCAATGTTTAACTCTCTGAGATGAATCTACACAGCACAAGACAGTTTCACAGATAACATTTTTCTATTATTACCTGGGGATGTTCTGTTTTTCACTGTAGGTCTTCATGGGCTCCAAAATCTCCCTTTACAGATTCTACAAAAGGAGTCTTCCCAACCTGCTGAATCAACAGAAAACTTTAACTCTGTGGGATGAATCCACACATCACAAAGCAGTTTTACAGATAGTTTCTTTCCAGTTTTTATCTGGAGATATTCAGTTTTTCATCAAAGTCATCAATGGGCTCCAATATGTCCCTTGACAGAATGTTTTCAAAAAATTGTCTCCAACTTGCTGAATCAAAAGAGAAGCCAAATGAGAAGTTTAACTCTGTACAATGAATCAAAACATTACATAGCACTTTCACAAATAGCTTCTTTCTGGTTTTTATTTTGGGATAATAGGTTTTTCACCATAGGCCTCAATGGGTTCCCAAGTGTCCCTACGTAGAATCTCAAAAAGAGTGTTTCCAATCTGCTGAATCAAAAGAAAGGTTGAACTATTTGAGATGAATCCACACATCACAAAGCAGTTATACCGATAGGTTCTTTCTAGTTTTTATCTGAAGATGTTCCAATTTTTACCATAGGCCTCTATGGGCTCCAAAATATATTTTCACAGATTTTACAAAAAGAGTGTCTCAAGCCTGGTGAATCAAAAGAAAGTTTCAACTCTGTGAGATGAATCCACACATCACAAAGCAGTTACACATATTGCTTCTTTCTAGTTTTTATCTTTGGATATTCTGTTTTTCATCATAGGTAGGCCTCAATGGGCTCCAAATGTCACTTCACAGATTCTACAAAGAGGGTATTTATAACCTACTGAATCAAAACAAAGGTTTAACTCTAGGAGATGACTCCACACGATACGAAACTGTTTCACAGATAGCTTTTTTCTAGTTTTGATCAGGAAATTTTCGGTTTTTCACCATAGGCCTCAGTGTGCTCCCAAATATTCCTTTAAAGATTCAAAAAATAGAGTGTTTCCATGTGCTCCCAAATGTTTCTTTAAAGGTTCAAAAAATAGCGTGTTTCCAATGTGCTGAATCAGAAGAAAGTTTTAAGTATGTGAGATGAATCCACGCATAACATACAAGTTTCACAGATATCTTCTTTGTAGCTTTTATCTACAGTTATTTAAATTTTCAATACAGTCCTCAATGGACTCTCAAATGTCACTTTGCAACATCTAGGAATAGAGTGTTTCCAGTATGCTGAGTCAAAAGAAAGTTTTACATCTGTGAGATGAATCCACATATCCCAAAGCAGTTAAACAGATAACTTCTTTCTAGTTTTTACCTGGGGATATTCAGTTTCTCACAGTAAGCCACCATGGGCTCCAAATGTTCTTTTGCAGATTCTACAGAAAGAGTATTTCCAATGTGCTGAATTCAAAGTAATGTTTAACACCATGAGATGAATCCACAAATCACAAAGCAGTTTCACTGATAGCTTCATTGTAGTTTTTATCTGGGGATATTCAGTATTTCTCTAAAGGCCACAATGGGCTCCCAAATGTCTCTATGTAGATTCTACAAAAAGAGTGCTTCCAATCTGCTTAGTAAAAGGGATGTTTTAAATCTGTGAGTTGAGTCCACAAACCAGAAAGCAGTTTCAGAGATAGCTTCTTTCTTGTTTTATGTGGGGTAATCTGTTTTTCACTATAAGCCAGTATGAGCTCCCAAATTGTCACAGAATCTTCAAAAAGATTGTTTCCAACCTGCTGAATGAAAAGAAAAGTTTAAATCTGTGAGATGAATTCACACATCACAAGAAAGTTGTTTTACAGATTGCTGCTTTCTAGTTTTTCCCTGGGGATATTTGATTTTTCACCCTAGGCTTCAATAGTCTCCAAAATATGCATTCACAGATTTTTCAAAAAAAAGTGTTTCCAACCTGCTGAATCAAAATAATGGTTTAACTCTGTGAGATGAATCCACACATCACAAAGTAGTTTCATTGATACCTTCTTTCTAGTTTTTATCTGGGGATATTCTGTTTTTCACCATAGGACTCAAAGGGCTTTCAAATGTTCCTTCACAGATTCTACATAAAGAGTGTTAAAAACTTGCTGAATCAAAAATTATTTAAGTCTGTGAGATGAATCAACACATTGCAAAACAATTTCACAGATAGCTCCTTTGTAATTTTTATCTGGCAATATTTGTTTTCTCACAATATGCCTCACTGTCTTCCAAATGTTTCTTCACAGATTCTACAAAAGAGTGTACAACCTTCTGAATTGAAAGAAAGTTTTAAATTTGTGAGATGAATCCAAAGATCAAAAGGCAGTTTTACAGATAGTGTCTTTCTAGTTTTTATTGGGGGATATTTGGTTTTAACCAAAGGCCTAAAAGGCCTCCCACATAACCTTCATAGATTCTACAAAAAGAGTGTTTCCCACCTGCTGAATCAAAGGAAAGATTCAATTCTGTGAGATAAATCCATACATCACAAAGCAGTTTCACAGATATCTTTGTCTCCTTTTTATCTGGGGATTTTTTGTGACCATGAGCCTCAATGGGCTGCCAAATATTCCCTCTCAGATTCTACAGAAAAAGTTTATCCAACCTGCTCAGTCAAAAGAAAGGTTTAACACTGTGAGATGAATCTGCTCACCACAGAGCACTTTCTGTGATAGTTTCTTTCTAGTTTTTATCTGGAGATACTCTGATTTTAACCAAAGCCTCTATGGGCACCAAGATGTCCCTATGCAAATTCTACAAAAAGGGTGATTTCGACCTTATGAATCAAAAGATAGGTTTACCTCTGTGGGAAGAATGCACATATAACAGAGCAGTTTCACAGATAGCTTCTTTTTAGTTTTTATCTGGGGATATAATGTTTCAACATAGGCCTCAATGGGCTTTAAAATGTCCCTTTGCAAATACTTCAAAAAGAGTGTTTTCAACCTGTTGATCAAATATAAGGTTTAACTCTGTGAGATGTATCAAAGCATCACAAAGCAGTTTCACAGATACTTTATTTCTAGTTTTCACCTTAGGCCTCAGTGGGCCCCCAAATGTCTTTTTGAAGACTCTACAAAAACAGTGTATCCAACCTGCTGAATCCAAAGAAAGTTTTAACTCCTTGAGATAACTGTACACATCACAAAGCAGTTTCACAGATAGCATCTTTCTAGTTTTCTATCTGAAGATATTCGTTTTTTCCCATAGGTTTCACTGGGCTCCCATATGTCCCTACACAGATTCTATAAAAAAACTGTTTCCAACCTGATGAATCAAAAGCAAGATTTAACTCTGTGAGATGAATCCACACATCACAAAGCAGTTAAAAGATAGCTTCTTTCTAATTTTTATCTCCGGATATTCACTTTTTCACCAGAGGCCTCAATGGACTCTTAATTGTCCTGTTGCCAATTCTACAAAAAGAGTGTTTCCAATGTGCTGAATGAAAAGAAAAATTTAATTATTTGAGAGGAATCCTGACATCACAAAGCAGATAGACTCTTTCTATTTTTTATATGGGGATATTTAGTTTTTTACCATAGGCCTCTATGGCCTCAAAATTGTCCCTTCAAATATTGTACGAAAAAGTTTTTCCAACCTTCTCAGTAAAACAAAAGGTTCAACTCTCTGAGATGAATCCATCCATCAGTAAGCAGTTTCACAGACAGCTTCTTTCTAGTTTTATCTGAGTATATTCGGTTTTTTGCCATAGGTCTCAAAGGGCTCCAAAATGCCTCTTTGCAGATTCTACAAAAGGTGTGTTTCCAACCTGCTGGATGAAAGGAATGTTTTACCTCTGTGAGATGAATCCACACATGACAAAGCAGTTTCACAGATAGTTTCCTTCAATATTTTTTTTTATCTGGGGACATTAAGTTCTTCACTATAGGCCTCAATGGGCTCTCAAATGTCCCTTTGTAGATTCTACAAAGAAGGGTTTTCCAACTGCTGAATGAAAAGCTAGGTTTAACTCTGTCACATGAATGCACACATCACAAACAAGTTTCAGAGCCAGCTTCTTTCTAGTTTTTATCTGAAGATACTCAGTTTTTCACCATAGGCATAAATGGCACCAACATGTCCCTTCACAGATTCTACAAAGAGAAGGTTTCCAACCTGCTTAATCAAAAGAAAGGTTTATCCCTGTAAGATGAATCTATGCATCATAAAGCAGTTTCACAGAAAGCTTTTTTCTAGTTTTTATCTGGGGATATTCTGATTTTTACCATAGGCCTCAATGGGCTCCCAAATGTCCATAGGTAGATTCTACATAAAGAGTGTTTCCAACCTGCTGAATCAAAGAAAAATTTAACTTTGTGAGATGAATCCATATATCACAAAGGAGTTTCACAGATAGCTTATTCCTCGTTGTTATCTGGGAATATTCTGTTTTTCACCATAGGCGTCAATGGGCTCCCAAGTGTTTCTTCTCACAATCTAAAAAAACAGTGTTACCAACCTCCTATATCAAAAGAAAGGTTTAACCCTGTGAGATAAAACCACACATCACAAAGGAATTTCACAGACAGCTTCTTTCTAGTTTTTATCTGCAGATATTCAGTATTTCATCAAAGGTCTCAATGGGCTCCCAAATGTTCCTTCATAGATTCTACAAAAAGAGTGATTCCAATCTGCTGAATCAAAAGAAAGATTTACCTCTGTGTGATGAAGCCACACATAGCAAACCGGTTTCACATATAGATTCTTTCTAGTTTTTGTCTGGGTATTTTAGGTTTTCCACTTTAGACCTCAATAGTCTTTCAAATGTCCCTTCACAGATACTACAAAACGTGTTTCCAAACTGTGGAATCAAAGGAAACGTTTCCGTCTGTGAGATGAATCTACACATCACAGAGCAGTTTCACAGATAGCTTCTTTCTCATTTTTGTCTGGGGATATTCCATTTGTTACCATAGGTTTCAATGGGCTTCACATGTCCCTTTGCAGATTCTACAAAAAGAGTGTTTCCAACCTGCTGAATCAAAAGGAAAGTTAAACTCTGTGAGATGAATCCAAACATCACAAAGCAGTTTTACAGATATCTCCTTTCTAGTTTTCGTTCATGAATATTTTGTCTTTCACCATAGACCTCAATGGATTCACAAATGTCTCTTTGCATTTTCTAAGAAAATGAGTGTTTTCAACCTCCTGAAGCAAAAGAACAATTTAACACTGTGAGATGAATCCACACATCACAAAGAAGTATAACAGATAGATTCTTTCTAGTTTTTATCTGGGGATATTCTGTTTTTGACCATAGGCCACAGCATAGGCCTCAATGGGGTCCTGAAGTCCTTTCACAGATTCTATAAGAAGAGGGTTTCTAACCTGTTGAATCAAAAGTATGGTTT
Organism: Homo sapiens; assembly: GCF_000001405.40. Classification (NCBI taxonomy): domain Eukaryota; kingdom Metazoa; phylum Chordata; class Mammalia; order Primates; family Hominidae; genus Homo; species Homo sapiens. Next base: position 43,650,760 of record NC_000008.11, on the reverse strand, counting down.
CACTCTGTGAGATGAATCCACACATCACAAAGTAGTTTGACAGATAGCTTACTTTTAGATATTATCTGGGGATAATCTGTTTTTCACCTTAGGCCACCATAGGCTTTCAAATGTAACTTCACAGATTCTAAAGAAAGAGTGTTTCCACCTTACTGAGTCAACAGAAATGTATCACACTGTGAGATGAATCCACACATCACAAAGAAGTTTTACAGGTAGCTTCCTTCCCATTTTTATCAGGGGATATTATGTTTTTAACCATAGACTTTAATGGGTTCCCAAATGTCCTTTCACAGATTCCACAAAAAGGTGTTTCCAACCTGCTGACTCAAAGGATAGGTTAAACTCTTTGGAATGAATCCACACATCACAAAGGATTTTCCCAGATATCTGCTTTCTACTATTTATCTGGGGATATTCTGTTTTTCAGCATAGGCCTCACTTGGCTCCCAAATGTCCCTTTGCAGTTTCTACAAAAAGAGTGTTTCCAAACTGCTAAATAAAAAAACGTTTTAACTCTGTGAGATGAATCCATGCATCAAAAAGCATTTTAACAGATAGCTCCCTTCTAGTTTTTATCTGGGAATATTCTGTCTTTCACCATAGGCCTCAATGGGCTCCCAAATATCCCTTCACAGATTCTACAAAAAGAGTGTTGCCAACCTGCTGAATCAAAAGCAAGGTTTAACTCTATGAGATAAATGCATACATGAAAAAGCAGTTTAATGTAATGTATAACTTCTTTCTGGTTTTTATCTGAAGATATTCTGTTTTTTCCCAAAAGCTTCAATAGGCTCCCAAATGTTTCTTCTCAGGTTCAACAAAAAAGGTTTCCAACCTAATGAATCAAAAGCAAGGTTTAAATCAGTGAGGTGAATCCACACATCACAAAGCAGCTTTGATGATAGCATCTTTCGAATTTTTATCTGGAGATAATTCCTTTTTCAACAGAGGCCTCAAAGGGCTCTTAATTATTTCTTCTCTGATTCTAAAACAAGAGTGTTTCTAATGTGCTGAATCAAAAAAAAAGTTTAACTGTTTGAGATGAATTCCCACATCACAAAGCAGTTTCACAGACAGCTTCTTTCTAGTTTTTATCTGGGGATATTTTGTTTTATGCCGTGGATTTCAATGGGCTCACAAAAGTCCCTTTGAATATTCTACAAAAAGCATGTTTCCAACCATCTTAGTAAAAGGAAACTTTTAACTCTGTGAGATGAATCCATACATCAGTAAGCAGTTTTACAGATAGCTTCTTCTGAGTTTTGTCTGATGACATTTCATTTTTTCACCATAGGTCTCACTAAGCTCCCAAATGTCCCTTTGCATATTCTACAAAAAGAGTGTTTCCAACCGGTTGCATCAAAGGAAAGGTTTAACTCTGTGAGATTTTTTTTTTATTATTATATTTTAAGTTTTAGGGTACACGTGCACAATGTGCAGGTTAGTTACATATGTATACATGTGCCATGCTGGTGTGCTGCACACATTAACTCGTCATTTAGCATTAGGTATATCTTCTAAAGCTATCCCTCCCCCCTGACCCCACCCCACAACAGTCCCCAGAGTGTGATGTTCCCCTTCCTGTGTCCATGTGTTCCCATTGTTCAATTCCCACCTATGAGTGAGAATATGCAGTGTTTGGTTTTTTGTTCTTATGATAGTTTACTGAGAATGATGATTTCCAACTTCATCCATGTCCCTATAAAGGACATAAACTCATCATTTTTTATGGCTGCATAGCATTCCATGGTGTATATGTGCCACAGTTTCTTAATCCAGTCTATCATTGTTGGACATTTGGCTTGGTTCCAAGTCTTTGCTATTGTGAATAGTGCTTCAATAAACGTACGTGTGCATGTTTCTTTATAGCAGCATGATTTATAGTCCCTTGGGTATATACTCAGTAATGGGATGGCTGGGTCAAATGTTATTTCTAGCTCTAGATCCTTGAGGAATCGCCACACTGACTTCCACCATGGTTGAATTAGTTTACAGTCCCACCAACAGTGTAAAAGTGTTCCTATTTCTCCACATCCTCTCCAGCACCTGTTGTTTCCTGACTTTTTAATGATTGCCATTCTAACTGGTGTGATTTGGTATCTCATTGTGATTTTGATTTGCATTTCCCTGATGGCCAGTGATGGTGAGCATTTTTTCATGTGTTTTTTGGCTGCATAAATGTCTTCTTTTCAGAAGTGCCTGTTCATATCCTTTGCCCACTTTTTGATGGGGTTGTTTTTTTTTTCTTGTAAATTTGTTTGAGTTCATTGTAGATTCTTGATATTAACCCTTTGTCAGATGACTAGGTTGCGAAAATTTTCTCCCATTTTGTAGGTTGCCTGTTCACTCTGATGGTAGTTTCTTTTGCTGCACAGAATCTCTTTAGTTTAATTAGATCCCATTTGTCAATTTTGGCTTTTGTTGCCATTGCTTTTGGTGTTTTAGACATGAAGTCCTTGTCCATGCCTACGTCCTGAATGGTATTGCCTAGGTTTTCTTCTAGGGTTTTTATGGTTTTAGGTCTAACGTTTAAATCTTTAATCCATCTTGAATTAATTTTGGTATAAGGTGTAAGGAAGGGATCCAGTTTCAGTTTTCTACATATGGCTAGCCAGTTTTCCCAGCACCATATATTAAATAGGGAATCCTTTTCCCATTGCTTGTTTTTCTCAGGTTTGTCAAAGATCAGATAGTTGTAGATATGTGGCATTGTTTCTGAGGGCTCTGTTCTGTCCCATTGATCTATATCTCTGTTTTGGTACCAGTACCATGCTGTTTTGGTTACTGTAGCCTTGTAGTATAGTTTGAAGTCAGGTAGCATGATGCCTCCAGCTTTGTTCTTTTGGCTTAGGATTGACTTGGTGATGTGGGCTCTTTTTTGGTTCCATATGAACTTTAAAGTAGTTTTTTCCAATTCTGTGAAGAAAGTCATTGGTAGCTTGATGGGGATGGCATTGAATCTGTAAATTACCTTGGGCATTATGGCCATTTTCACGATATTGATTCTTCCTACCCATGAGCATGGAATATTCTTCCATTTGTTTGTATCCTCTTTTATTTCATTGAGCAGTGGTTTGTAGTTCTCCTTGAAGAGGTCCTTCACATCCCTTGTAAGTTGGATTCCTAGGTATTTTATTCTCTTTGAAGCAATTGTGAATGGGAGTTCACTCATGATTTGGCTCTCTGTCTGTTGGTATATAAGAATGCTTGTGATTTGTGTACATTGATTTTGTTTCCTGAGACATTGCTGAAGTTGCTTATCAGCTTAAGGATATTTTGGGTTGAGACAATGGGGTTTTCCAGATATACAATCATGTCATCTGCAAACAGGGACAATGTGACGTCCTCTTTTCCTAATTGAATACCCTTTATTTCCTTCTCCTGCCTAATTGTCCTGGCCAGAACTTCCAACACTATGTTGAATAGGAGTGGTGACAGAGGGCATCCTTGTCTTGTGCCAGTTTTCAAAGGGAATGCTTCCAGTTTTTGCCCATTCAGTATGATATTGGCTGTGGGTTTTTCATAGATAGCTCTTATTATTTTGAGATACATCCCATCAATACCTAATTTATTGAGAGTTTTTAGCATGAAGCATTGTTGAATTTTGCCAAAGGCCTTTTCTGCCTCTATTGAGATAATCAAGGGGTTTTTGTCTTTAGTTCTGTTTATATGCTGGATTAGGTTTATTGATTTGCGTATATTGAACCAGGCTTGCGTCCCAGAGATGAAGCCCACTTGATCATGGTGGATAAGCTTTTTGATGTGCTGCTGGATTCAGTTTGCCAGTATTTTATTGGGATTTTTGCATCAATGTTCATCAAGGATATTGCTCTAAAATTCTCTGTTTTGTTTGCATCTCTGCCTGGCTTTGGTATCAGGATGATGCTGGCCTCATAAAATGAATTAGGGAGGATTCCCTCTTTTTCTATTGTTTCGAATAGTTTCAGAAGGAATGAGATTAACCCACAGATCACAAAGCAGTTTTACATCTAGCTTCCTTCAATTTTTTTATCTGGGAAATTTCAGTTGTTGATCATAGGTCTCTATGGGCACTCAAATATCCCTTCACAGTTTCTACGAAAAAGTGTTTGCCACCTGCTGAATCAAAAGCAAGGTTTACTTCAGTTAGATGAATGCATACATCACAAACCAGTTTCACAGATGGCTTCTTTCTAGTTTTTATTTGGGGATACTTGGTTTTTCACTGTATACCTCAATGGGCTCTCAAATGTCCCTTCACAGGTTCTACAAAAAAGTGTTTCCCATCTGCTGAATAAAAAGAAATGTTTAACTCCGTGTGATGAATCTACACATCACAAACCAGTTTCACAGATAGTTTCTTTTGAGTTTTTATCAGGATATTCAGTTTTTCACCATAGGCGTCAATGGGCCCTCAAATGTCCCATCACAGATTGTACAAAAGAGTTTTCAACCTGCTGAATAAAAAGAAATGTTTAATTCTGTGAGATGAATCCAAACATCACAAAGCAGTTACACAGATAGCTTTTTTCTAGTTTTTATCTGGAAATATTCTGTTTTTTACCATAGGCCTCAATGGGCTCCCAAATATCCTTTTACAGATTCTACAAAAAGAGTATTTCCAATGTGCTGAATCAAAGAAAGGTTTAACTCTGTTAGATGAATCCACACATCACAAAAAAGTTTCACAGATAGCTTCTTTCAAGTTTTTATTTGGAATACTCTGTGTTTCACCACAGGCTTCAAATATCTCTTAAATGTTTCTTCACAGAATCTACAAAAACAGTGCCACAAACCTTCTGAATCAAAAGAAAGGTTTAACCCTGTGAAATCAATGCACACATCACAAATCGGTTTCACAGATAGCTTCTTTCTAGATTTTATCTGGGGATATTCTGTTTTTCACCATAGATCTCAATGCACTCTTTTATGTCCCTTTGCAGATTTTACAAAAAGATTATTTCCAACCTGCTGAATCAAAAGAAAGGTTTAACTCTGTCAGATAAATCCACACGTCACAAACTGGTTTCACAGATAGATTTTATGTAGTTTCTATCTGAGGATATTTGGTTTTTCACTATAGACATCAAAAAGCTCCCAAATGTCCCTTTGCACATACTACAAAACGTGTTTCCAACCTACTGAAGCAAAAAAAAATGTTTAACTCTTTGAGATGAATCCACACATCACAGAACAGTTTCTCAGAAAGCTTCTTTCTAGTTTTTATCTGGGTATATTTCGTTTTTCACCATAGGCCTCCTGGGCTCCACATATCCCTTCTCAGATTCTACAAAAAGTGTGTTTCCAACCTTCTGAATTAATAGAAAGGTTTAACTCTGTGAGATGAATCCACACATCACAAAGCAGTTTTACAGATAGCTCCTTTCTAATTTTTATCCATAGATACTTTGTTTTTCACTGTATGCCTCAATAGGCTCCCAAATGTCCTTTTGCAAATTCTACAGAGTGTTTCCATCCTGCTGAACCAAAAGAAACATATAACTCTGGGAGATGATCCACACATCTCAAAGAAGTTTCACAGACATCTTCTTTCTAGTTTCTATCTGAAGATATTCGGTTTTTCACCATAGGATTCAATGGGCTCACAAATGTCCCTTAGCATTTTTTACAAAAAGATTATTTTCAACCTCATGAAACAAAAAAAAATGGTTTAACTCTGTGATAGGAATCCACACATCACAAAGTAGTTTAACAGATAGAGTCTTTCTAGTTTTTATGTGGTTTATTCGATTTTTCACCCTAGGCCTCAGTGGGCTCCCAAATATCCCTTTGCAGATTCTAAGAAAAAACTGTTTCCCACCTGCTGATCAAAAGAACAGTTTAACTCTGTGAGATGAATCAACACATCATGAAGCAGTTTTACAGATAGCTTCTTTCTAGTTTTTATCTGGGGATAATCCATTTTTGACCATAGGCATTAATGGGCTCCCAAATGTCCCATCACATGTTCTACAAAAACAGTGTTTCCAACTTGCTGATCAAAAGAAGGGTTTAACTCTATGAGATGAATCCACACATCACCATGCAATTTCAGATATAGCTTATTTTAATTTTTATCTGAAGATATTTGGTTTTTCAACATAAGCCTAAATGGTCTCCAAATGTCCCTTCACGTACTTCACAAAAAGAGTGTTTTCAAGCTGTGAATCAAAAGAAAGGTTTAGCTGTCTTAGATGAATCCATACATCACAAAGCAGTTTCACAGATAGCTTCTTTCGAGTTTTTATTAGAAGATATTCTGTTTTTCACCATTGGCCTCAATGTCCCCTGTTTGTGCACCCTCAGATTCTACAAAAAGAGTTCTTCCAAAATCCTGAATCTAAAGAAAGATTTAACTCCATGAGATAAGTTCACACATCAGAAAGCATTTTCATAGATAGCTTTTTTCTAGTTTTTATCTTGGAATATTCAGTTTTTTACCATAGGCCACAATGGGCTCCAAATGTTTCTTGGCAGGATTTACAAAAAGGATGTTTGCAACCTGCTGATAAAAAGTAAGGTTTAACTCTGTGAGATGAATCCACACATTGCAAAGCAGTTTCACAGATAGCTTCTTTCTAGTTTTTGTCTAGGGATGTTCTGTTTTTCACCATAGGCCTCAACTGGGTTTCAAACATCCTTATGCAAATTTTACAAGAAGAGTGTTTCCAACATGCTGAATTAGAAGAAAGGTTTAACATTTTGACATGAATGCACACATCACAAAGCCATTTCACAGAGAGCTTCTTTCTAGTTTTTATCTGTGAATATTTTGCATTTCATTATAGGTCTCAATGGGCTCCCAAATGTCTTCTTGCTGATTTTAAAAAACAGTGTTTTTAACCTGCTGAAACAAACAAAAAAAGTTGTACCTTTTTGAGGTGAATCACGCATAAAAAAGCAGTTTCAGAGATAGCTCCTTTCTAGTTTTCATCTGAGGATATTCAGTTTTTCACCATATGGGCCCATTGGTCTCCTAAATGTCCCTTCACACATTCTACAAACAGAGTGTTTCCGACCTGCTGAATCAAAGAAAGGTTAAACTCTATGAGATGAATTCACACATCACAAAGAAGTTTCACAGATAGCTTAGTTACATTTTTTATCTGTTGATATTCTGTTGTCCACGATAGACCTCAAATAGTTCCCAAATGTTACTTTGCAGATTCTACAACAAGAGTATTCCCAACCTGCTGATAAAAAGTAAGGTTTAACTCTGTGAGATGAATCCACACATCACAATGTCAATTCACAGGTGTTTCTTTCTAGTTTTTATCTGTTGATATTCGGTATTTCTCCATAGGCCTCAATGGGCTCTCAAATGTCCCTTCACAGATTCTCCAAAGAGGGTGTTTCCAACATGCTGATCAAAAGTAAGTTTTAACTCTGTGAAAAGAATCCACACATCACAAAGCAGTTTCACAGATAAATTGTTTCCAGTTTTTATCTGCAGATATTTGATTTTACACCTTAGGTCTCAAGGGGCTCCCAAATGTCCCTTCACATATTCTATAAAAAGAGTGTTTCCAAACTGTTGAATCAAAAAAAAAGTTAAGTCTTTGAGATAAATGCACACATCACAAAGCAGCTTCACAGATAGCTTCTTTCTAGTTTTTATTTGAGGATATTTGGTGTTTCACCATAGGTCTCAATGGCCTCCCAAATATTCCTTCACGTCACAAAGCAGTTTCACACATAGGTTGTTTCTAGTTTTTATCTGGGGATATTCTGTTTTTCACCGTAGGACTCCAGTGGTTTTTTTAAATGTCCCTTCACAGATTCTACAAAAAGAGTGTTTCCAAACTGCTGATCAAAAGTAAGTTTTTACTCTGTGATATGAACCCACACATTGCAAAGCCGTTACAGTTGGCTTGTTTCCAGTTTTTATCTGTGGATATTCAATTTTTTGCCGTAGACCTCAAAGCACTCCATATATACTTTCATATATTCTACAAAAAGAGTGTTCCCTACCTGCTGAATCAATAGAAATGTTTAACTCTGTAAGATGAATCCAGACATCACAAAGTAGTTTCACAGATAGCATCTTTCTAGTTTTCATCTGGGAATAATCTGTTTTTTACTATAGGCCACCATTGGCTCCCAAATGTCCTTTCACAGATTTTACAAAAAGAGAGTTGCCAACCTTCAGAATCAAAAGAAAGGTTTAACTCTTTGAGATAAAACCACACATCACAAAGCAGTTTTCCAGATAGCTTCTTTTTTGTTTTGATCTTGCGATATTCAATTTTTCAGCATAGGATTCAATGGGCCCCCAAATCTTTCTTCGAATAGTGTACAAAAACAGTGTTTCCTACCTGAAGAACCTAAAGGAAGGTTTAAGTCTTTGAGATGAATCCACACATCAAGCAGCAGTTTTACAGATATGTTCTTTCTAGTTCTATCTAAGGATATTTGATTTTTCACTAAAGGCCTCAAGGGACTCCCAAACGTACTTTGGCAGATGCTACAAAAAAGTGTTACTGAACTGCTGAATCAAAAGAAAGGTTTACTTCTGTGAGATGAATCCACACATCACAAAGCAGTTTCAGAGACAGCTTCTTTCAACTTTTCATCCAGGGATATTCAGTTTTTAATCATAACTTCAATGAGCTTCCAAATGTCCCTTTGCAGATTCTGCAAAAAGAGTGTTTCAACTTGCTGAATCAAAAGAAAGGCTTAACTCTATGAGATGAGTCCACACATCACAAAGCTGTTTCACAGATTCTTTCTAGTTTTTATCTGGGGATATTTGGTTTTTCACCATAGGCTTCAATGTGCTATCAAATGCTTCTCCATAGATTCTACAAAAATTGTGTTTCCAACCTTCTGAGCCAAAGGAAAGGGGTAACTCTATGGGGTGAATCCACAAATCACAAAGCAGTTTCACAGATAGCTTCATTCTTGTTTCTAGGCCTCAATGATCTCCAAAATGTCTTTTCAAGGATACTACATAAACAGTGCTTTCAACCTGCTGGATCAAAAGAAAGGTTAAATTTTATGATATCAGTCCACACATCACAAAGCAGTTTCACAGACAGCTTCTTTGCAGTTTTTATCTGGGGATATTCAGTTTTCACCATAGGCCACCATCAGCTCCAAGTGTTTCTTCACAGACTCTATAAATAGAGTATTTCCAACCTGCTGAATCAAAAGAAAGGTTTAATTCTGTAAGATGAATCCACATATCACAAAGCAGTTTCGCAGATCACATCTTTCTTGTTTTCATCTTGGGATATTTGGATTTCCACTGCAGGCCTCAAGGGTCTCCCAAATGTCATTTCACAGATTCTACAAAAAAGTTGTTTCCTACCTTCTAAATAAAAAGAAAGGTTTAATTATGTGAGATTAACCCACACATAAAAAAAGCAGTTTTAGAGATAGCTTCTTTCTAGCTTTTTATCTAGGAATATTTGATTTTTTATCATAGGCCTCAATGCACTCTAAATGTCCTTTCATAGATTCTACAAAAAGGATATTTCAAACCTGCTGAAGAAAAGAAACATTTAACTCTCTGAGGTGAAACCACACATCACAAAGCAGTTTCACAGATAGCTTCTTTCTAGTTTCTAACTGGGGATACTGATTTTTCACCATAGGCCTCAATGGGATGACAAATTTATCTTCACAGATTTTACAATAAGAGTGTATGCAACCTGTTGAATCAAAAGACAAATTTAAGTCAGAGAGATGAATCCACTCAACAAAAAACAGTTTCACAGGTAGGTTCTTTCTCTTTTTTATCTGCAGATATTTGGTTTTTCACTGTAGGCCTCAATGAGTTCCATCAGTCCCTTCCCAGATCCTACAAAAAGAGTGTTTTCAACCTGCTGAATCAAAAGAAACGTTTAACTCTGTGAGATGAATCCACACATCCCAGAGCTGTATCACAGATAGCTTCTTTTTGTTTTTCATTTTGGGATATTTGCTTTATCATCGTAGACCTTAAAGGGCTCCCAATGTCCCTTTGTGAATTCTACAAAAAGAGTGTTTCCAATCTACTGAATCAAAAGAAACGTTTAATTCTTTAAGATTAATATACACATTCCATAAAAGTTTCACTGATAGATTCTTTCTACTTTTTATCTGGGGATAGTCAGTTTTTTACCATAGTTCTTAATAGGCTCCCAAATGTCTATTTGCAGATTCTACAAAAAGAATGTTTCCATCCCACTAAATTCAAAAGAAAGGTTTAACTCTGTGAGATGAATGCACTCATCTCAAGGCAGTTTCACAGATAGCTTCTTCCTAGTTTTTATCTGGGAGTATTCAGATTTACGCCATAGGCCTAAATGGCTTCCTAGTGTCCCTTCAAAAACTCTTCAAAAAGTGTGTTTCCAATCTGTTGAATCACAGAAAATGTTTAACTCTCTGAGATGAATCCACATATTATAAAGCAGTGTCACAGATAGCACCTTTCCAGTTTTTATCTGGGGATATTGGGTTCTTCACCATAGAACTCGAAAGGCTCTCAAATGTCCCTTCCTAAATTCTACAAATAGAGTGTTTCCAACCTGCTGAATCAAAAGAAAGTTTTAACTTTCTGAGATAAATCCATGCATCATGAAGCTGTTTCACAGATAGATTCTTTTGAGTTTTTAATTGGAAAAAAATTGTTTTCACCATAGGCCTCAATGGGCTCCAAAATTCCCTTCACATATTCCACACAAAGAGTTATTTTAACACGCTGAATCAAAACAGTTTTAATTCTGTGAGATGATTCCAAACGTCACAAAGCAGTTTCACAATCTTTTTTTTTTTAGTTTTTTTTAATGGGGATATTTTGTTTTTTTACCATAGTCCTCAATGTGCTCCCAAATGTCCCTTCAGAGATTCTACAAAAAGATTTTTTATAATTTACTGAATCAAAAGTAAAGTTTAACGTTGTGAGGTGAATCCATACATCACAGAGCAGTTTCACAGTATGTTCGTTTCAGTTTTTTGTTTGTGGATATTCTGTTTTTCACCGTAGGCCTCAAAGGGCTCCCAAATGTCACTTTGCAGATTCTAAAAAAAGGGCGTTTTCAACCTACTGAGTGTAAAGAGAGGTTTAACTTTTTAATATTAATCCACAAATCATAAAGCAGTTTGAAACATAGCTTCTATCTAGTTTTTATCTGGGGTATTCTGCTTTTCACCATAGTCCTCAATGGGTTCCCAAATGTTTCTTCACAGAGTCTACAAAAAAAAGTGTTTTTAACCTGCTGAATCAAAAGAAAGGTATACCTCTCTGACATGAATCCACACATTATAAAGCAGTTTCACAAGTAACTTCTTTCTATTTTTTATCTGGAGATATTTGGTTTTTCACCGTAAGACTCAATGTGCTCCCAAATGTCCCTTCACAGATCCTACAAAAAGTGTTTCCAATCTGCTGAATCAAAGGAAACGTTGAACTTTGTGAGATAAATCCACTCACCACGAAGCAGTTTCACAGATAGCTTTATTCTAATATTTATCTGGGGATATTTGGTTTTTCACCTTAGGCCTTAATTGTCTCCAAAAATTTCTTAGCAGATTGTACAAAAAGAGTATATCAAACCTGCTGAATCAAAAGAAAAGTTTAACTCTGTAAGATGAATTCACACATCACAGAACAGTTTCACAGATAGCTTCTGTCTAGTATTAAACTGGGGATATTCAGTTTTTCACCATAGGCCACAATGGGCTTTCATATGTCCCTTCACAGATTCTACAAGAAGTGTGTATCCAACCTGCTAAATGAAAAGAAAGGTTTAACTCTGTCAGATGAATCTGCACATCAAAAAGCAGTTTCAAAGATAACTTCTTTCTAGTTTTTATCTGAAGATATGTGATTTCAACATAGGTCTCAATGGGCTCCCAAATGTCCCTTTGCAGATACTACAAAAAGAGTTTTTCCAACCTGCTAAATCAAAAGAAAGTTTTTACTCTGTGAGATGAATCCACACATCACAAAGCAGTTTCACAGATTGTTTCTTTCTACTTTTTATTGGGGGATGTTCTCTTTTTCACCATAGGCCTCAATGAACTCTGAAATTTCCCTTCACAGATTACACAAAAAATGTTTCCAACCTGCTGAAAAAAAAGAAAAGTTGAACTCTCTGAGATGAATCCACACATCACAAAGGACTTTCAAAAATAGCTTCTTTCTGGTCTTTATCTCCTGATATTTGATTTTTCACCCTAGGCATGAATGGGCAGTTAAATGTCCCTTTGCTGATTCTACAAAAAGAATGTTTCCAATGTGCAGAAACAAAGTAAGAGTTTAACTCTGTGAACTAAATCCACACTTGAAATAGAACTTTTACAGATAGCTTTTTTCTAGTTTTCATTTGGGGATATTTGATTTTCACCATATGTCTCAATGGGCCCCAAATGTCTCTTCATAGATTCTACAAAAAAAGTGTTTCCAAGCTGCTGAATCAAAAGAAAGGCTTAAATCTGTAAGATGAATTCACACGTCATGAATCAGTCTCACAGATAGCTTTTTTATAGTTTTTATCTGGGGATATTCAGTTTTCACCATAGACATCAATGGGCTCCCAAATGTCACTTCACAGATTCAACAAAAAGAGTGTTTCCAACCTGCTCAATCAAACGTAAGTTTTAACTCTGTGAGATGAATTCACACATCACAAAGTTGTTTCACAGATAGCTTCTTTCTAGATTTTATTTGGAGATATTCCATTTTTCACCATAAGCCCCAAATTTCTCCAAAATTTCTTCCCAGACTTTACAAAAAGAGTGTTTACAAAATGCTGAATCAAAAAAAATTTACCTCTTGTGATGAATCCACACATCCCAGAGCCATTTCACAAATAGTTTCTTTTTAGTTTTTCATCTGGAGATATTCAGTTTTTCACCATAGTCCTCAAAAGGCTACCAAATGTCCCTTCACAGGTTCTACAAAATGAGTGTTTCCAACCTGATGAATCAAAAGAAAGGTTTAACTTTTTAAGACAAATCTACCCATCACAAAGCCAATGGGCTCACGTATGTTTCTTCACAGATTCTAAAAAAAGATTGTTTCCAAGCTACTGATTCAAAAGAAAGGTTTAACTCTCTAGATGAATGCACACATCATAAAGCTGTTTCACAGATAGCTTCTTTCTAGTTTTTATCTGGGGATATTCGGTTTTTCACCATAGTCCTCAAAAGGCTACCAAATGTCCCTTCACAGGTTCTACAAAATGAGTGTTTCCAACCTGATGAATCAAAAGAAAGGTTTAACTTTTTAAGACAAATCTACCCATCACAAAGCCAATGGGCTCACGTATGTTTCTTCACAGATTCTAAAAAAAGATTGTTTCCAAGCTACTGATTCAAAAGAAAGGTTTAACTCTCTAGATGAATGCACACATCATAAAGCTGTTTCACAGATAGCTTCTTTCTAGTTTTTATCTGGGGATATTCGGTTTTTCACCATAGGACACAGTGGGCTCTCAAATGTCTTTTCACAGATGCTACAAAAAGTGTTTCCAACCTGCTGAATCAAAAGAAAAGTTTAACTCTGTGAAATAAATCCACTCATCTGAAACAGTTTCACAGATATCTTCTTTCTACTTTTTTTTCTGGGGATATGTTGTTTTTCACCATAGACCTCAATGGGCTCCCAAATGTTTCTTTGCAGATTCTACAAAAAAAGTGTTTCCAACCTGGTGAATCCACTGAAAGGTTTAACTCTCTGAGATGAATCCACACATCATAAAACAGTTTCATAGAAAGTTCTTTCTAGAGTTTATCTGGGTATATTCAATTATTCACCATAGGATGCAATGGGCTCCCAAATATTTCTTCCAGAATTCTACAAAAAGAGTGTTTCCAACCTGCTGAATCAAAAGAAAGGTTTACCTGTGTGAGATAAATCTCTTCTCATGAAGAAGTTTCACAGATATCTTCTTTCTAGTATTTAACTGGGGATATTCATTTTTTCACCATAGACCTTAATGGCTTCCCAAATGTCCCTTTCCAGATTCTACAAAAAGAGTGTACCCAACCTACTGAATCAAAAGAAAGTTTTAATTCTGTGAGTTGAATCCACACATAAAAAAGCAGTTTCACAGAATGTTCTTTATAGTTTTTATCTGGTGATATTCAGCTTTTTACCATTTGCCTCTTTGCTAAACTATCCCTTTGGAGATTCTACAAAAGAGCTTTTCCAACCTGCTAAATCAAAAGAAAGGTTTAAGTGTGTGAGATGAATCTACAAATCACAAAGCAGTTTCACAGACAGCTGCTTTCTACTTTTTATCTGGAGATGTTCTTTTTTTCACCATAGGCCTCAATGCACTCCTAAATGTCCTTTCTCAGATTTCACAAAGAGAATGTTTCCAACCTGCTAAATAAGAAGAAAGGTTGAACTCTGTGAGATGAACCAACACATCATGAAAGACTTTCACAGAGAGCATATTTTTGGTTTTTCTCTGTTGATATTGTTTTTCTTCATAGGCATCATTAGTCTCTTAAATGTCCCTTCCCTGATTCTACAAAAAGCGTGCTTCCAATCTGATGAATCAAAAGAAAGGATTAACTCTGAGATGAATCCACACATCACAAAGCAGTTTCAAAGATAGCTTCTCTCTGTTTTTTATCTTGGGATATTCAGTTTTTCAACATACGCCTCAAATGGGTTCCAAATGTCCCTTCACAGATTCTACAAAGAAAGTTTCCAACCTGTTTCCAACCTGATGAATTTTAAAAAAAGTTTAACTTTGTGAGATGAATCCACACATCCCAGAGCAGTTTCACAGATATTTTCTTTCTAGTCTTTCTTCTGGGGTATTCTGTTTTTCACCATATGCTTTAATGGGCTCTCAAATGTCCCTTTGCAGATTCCACAAAAGCAATGTTTCCAACCTGCTGAATAAAAAAGAAAGGTTTAACTCTTTAAGATGAATTCACACATTACAAAGCAGTTTCACCAAGAGCTTCTTTCTAGTTTTTATCTAGGAATATTCAGTTTTTCATCATAGGCCTCATTGAGCTCCAAAAGTCTCTGTCCAGATTCTACAAAAAGCCCTTCCAACCCGCTGAATCTAAAGAAAAGCTTAACTCTGTGAGATGAATCCAAAAATCCCATAGAAGATCACAGATAACTTCTTTCTAATTTTTTGTCTTGGGATATTTGGTTTATCACCATATGCCACAAAGGGCTCCCAAATGATACTTTGCAGATTCTAAAAAAGAGGCTTTCCAATTGGCTGAATCAAAAGAAAGGTTTAACTTTTTAAGATGAATCCAGTCATCACAAAGCTGTTTCAAAGATAGCTTCTTTCTTCTTTTTATCTTGGGATATTCAGATTTTCCCCATATTTCTCAAATGACTCCAAATGTTTCTTCTCAGATTCTTCAAAAAGTGTGTTTCCAAGCTGCCAAATGAAAAGGAAGGTTTCACTACCTGAGATAAATCCACAGCTTATACAGCAGTTTCACAGATAGCTTCTTTCTGGTTTTTATCTGGGGATATTCGGTTTTTCAACATAAAATCCAATGGGCTCTCAAATGTCCCTTCCAAAATTCTACAAAAAGAGCATTTCCAATCAGCTGAATCCAAAGAAAGTTTTAGCTTTGTCAGATGAGTACAAACGTCATGAAGCAGTTTCACAGATCATTCTTTCTAGTTTTTAATTGGGGTTACTCAGTTTTTCACCATATGCTTCAGTGGTCTCTAAAATGTCCCTTCACTAATTCAACCACTAGAATGGTTTCAACCTTTTGAGTCAAAAAAAGGGATAACTCTCTGGGATGAATCGTCACATCACAAAAGAGTTTCACAGATATTTTTCTTTTAGTTTTTCTCTGTGGATATTCTGTTTTTCAACTTAGACCTCAATAAACTCCAAATGTCCCTTCACAGATTCTACAATGAGAGTGGTTTCCACCCACTGAATCAAAAGAAATGTTTAGCTCTGTGAGATGAATCCACACATTTCAAAGCAGCTTTCCAGATACCTTCATTCTAGTTTTTATCTCGGATTTTTCAGTTTTTTACCATAGACCTCAATGGGCTTCCAATTGTCCTTTGCATGTTCCATATAAAGAGTGTCTCCAACCTGCTGAATCCAAAGAAAAGTTTAACCCTGTGAGTTGAATTCACACATCATCAAGCAGTTTCACAGATACCTTCTTTCTAGATTTTATCTGGGGATGTTCAGTTTTTCATCATAGGCCTCAATGGGCTTTCAAATGTCCCTTTGCAGATTCCACAAAAAGAGTGTTTCCAACATGCTGAATCAAAATAAAGGTTGAATTCTGTGAGATGAATGCACACATCATAAAGCAGATTCAGAGATAGCTTCTTTCTAGTTTTTATCTAGGGATGTTCGGTTTTCCACCATAGCCTCAATGGGCTTCAAAATATCCCTTTGCAGATTCTACAAGAAGATAGTTTCCAACCTGCTGGATCAAAAGAAATGTTTAGCCCTGTGAGATAAATCTACCCATCACAAAGCAGTTTCACACTTAGATTCTTTATAGTTTTTTATCTGGATATATTTGGTTTTTCACCACAGTCCTCAAAGGGCTCCCAAATGTTTCTTTGCAAATTCTACAAAAAGAGTGTTTCCAACCTGCTGAATCAAAATAAAGGTTTCCCTCTTTGAGATGAATCCACGCATCATAAAGCAGTTACACAGATAGCATCTTTCAAGTTTTGATCTGGGGATATTCTGTTTTTCCCCATAGAACTCAATGTGCTCTCAAATGTCCCTTCCCAGATTCTACAAAAAGAGTGTTTCCAACCTGCTGAATCAAGGGAATGGTTTAACTCTGTGAGATGATTTCACGTATCATGAAGGACTGTCTCAGGTAGATTCTTTCTAGTTTTTAATTGAGGATATTCAGTTTTTTACCACAGGACTCAATGGACTCCAAAATGCCCCTTCCCAGATTCTACAAAAACTGTGTTTCCAATCTGCTGAATCAAAAGAAAGGTTTAGCTACTTGAGATGAATCCACACATCTCAAAGGATTCCACAGATACCTTCTTTCTAGTTTTTATCTAGGGATATTCTCTTTTTCACCATATTCCTCAATGGGCTCCAAAAGTCCTTTTGCAGATTCTTCAAAAAGAGTGATTCCAACCAGCTGAATCAAAAGAAAGGTTTAACTCTGTGAGAGGAATCCACACATTTCAAAGAAGTTTCACAGATGCTTTATTTCTAGTTTTTATCTTGGATTTTTCAGATTTTTACCAAAGGCCTCCATGGGCTCCCTAATGTCTCTTCACAGATTCCACGTAAAGAGTGTTTCCAACCTGCTGAATCAAAAGAAAGGTTTAATTTGTGAGATGAATGCACACTTCATAAGCAGTTTAAATATAGCTTCTTTCTAGTTTTTATCTGGGTATGTTCAGTTTATCAACATAGGCCTCAATGGGCTCCCAAATGTCCCTTCGCATATTCTACAAAAAATGGTTTCCAACCTTCTGAATCAAAAAAAGGTTTAAGTCAGTGAAAAGAATCAACACATCACAAAGCAGTTTCACAGATAATTTATTTCTAGTTCCTGTCAGGGGATATTCAGTTTTTCACCATAGGCCACTACAGGTCTCAAATATCCTTTTGTAGATTTTACAGAAAGTGTTTTCCCAACCTGCTGAATCAATAGAATGGTTTAACATGGAGAGATAAATCCACACATCTCAAAGTAATTTTACAGACACCTCTTTTTGAGTTTTCATCCAGCTATATTCAGTTTTTCACCATAGGCCTCAATGGGCTCCAAAATGTCCCATCAGAGATTCCACTAAAATAGTGTTTCCAACCTGCTGAATCAAAATAAAAGTTGAACTTTGTGAGATGAAGCCACACATAACAAAGCATGTTCACAGATAGCTTCCTTCTAGTTTTGATCTGGGAATGCCCATTTTTCATTATAGGCCTCAATGTGCTTCCAATTTCCCCTTTGTAGATTCTACAAAAAGAGTTTTTCCAACCTGCTGGATCAAAACAAACGTTTAACTCTGTGAGAAGAATACAGCCATCACAAAGCAGTTTCAAAGATACATTGTTTCTATTTTTTATCTGGGGATATTCAGTTTTTCACCATAGGCCTCAGTGAACTCCAAAAGTCCCTTCCAAGATTTTACAAAAAGTGTTTCCAACCTGTTGAATCAAAAGAAAGGATTGACTCTGAGAGATGAATCCACACATCCCAGACCAGTATCATGGAAAGTTCTTTCTATAGTTTTTCATCTTGGAATATTCCATTTATCACCATAGGCCTCAATTGCCTCCCAAATGTTTCTTCACAAATTCTACAAAAAGAGCATTTCCAACTGGATGAATCAAAAGAAAGTTTTAACTCTTTAAGATGAGTACTCACATAACAAAGCAGTTTCAAAGATATCTTCTTTCTAGTTTTTATCTGGGGTTATTTGGCTTTTCACCATAGTCATCAATGGGCTCCCAAATGTTTCTTCATAAATTATACAACAAGAGTGTTTCAAACCGAATGAATCAAAAGAAAGTTTTAACTCCCTGAGATGAATCCACACATCATAAAGCAGTCTCATATATAGCTTCTTTCTTATCTTTATCTGGGGTTCTTCAGTTTTTCAACATAGAAGTCAATGGGCTCTCAAAGATCCCTTCCCAGTTGCTACAAAAAAGAGTGTTTCCAATCTGCAGAATCAAAAGAAAGGTTTAACTCTCTGAGACGAATACATGCATCATGAAGCAGTTTCACAGATAGATTCTATTTTTTAATTGCAGATATTCGGTTTTTCACCATATGAAAAAATGGGTTACAAAATGCCCCTTCCCAGATTCTACAAATACTGTGTTTCCATGCTGCTCAATCAAAAGGAAGGCTTACCTCTTTGAGATGAATCCATGCATCATGAAGCAATTTCACAGATAGCTTCTTTCTAGTTTTTATCTGGGGATATTCTGTTTTTTAACATAGGTCTCAATGTGCTCCAAAAGGCCCTTCACATATTCTACAGAAAGAGTGGTTCCAACTTGCTGAATGAAAAGAAAAGTTTACCTCTGTGAGATGAATCCACACATTTAAAAGCAGTTTCACAGATAGCATCTTTCTAGTTTTTATCTGGGGATATTCTGTTTTTTACTTTAGGCCGCAAGGGGCTTCCAAATGTTTCTTCACAGATTCTACAAAAAAAAGTATTTCCATCCTGCTGAATCAAAAGAAAGGTTTAAATCTTTGAGATAAAAGTGCACATCAACAAGCAATTTCACAGGTAGCTTCTTTCTAGTTTTTATCTGGGGATATTCGGTTTTTCACCATAGGCCACAAAGGTTCTTAAATGTCCTTTCACAGATTTTACAAAAATAAAGTTGCCATCCTGGTGAATCAAAAGAAAGTTTTAACTCTTGTAGATGAACCCACAACTGACAAAGCAGTTTCAAAGATTGCTTCCTTCTTGTTTTGATCTGGGGATTTTTGGTTTGTAACAGGAGGACACAATGGGTCCTTAAATGTTTCTTTGAATAGTCTACAAAAACAGTGTTTCCAACCTGCTGAATTAAAAGAAATTTTTAAATTGTTGAGATGAATGCACACGTTACAAAGGAGTTTCACAGGTAGCTTCATTGTAGTTTTATCTGAGGATATTCAGTTTTTCACCATAGGCCACAATGGGCTTTCATATGTCCCTTCTTAGATTCTACAAAAAGAGTGTTTCCAACCTGCTGAATCAAAAGAAAAGTTTAACTCTGTGAGATGAATCCACACATCACAAAGCAGTTTCACAGATAGCATTGTTCTAGCTTTTTCTGGGGATAATCTGTTTTTCTCTGCAGGCCTCAAGGGGCTCCCAAATATTTCTTTGCAGATTCTACAAAAAGAGTATTTCCAACCTGATAAATCAAAAGTAAGGTGTAATGTAGTGAGACAAATCCACACATCACAAAGCAGTTTTACAGATAGGTTCTATCTAGTTTTTATCAGGGGATATTTGGCTTTTCACCATGGGTCACAAGGGTTTCTTGAAAGTCCTTTCACAGCTTTTACAATAATAGAGTTGCCAACCTGGTGCATCAAAAGAAAGCTTATCAACCATTTCCAACCTGTTGAATTTTAAAAAATTAAAATATTTGAGTTGAATGCACACATCACAAAGGAGTTTCACAGGTAGCTTCTTTCCAGTATTTATCTGGGGATATTCAGTTTTTCACCATAGGCCACAATGGGCTTTCAAATGTCCCTTTGATGATTATACAAAAAGTGTTTCCAACCTGCTGAATCAAAAGAAAGGTTTAACTCTGTGAGATGAATCCATACATCACAAAGCAGTTTCATAGATAGTACACATATTCAGTTTTTCTCTGTAGGCCTCAGTGGGCTTCCAAATGTCCCTTTGCAGATTCTACGAAAAAGAGTGATTACAACCTGATAAATCAAAGGAAAGTTTAACTTTATTAGATTAATCCACACAGTCCAGAGCAGTTTCACAGATATCTTCTTTCTAGTTTTTCCACTGGGGTTATACTGTTTTTCACCATAGTCTGTAATGGGCTCCCAAATGTATTTAGCAGATTCCACAAAAAGAGTGTTTCCAACCTGCTGAATCAACAGAAAGGTTTAACTCTGTGAGATGAATTCACACATCACAAAGCAGTTTCAAAGATAGCTTCTTTCTAGTTTTTATCTGGGGATATTTGACTTTCCACCCTAGGATATAATGGGCTCTATATGTCCCTTCACAGATTCTACAAAAAGAGTGTTTTCAACCTTCTAAATCAAAAGGCAGCTTTAACTCTGTGAAATGAATCCACACATCTTAGAACAGTTTCACAGATAGTCTCTTTCTAGTTTTTAGTCTGGAGATATTTGGTTTCTCATCATAGGCCTCTAGGGGCCCCAAAATGTCCCTTCCCAAATCCTACTAAGAATGCTTCCAACCTGCTGAATAAAAAGAAAAGTTTGACTCCTTAAGATGAATCCACACATCATAAAGCAGTTTCACAGACAGCTTCTTTCTAGTTTTTATCTGTAAATAATATTTTTAACAATAGACCACAATGGGATCCCCAATGTCTTTTCGCAGATTCTACAAAAAGAGTGTTAACAACTTGTTGAAAGAAAAGAAATTTTCTCTCTGGGAGATTAATCCAAATATCACAAAGCAGTTTCACAAATACCTTGTTTCTAGTTTTTATCTTGGATGTTCAGTTTTTTACCATAGGCCTCAATGGACTCTCAAATATCCTTTCACAGAATCAACAAAAAGAGTTTACAACCTGTTGAATTTAAAAAAGGTTTAATCTGCTTTTTAACTGGGGATATTCCATTTTTCACCATAGGACTCAATGGACTCACAAATGTCCCTTTGCAGATTCTACAATGATAGTGTGTCCAACATGCTTAATCCAAAGAAAGCTTTATTTCTGTAAGATAAATCCACACATCACAAAGCAGCTTCATAGATAGCTACTTTCTAGTTTTTCCCATGGGATATTCAGTTTTTCACCATAGGTCTCAATTGGCTCCCAAACGTCCCTTCACAGATTCTACAAAAAGAGAGTTTCCAACCTGCTGAATCAAAAGAAAGGTTTAACTCTGGGAGAAGAAATATTTTATCTGTTTCAGAGATAGATTCTTTCTAGCTTTTATCTGTGGATATTCGGTTTTTCACTTGGGTTCCCAGTGGGCTCCAAAATGTCTCTTCACAGATTAAACAAAAAAAGTGTTTCCAACCTGCTGAATCAAAAGAAAGGTTAAACCCTGTGAGATGAATCCACTCATCTCAAAGCAGTTTTCACGTATAGATTATTTCTAGTTTTATCAGGGAATGTTCAGTTTTTCTCGATAGTTTTCAAAGGACTCTCAAATATCCCTTCCCAGATTCTACAAAAAAAGAGTTTCCAAACTGCAGAATTAAAGGAAAGCTTTACTTCTGTTAGATAAATCCACGTATCCAAAGCAGTTTAACACAGATCTTCTTTCTACTCTGTAATCTGTGGATATTCAGTTTTTAATGGTAGGCCAAAATGGGCTTCAAAATGTTAAAAAATGTGCTTCTAACATGCTGAATCCAAAGAAAGGTTTAACTCTGTGAGGTGAATTGACACATCACAAAGCAGTTTCACCAACATATTTTTTCTCGTTTTTATCTGGGGATATTAATTTTTCACCATAAGTCTCAATGGTCTCACAAATGTTCTTCTGCAGATTCTGCATTAAGAATATTCCCAACCTGCTGATAAATAAAAAAGGGTTTTCCTCTGTGAGATGAATCCACACATCACAAAGGAATTTCAGAGATAGCTTCTTTCTAGTGTTTATCTGGAGATGTTTGGTTTTTTCACCACAATGCTCAATGGGCTCCTAAATTCTTAAAAAAAAAAGTGTTTCCAATCTGCTGAGTGGAAAGAAAAGTTTCAGTCTACGTGGTGAATTGTGAATCCACACCTCAGAAAGCAGTTTCACACATTACTTCTTTCTAGTTTTTATCTGACGATATTCGGTTTTTCACCACAGGCATCAATGGGCTCTAAAATGTGCCTTCATAGATTCTAAAAAAAAAAAAAAAGTTTCCAACCTGCTGAATCAAACAAAACTTTAATTCTGTGAAGTGAATCCACACATCACAAAGCAGTTTCATTGATAGTTTCTTTCAAGTTTTTATCTGGGATATTCGGTTTTTCACCATAGGCCTCAATGAACTTTCATCTGTCTTTTCAAAGATTCTTTAAAAAAAAGTGTTTGAAACCTGCTGAATCAATAGAAAGGTTTAAATTTGTGACGTGAATCCACACATCACAAAGAGGTTTCACAGATAACTTCTTTCTAGTTTTTATCTGGGGATATTCTGTTTTTCACCATAGTACTCAATAGGCTCCCAAATTCTAAAAAAAGATTGTTTCCAACATGCTGAACCAAAAGAAACTTTAAACTGTGAGATGAATCCAGACGTCACAAAGCAGTTTCACAGATAGCTTATTTCTACTTTTTAATCTGGAGATAATCCATTTTTTACCATAGGCCTCAAAGAATTCCCAAATGTCTTTTTGCAGATTTTATAAGAAGAGTTTTTCCAACCTTCTGAATAAAAAGAATGGCTTAACTCTGTGAGATAAATCCACACATGACAAAGCAGTTTCACAGATAGCTTCTTTTTAGTTTTTAAGTGGAGATATTCAGTTTCTCACCATAGGCCTCAATGGCTTTGAAATTTCCCTTCACAGATTCTATGAAAAGTGTGTTTACAACCTTCTGAATCAAAAGAAAGGTTTAACTCTGTGAGATGAATCCACACATCACACAGTAGTTTCACAGATAGCTTCTTTCAAGGTTTTTTCTGGGAATATTTGGTTTTTCACCATAGAACTCAATGGGTTTTCAAATATCTTCTCCTGAATTTTACAAAAAAAAAAGTTTTCAAACGTGCTGAATCAATGGAAAGGTTTAACCCTGTGACATGAATCCACACATTACAAAGCAGTTTCACAAATAGCTTCTTTCTATATTTTATCTGGGGATATTTGATTTTTCACTATAGGCCTCAATTGTCTCTCAAATGTCCCTTCACAGATTCTACAAGAAGTGTGTTTCCAAACAGCTGAATAAAAAGAAACGTTTAACCCTGTGAGGTGAATCCACACATCACAAAGAAGTTTCACAGATAGCTTCTTTCTAACTTTTATCTGGGAAATTCCTTTTTTAACCATAGACCTCAGAAAGCTCCCAAATGTCCATTTGTTTCCAAACTTCTGAATCAAAAAGAGTGTTTACAACATTCTGAATCGAAAGAAAGGTTCAACTCTGTGAGATAAATCCACATGTCAGAAAGCAGTTTCACAGAAAGCTTGTTTCTGTTTTTTATGTGGAAATACTCATTTTTTCCACCATGGGTTTCAATGGATTCCCAAATACTCCTTTGTAGTTTTCACAAAAAGAGTGTTTCAACACTGCTGGATCAAAAAAAAAAAAGGTTTAACTCTGCAAGATAAATCCACACATTGCAAAGCAGTTTCACAGATAGCTTCTTTCTAGTTTATATCTGGAGATGTTTGGTTTTTCACCATTGGCCTCAACGGACTCCCAAATATCTCCTTGCTGATTCTACAAAAACAGTGTTTCCAACATGCTGAATAAAAAGAAGCTGTTTACTCTGTGAAATGAATGCACACATCACAAAGCAGTTTCACAGACATCTTCTTTCAAGGTTTTATATGAAAATATTCACTTTTTTAACATAGGGCTAAATGGGCATCAAAATATCCCTTCCAACACTCTACAAAGTCAGTGTTTCCAACCTGCTGAATAGAAGGAAAGGTTTTAACTACTATGATTATTATCACAATTATGATGATGGTCTTTGCAGCTTAGCCAATGGAAGCCTTGTTAAGTTTGCTCTTCTGTCCTTTAGCACTGCTCCTGACATTTTTTAAGCAATAGCTCATTTCAGACAACAAAAGGATATTCCAGACCAATCCATTTTTTTTCCTGCTTGAACACTGGAATCAATTTTCCTCCCAGGTACCCTGATTCTTTTTAGTGGTATGCATTATCAGAGGCAAAATATGGACAGTACAGAACACAGGAGAGCTGGTGGTAGATGAACGAACAGCTGCCCTTGGGGTAATTAGCGGTGACAATTAGAAAATAGGTATCTTTTTTCTTTTTTTATTATTATTATACTTTAAGTTTTAGGGTACATGTGCACAATGTGCAGGTTAGTTACATATGTATACATGTGCCATGCTGGTATGCTGCACCCATTAACTCGTCATCTAGCATTAGGTATATCTCCCAATGCTATCCCTCCCCCCTCTCCCCACCCCACAACAGTCCCCAGAGTGTGATGTTCCCCTTCCTGTGTCCATGTGTTCTCATTGTTCAATTCTCACCTATGAGTGAGACTATGCGGTGTTTGCTTTTTTGTTCTTGCTATACTTTACTGAGAATGATGTTTTCCAATTTCATCCATGTCCCTACAAAAGACATGAACTCATTATTTTTTATGGCTGCATAGTATTCCATGGTGTATATGTGCCACATTTTCTTAATCCAGTCTATCATTGTTGGACATCTGGGTTGGTTCCAAGTCTTTGCTATTGTGAATAGTGCCACAATAAACATATGTGTGCATGTGTCTTTAAAGCAGCATGATTTATAGTCCTTTGTAGTTGTAATACAGAGGAGGGTCTATATAATAGTTTAATTATTTATTAGTTTTAATAAATAAAGGAGTGTTAATAAATGTGATTCCTGTAAAGCACTGTGCCATTTGAAATTTTAATAAATTTGCTTCTATGAAAGATGTAAACATTCTGCAAAATGCTACTGAGAAAATTTAGCCAGAGAGTAGCATATTTGATTGTAGGAATTTTATCTTTCAGTGTATCTACTATGATTTTGTATAATAATGCCAATGGAATTCCGTATAGCATAGTTCTTTATTACCTGGAATATGAAAGAAAGAAATTAGAAAAAACAAATTATTAAAAATTTAGTTTAAATGATGGGTAAATTCCATCTCTTCTACATTTTGTAAATTGTTTATATCTTCTATAAGTACAAATGTATTAAAATTCAAACTGCACATTTAAAAAAATGAAAGGTTTAACTTTGTGAGATAAATCCACATATCACAAAGCAGTTTCACAGAGAGCTTCTTTCTCACTTTTATTTGAAGATTTTTGGTTTAATGCCATAGGCCTTAATGGGCTCCCAAAGGTACCTTCACAAATACTTCAAAAAAAGTGCTTGTAAATCACTGAATCAAAAGAAAGACTTAACTCTGTCAGATGAATCTACACAGCACAAAGCAGTTTCACAGATAGCTTCTCTTTAGTTTTTATCTGGGGATATTCTGTTTTTCATCATAGGCCTCAAAGGGCTTCCAAATATTCCTTTGCAGATTCTACAAAAGAGTGTTTCCAACCTGCTGAACCAAAAAAAAGGTTTATCTCGGTAAGCTGAATCCACACATTACAAAACAGTTTCTTAAATAGCTTATTTTTAGTTTTTATCTGGGGATAATCAGTTTTTTACCATAGGCCTCAATGGGCTTCCAAATGTCCATTCGCAGATTCTGCAAAAAAAAATTTCCAATCTGCTGAATCAAAAGAAACGGTTATCTTTGTGAGATGAGTCCAAGAACCACAAAGTAGTTTCACAGATGTCTTTTTTCTAGTTTTTATGTGGGGATATTCTTTTTTCACCATTGGCCTCAAAGGGCTCCAAAATGTCCCTTTGCAGATTCTACAAGAAGAATGTTTCCAATCTTCTGAATCAAAAGAAAGGTTTAAATCTTTGAGATGAATCCACACTTCACAAAACAGTTTCACAGATAGCTTTTCCTAGTTTTTATCTGGGAATATTATTTTTTTCACCACAGGTCTGTGTGGGCCCTCAACTGTCCCTTCACAGATACTACAGAAAGAGTGTTAACAACCTGCTGGATGAGTAGAAAGATTTAACTCTGTGACATGAATCCACACATCACAAAGGAGTTTCACAAATAGCTTCTTTCTAGTTTTTATCTGGGAATATTTAGTTCTTCACATTATGCCTCCATAAGTTCCAAAATGTCCTTTCACAGATTCTTCCAAAACAGAGATTCCAACTTTCTGAATCAAAAGAAAGGTTTCACTATGATAGATAAATTCACACATCACAGAGCAGTTACACAGATAGCTTCTTTCTAGTTTTTATCTGCTGGCATTCTGTTTTTCACCACAGGTGTCAAAGGGCTCCCAAATGTCCCTTCACAGTTTCTACAAAAATTGTGTTTCCAACCAGCTGAATCTAAAGAAAGGTTTATGTTAGTGTGGTTAATCCACACATCAAAAAGCAGTTTCACAGATATCTTCTTTCTAGTTTTTATCTTGGGAAAATCTGTTTTCTACCATAGGTATCAATGGGTTCCCAAATGTCTCTTTACAGATTCTAAAAGAGAAGTGTTTCCAACCTGCTGAATCATCAGAAAGGTTTAACCCTGAGAGATGAATCCCCACATCACAGAACAGCTTAACAGATAGCTTCTTTCTAGTATTTATCTAGGGATAACCTGTTTTTCAACATAGGCCTCAATGGGCTCTTAAATGTCTCTTCACATATTCCACAAAAATAGAGTTTCCAATTTGCTTATTCAAAAGAAAGGTTTAACTCTGCGAGATGAATCCACATATCACAAAGCAGTTTCACTGATAGCTTCTTTCTCGTTTTTATCTGGGAGTATTTGGATTTTCACCACAAGCTTTCAATAATAAATAGTTGCAAAAATAAATAGTTTTGCAAACCTCCTTAACCAATAGAGAGGTTTAACCCTGTGACATGAATTCACCCATCACAAAGAAGTTTCACAAATAGCTTCTTCTAGTTTATATCTGGGGATATTCTGGTTTTCACCATAGGCCTCAAAGGGTTTTCAAATATCCCTTTGCAGATTCTGCAAAGAGAGTGTTTCCAACTTGTTGAATCAAAAGAAAGGTTTAACTCTATGAAATGAACCCACACGTCACAAAGCAGTTTCACAGGTAGCTTCTTTCTAGTTTTTATCGGCGGATATTCAAGTTGTCACCATATGCCTCATTGGGCTTTCAAATGTCCCTTCACAGATTTTACAAAAATATTCTTTTCAACATGTTGAATCAAAAAAAAATTTATCCCTGTGTAATAAATTCACAAATCCCAAAGCACATTCACAGATAGATTTTTCTAGTTTTTTTAATGGGGATATTTGGTTTTTCACCTTAGGAATAAATTCGCTCCAAACTGTCTCTTTGCAGATTCTACAAAAGGAGTGTTTCCAACCTGTGGAATCAAAAGAATGGTGTAAGTGTGTGAGACGAATCCACACATCACAAAGCAGTTTCACAGATAGCTTTTTTCCAATTTTCACTTGGGGATATTCAGTTTTTCACCATATGTCTCATTGGGCCTCCAAATCTCCCTTCACAGATTCTACCAAAAGTGTGTTCCAACCTGTTGAATCAAGAGAAAGGTTTAACTTTGTGAGGTGAATCCACACATCACAGAGCAGTTTCACAGAGAGGTTCTTTCCAGTCTTTATCTGGGGATATTTGGGTTTTCACCATAGACATCAATGGGCTCCCAAATGTTTCTTCACAGATTCTACAAAAAGAGAGTTTCCAACCTGCTGCAACAAAAGAAAAGTTTATCTTTGTAAAATGAATCCACACATCACAAAGCAGTTTCATAGATAGCTTCTTTCTTGTTTTTATCTGGGGATATTCAGTTTTTCACTGTAAGCCTCAATGGGCTTCCAAATGTCTCTTAGCAGATTGTACAATAACAGTGTTTCCAACCTACTGAATCAAAAGAAAGGGTTATCTCTGTGAAATGAATCCACACATTACAAAGCACTGTTACAGACAGCTTCATTCTAGTTTTTATGTGGGGATATTCATTTTTTTACCAAAGGCATCAATTGGCTCCAAATTGACCCTTCACAGATTCTACAAAAATAGTGTTTCCATCTTGCAGAATCAAAAGAAACATTTCATTCTGTCAGAAGAATCAACACATCACCACATCACAAAGCACTTTTACGTACCACTTCTTTCTAGTTTTTATCTGGGGATATTGTTTTTCACCATATGCCTCAGTGGGCTTTCAAATGTTTCTTTGCAGATGCTACAAAAACAGTGTGTCCAATTTGCCAAATGAAAAGAAAGATTTAACTCTGTGAGATGAATCAACACATCACAAAGCAGTTTCACAGGTAGCTTCCCTCTAGTTTTTAACTGGGGATATTCGGGTTTTGACCATTGGCCTCAATGGGCACGGAAATGTCTTCTTGCAGATTCTACAAAACAAGTGTTTCCAACCTTCTCAATCAAAAGAAAAGTTTAGTTCTGTGAGATGAATCCACACATCACAAAGTAGTTACACAGATAGCTTATTTTTTTTCCTCTGGGGATATTCGGTTTTTAACCATAGGAAACAACGGGCTCCTAATTGTCTTTTCACAGATTCTACAGAAATGTGTTTCCAACCTGTTGAATCACAAGAAGGTTTAACTCTGAGAGATGAATCCACACATCCCAAAGCAGTTTCACAGGTAGCCTCTTTCCAGTTTTCATCTAGGGATATTTGGTCTTTCACCATAGGCCTCAGTGGGCTTCCAAATTTCCATTAGCAGATTATACAAAAAGACTGTTTTGAAACTACTGAGTCAAAAGAAAAGTTTAACACTGTGAGCAGAATCCACATATCACAAAGCAGTTTAACAGATACTTCCCTTCTAGTTTTTTCCTGTGAATATTCAGTTTTTCACCACAGGTCTGAATGGGCGTTCAAATGTCAGTTCACAGATTCTACAATAAGAGTGTTTCCAACCTGATGAATCAAAACAAAGTTTATCTTAGTGAGATGAATCCACCCATCTCAGAATAGTTTCACAGATAGCTTCTTTCTAGTTTGTATCTGGAGATATTCCATTTTTTTATAGGTGTCAATTGGCTTTAAAATGTCCCTTTTCAGATTCTAAAAACAGAATGCTTCCAATCTGCTGAATCAAAAGAAATGTTTAACACTGTGAGATGAATCTACACATCACAAAGCAGTTTCACTGATAGCTTCTTTCTAGTTTTTGTCTGAAGACATTCGGTTTTTCACCACAGGGCACAATGAGCTCCCCTAAGTCCCTTTACATATTCTACAAAAAGAGTGTTTCCAACCTGCTGAATCAAATTAAAACTTTATCTGTATGAGATAAATCCACACTTCACAAAGCAGTTTCACAGATAGATTCTTTGTAGTTTTTATCTGTGGATATTCAGCTTTTAATCAGAGGCCACAATGGGCTCCCAAAAGCCCCTTTGCAGATTCTACAAAAAGAGTGTTTAAATATGCAGAATCAAAAGAGAGATTTAACTCTTGCAGATGAATCCACGCATCACAAACTAGTTTCACAAATAGGTTTTTTATATGGCAATATTTGTTTTTCCACCTTAGCTTTCATTTGGCTCACAAATGTTCCTTCGCAGATTCTATAAAGAGTGTTAACAATATGCTCAATGAAAAGAAAGGCTTCTCTCTGGAATATGAAACCATAAATCACAAAGCAGTTTCACAGATAGCTTGTTTCTACCTTTTTATCTGGGATATTTGGTTTTTCATCATAAGCTTCAATAGGCTGCCAAATGTCCTTTTGCATATTCTACAAAAAGAGTTTTTCCAACCTGCTGAAACAAAAGAAAGGTTTAAGTCTGTGAGAGGGATTTATACATAAAAAGCAGATTCACAGATAGCTTCTTTCTAGTTTTTATCTTGGGATATCTGTTTTTCAACATAGGCCTCAATGGACTCCCAAATGTCTATTCTCGGGTTCTACAAAAAGAGTGTTTCCAACCCGCTGAATCAAAAGAAAGTTTTATCTTTGTGATATGAATCAACAGACCACAAACCAGTTTCACAAATAGGTCCTTTCAAGTTTTGAACTGGAGATAGTATGTTTTTCACCATAGGCCTCAATAGGCTCTGAAATGTCCATTTGCAGATTCTATACATGAATCTTTGCAACGTTCTGAATCAAAAAATGTTTTAACTCAGTGAGCTAAATCCACACATCACAGAACAGTTTCACTGGCAGTTTCTTTCTAGTGTTTATCTGGGGATATTCTGTTTCTTACCATAGGCATCAATGGGCTCCCATATGTCCTTTTGCAGATTATACAAAAAGAGTGTTTCCTACCTGTTGAATCAAAAGAAACGGGTAACTCTGTGAGGTGAATGTACATATGACAAACCCACTGCACAGATAGCTTCTTTTGAGATTTTATTTGGAGATATTTGATTTTTTCACGTTAGGCTTCAGTAGACTTTGAAAATTCCCTTCACAGATACTAAAAAAATTGTTTCCAACCTGCTGAATCAAAAGAAGGGTTTACCTATGTGAGATGAATGCAAACATCACAAAGCAGTTTCATAGATAACTTCTTTCTAGTTTTTATCTCAGAATATTCAGTTTTTCACCATAGTCCTCAATGGGCTTTCAAATGTCCCTTCACAGATTCTTCAAAAAGTGTGCTTCCAATCTGCTGAATGAAAAGAAAGTTTTAACTCTGTGAGATGAATTGACACATCACAAAGCAGTTTCACACATAGCTTCTTTCTAGTTTTTATTTGGGAATATTCAGTTTTTCACCTTAGGCATCTGTGGGCTGTATAATATCCCTTGCAGATTCTACAAAACAAGTGTTTCAAACCTGAAGTATCAAAAGAAAGCTTTCACTCTGTGAGATGAATCCACACATCACAAAGCAGTTTCACAGATAGCTTATTTCCAGTTTTTATCTGGGGTATTCACTTTTTCACTATAGGCCCCATTGTGCTCCCAAATGTCACTTCACAGTTTCTACAAAAAGACTGTTTCCAACCTGCTGAATCATAAAAAAGGTTTAACTTTGTGAGATGAATCCACACATCACAAAACAGATTCACAAATAGCATCTTTCTAGTTTTTATATGGGGATATCCCATTTTTCACCATAGGCCACAAAGGTGTCATATATGTCCTATTGCAGATTCTACATACAAAGTGTTTCCAACCTGTTGAATTAAAAGAATGGTTTAACTCTGAGGGATGAACCCAAACATCACAAAACAGTTTCACAGATAGCTTGTTTCTTGTTTTATTTAGGGATATTCTGTTTTTCACGGTAAACCCAAATAGACTCCTAAATGTCCCTTTGCAGATTCTACAAAAAGAGTGGTTTCAAGCTACTGAACAAAATAAAGGTTTAATCTGTGAGAAGAATCCATATACCTCAAAGCACTTTCAAAGATAGCTTCTTTCTAATTTCTTTCTGGGGGATATTTACTTTTTCACCATAGGCCTCAATGGGCTCCCAAATGTCCCTTCACAGATTCTACAGAGAAAAGTGTTTCCAACCTGCTGAATCTTCAGAAGGACTTACCTGTGTGAGATTTATCAGAAGGGTTTATCTGTGTACAAAAAGAGTGTTTCCAAACTGCTGAATCAAAAGAAACATTTAACTCTGTGAGATGAATCTACAAATCACAAAGCAGTCTCACAGATAGTTTCTTTTTAGTTTTTATGTAGGGATATTTTATTTTTGACCATACGCCTCAATGATCTCTCAAATGTTCCTTTGCAGATTCTACAAAAATAGTGTTTCCAACCTACTGAATCAAAAGAAAGGTTTAAATCTGAGAGATTATTTCACACATCACAAAACACTTTCCAAGACAGACTCTTTCAAGTTTTTATCTAGCAATATTTTGTTGTTCAGTATGGGCCTTAATGGGCTACAAAATGTTCCTTCACAGATTCTACAAAAAGAGTGTTTCCAACTTGTCGAATAAATATAAAGGTTAACTCTGTGAGATGAATCCACACATCACAAAGCAGTTTAACAGATAGCTTCTTTCTTTTTTTTTTTATCAGGAGAGATTCCGTTTTTCACCATAGGCCTAAGAGGGCTCCCTAATGTCCCTTCACAGATTCTACAAAAAGAGTGTTTCTAACATGATGAATCAAAGGAAAGGTTTAACTCTGTGAGATGCATCCACCAATCACAAAGCAGTTTCACTGATAGTTTCTTTTGAGTTTTTATCTAGGGATATTCTGTTTTTTACCATAGGCCTCAATGCTTTTTTTTTTTTTGAGATGGAGCCTCGCTCTGTTGCCTAGGCTGGAGTGAAGTGGCATGATCTTGGCTCACTGCAAGCTCTGCCTCCTTGGTCCTTGCCTTTCTCCTGCTTCAGCCTCCCAAGTAGCTGGGACTACAGGAACCTGCCATCACACTCAGCTAATGTTTTTTGTATTTTTTGTAGAGATGGGGCTTCACTGTGTTAGCCAGGAGGGTCTTGATCTCCTGACCTTGTGATCCACTTGCCTTGGCCTCCCAAAGTGCTGGGATTACAAGCATGAGCCACCACACCTGGCCAGCCTCAATGCTTTTAAATTACCCTTCACAGATTCTTAAAAAAGAATATTTGCAACCTGCTGAATCAAAAAATAAATTAACTCTGTAAGAGAAATCCACACATCAGAAATCATTTCGCAGATAGCTTCTTTCTAATTTTTATCTGGGTGTGTTCTGTTTTTCACTATAGGCCTCAATGGGCTCCAAAATGTCACTTTGCAGAGTCTACAATAAAAGTGTTTCCAACATGCTGAATAAAAAGAAAGGTTTAACTCTGTGAGATGAATTGACACATCACAAAGCCATTTCACACATAGCTTATTTCTGGTTTTTATCTGAAGAAGTTCATTTTTTTCCATAGGCTTCAATGGGACCTGATATGTCCATCAGAGATTCTACAAAAAGTGGGTTACCAACCATCCAAATGAAAAGAAAGGTTTATATCTGTGAGATAACAGCACGCATCAAACAGGGGTTTCATAGATAGCTTCTTTCCAGTTTTTTCTGGAAATGTCTGGTTTTTCACCATAGGTCTCAATGGGATCCCAAATGTCCCTTTGCAGATTCTACAAAAAGAGAGCTTCCAACCTGCTAAATCAAAAGAAAAGTTTAACTCTGTGAGATGAATCCACACATCACAAAGCTATTTCACACATAGCTTCTTTCTAGTTTTTATCTGGGGATATTTGATTTTTCACCATAGACCTCAAAGGGCCCCAAAATGTCCCTTTGCAGATTCTACAAAAAGACTGTTTCCAACCTGGTGAATCAAAAGAAAGAATGAAGTTTGTGAGTTGAATCCACACATCACAAAGCAATTTCACAGAGAGTTTCCTTCTACTTTTTATGTGGGGATATTCACCTTTTCACCATAAACCTCAATGGGCTCCCAAATTCCCTTCACAGAATCTACAAAAAGAGTGTTTTTAACCTGCCGAATCAAAAGAACGGTTTAACTCTGTGAGATGAATGCACACATCAGAAAGCAGTTTCACAGATATCTTCTTTGCAGTTTTCATCTGAAGATATTCAGTTTTTCAACATAGGCCTCAAGGGCTTTCAAATGTTTCTTTGCAGATTTTACAAAAAGAGTGTTTTCAACTTGCTGAATAAAAAGAAAGGTTTAGTACTGTGAGATGAATCCACATCTCACAAGGCAGTTTTACAGAGAGCTTCTATCTACCTTTTATCTGGGGATATTTAGCTTATTATCATAGGTCTCAATGAGCTCCCAAATGTCCCTTCACCAATTATACTAAAAGAGTGTTTCCAAACAGATGAATCAAAAGAAAGGTTTAACTCTGTGAGATGAATCCACACATTGCAAAGCAGTTGAACAGATACCTTCTTTCTTGTTTTTATAAGGGGATATTTTGTTTTTCACAGTAGTCCTCAATGGGATCCAAAATGTCCCTTCACATATTCAACAAAAAGAGTGTTTCCAACCTGCAGAGGGAAAAGAAATGTTAACTCTGTGAGATGATTCCAAATATCACAAAACAGTTTCACAGATAGCTCCTTTCTAGTTTTCATCTGGGGGTATTCAGTTTTTCACCATAGGCCTCAATGGGCTCCAAATGTCCCTTCAAAGATTCTACAAAACAGTGTTTCTGACCTGCTGAAACAAAAGAAAAAATGTAACTATGTGAGATGAATTGACACAACACAAAGCAGATTCATACATAGATTCTTTCTTATTCTTATCTGTGGATATCCCGTTTTTCAACATAAGTATCAATGGGCTCACAAATTTCACTTCCTAGATTCTACAGAAATAGTGTTTCCAACCTGCTTAATCAAAAGAATGGTTTAACTCTGTGAGTTGAATCCACACGCCAAAATGAAAGTGTACAGATTACTTCTTTCTAGTTTTTATGTGGGGATGTTCTGTTTTTCACTATCATCCTCAATCAGGTCTCAAATATTTCTTCACAGATTCTACCAAAAAAGTGTTTCCAACTTGTGAAATCAAAAGAAAGGTTTAATTCTGTTAGATGAATCCACACATCCCAAAGCACTTTCACAGATAGCTTCTTCCTAGTTTTTATCTGTAGATATTCAGTTTTTCATCCTATGCCTCAAAGGACTCCCAAATATCCAACCAAAGATTCCACAAAAAGAGTGTTTCCAACCTGCTGAATCAAAAGAAAGGTATAACTATGTGAGATGAATCCACACATCACAAAACTGTTCACAGATAACTTCTTTCTAGTTTTTATATGGGGATATTCAGTTTTCACCATAAGCCTCAATGGGCTCCCAAATGTCCATTAACAGATTCTACAAAGAGTGTTTCTAATCTGCTGAATCAAGAGAACAGTTTACCTAAGTGAGATGATTGCACACATCACAAACAGTATCACAAAGAGATTCTTTTTAGGATTTTTCTGGGAATATTCTATTTTTCACCATAGGCCTCCATGGGCTCCCAAATATCTCTTCACACATCCTACATCTAAAGTGTTTCCAACCTGCTGAATCAAAATAAAAGTTTAAATCTGTGAGGTGAATCCAGACATCACAAAGCAGTTTCACAGATAGATTCCTTCTAGTTTTTATCCGGGGATATTCACTTTTCCACCATAGGTCTCAATGGGTTCCCAAATGTCCCTTCACAGATTCTACAAATAGAGTGTTTCCAACTGCTGAATCAAAGGAAATGTTTAACTCTGTGAGATGAACCCACACATCACAAAGCAGTGACACAGATACCTTCCTTCTAGTTTTTATTTGAGATATTCTTTTTTCACCATAGGCCTCAATAGGCTTGTAAATGTCAATTTGCAGATTGTACCAAAAGATTTTTACCAACCCACTGAATTAAAAGAGAGGTTTAACTGTGTGAGGTGAATCCAAACATCACAAAGCATTTCCACAGATAGCTTCTTTCTAATTTTTATCTGGGGATAATCAGATTTTCACCACAGGTCTCAGTGTGCTCCCAAATGTTTCTACAGAGTGCTTCCAACCTGCTGAATCAAAAGAAATGTTTAACTCTGTCAGTTGAATCCACACATCACAAAGCAGTTTCTCAGATAGCTTGTTTCTACTTTTTAAATAGAGACATTCCATTTTTAAAAAACATGCAACAAAGGGCTTTCAAATGCTCCTTTGTAGATTCTATGAAAAAAGTGTTTCCAAGCCACTGAATCAATAGAAATGTTTAACTCTGTGAGATGAATCCACCCATTAGAGCACAGTTTCACAAATAGCTTCTTTCTGGTTTTTATGTGGGGATATTTGGTTTTTCATTACAGGCCTCAATGTGCTCCCAAATGACCCCTCACAAATTGTACAAAAAGAATGCTTTTATCTGGCAATATTCGATTTTTCACCATACACCTCAATGGGCTTCCAAATGTCCCTTCGCAGATTCAACAAAAACAGTGTTTCCAACCTGCTGAATCAAAGCATATGTTAACTTGGTGAGATGAATGTGCAAATCAAAATGCAGTTTCACAGATTCTTTCTAGTTTTTTTCTGGGAACATTCGGTTTTTCACCATAGGCCTCAGTGGGCTCTTAAATGTCAATTTGCAGATTCTACAAAAATAGTGTTTCCAACCTGCTGAATCAACAGAAAGGTTTAACTCTGTGAGATGAATGCACACATCACAAAGCAGTTTCACAGATAACTTCTTACTAGTTTTTATCTGGGGATGTTTGGTTTTTCACCATAGGCCTCAATGGGCTCCTAAATGTAAATTTGCATATTCTACAAATAGATTGTGTCCAACCTGCTGAATAAAAAGAAAGGTTTATTTTTCTGTGGTGAATCCACACATCACCACTATAAAAAGAGTGTTTCCAACCTTCTGAATTAAAAGCAAGGTTTAACTCTTTGATATGAATTTACACATCACAAAGCAGTTTCACTGACAGCTTCTTTCTAGTTTTTTTTCTGTTACTCACCATTGGTCTCAATGGGCTCCCCAGTGTTCCTATGCAGATTCTACAAAAGAATGTTTCAAACCTGCTAAATCAAAAGAAAGATTTAACTCAAGGAGATGAATTCACACATCACAAAGCAGTTTCACAGATAGCATCTTTCTAGTTTCTATCTGGGCATATTCAGTTTTTCATCATAGAATTCAATGGGATCCCTAATGTCTTTTTGCAGATTCTATAAAAAGTGTGTTTCCAACCTGTTGAATCAAAAGAAAGGTTTAACTCTGTGAGATGAATCTATACATCACAAAGCAGTTTCACAGATAGCTTCTTTGTAGTTTTTATGTGGGGTTATTCAGTGTTTCACCAAAGGCCTCAGTGGGCTCCTAAACGATTCTTCACAGATTCTACAAAAAAAGTTTCCAACCTGCTGAATCAAAAGAAAGGTTTATCTCTGTGAGATGAACGCACACATCACAAAGCACTTTCACAGGTAGGTTTTTTCTACTGTTTCTCTGGGGATATTCAATTTTTCACCATAAGCATTATTTGGCTCCCAGTTGTCCATTCATAGATTCTAAAAAAAGAGTGTTTCCAACTTGTGGAATGAAAAGAAAGGTTTAATTCTGTGAGAGAAACCCACACATCACAAAGCACTTTCAAATACTGCTTCTTTCTAGTTGTTATCTGGGGATATTCAGTTTTTCACCATAGGTCTCAATGGGCTATCAAATGTCCCTTTGCAGATTTTACAAAAAGTTTTTCCAACTTGCTGAATTTAAATAAAAGTTTATCTCTGTGAGATGAATCGACACATCACAAAGCAATTTCACCAATACTTTTCTACCAGTTTTTTATGAGGATATTTTGTTTTTCAACATAGGCCTCAATGGGCACCAAATTGTCCCTCTGTAGATTCTACAAAAAGAGTGTTTGCAACCTACTGAAACAAAAGAAAGGTTTAACTATGTGAGACGAATGCACACGTTGCAAAGCAGTTTAACTGATAGCTTCTTTCTCATTTTTATCTGGAGATATTTTGTTTTTCACCACAGTCCTCATTAGGTTCCCAAATATCCCTTCACAGATTCTACAAAAAGAGTATTTCTAACATGCTGAATCAAAAGAAAGGTTTAACTCTGTCACATGAAGCCACACATCACAAAGCAGTTTCACAGATGGCTTCTTTCTAATTTTCCTCTGGGGATATTGTTTTTTTCACCCTAAGCTTTAATGGGCCCCCATTGTCCCTTCACAGATTCTACAAAAAGAGTGTTTCCAAACATTCGAATCAAAAGAAAGTTTTAATCTGAGATGAATCCACACATCTCAAACCACTTTCACAGACAGCTTCTTTCTAGTTGTTATCTGGGGATATTCAGTTTTTCACCATTGGCCTCAAAGGGCTCCCAAATGTCCCTTCACAGATTCTACAAAAAGAGTGTTTCCAACCTGCTGAATCAAAAGAAAGGTTTAACTCTGTAGATGATTGATACATCACAAAGCAGCTTCACAGACAGCTTCTTTGTAGTTTTTCTCTGGGTATAATCGGTTTTTCACCATAGGCCTCACTGGGCTCCCAAACGTCTCTTCACAGATACTACAAAAAGAATGTTTCCAACCTGCTGAATCAAAAGAAAGATTTAACTCTGTGAGATGAATCTAAACGTCACAAAGCTGTTTCACAGATACCTTCTTTATAGTGTTTATCTGGGGATATTTGGCTTTTTACCATGGGTCTCAATGGGCCCCCAAATCTTCCTCACAAGATTCTATGAAAAGAGTGTTTCCAACCTGACAAATCAAAATAAAGTTTTAACTCTGTGAGAGGAATCAGTGCATCACAAAGCAGATTCACTGAAAGCTTCTTTCAAGTTTTTATCTGAATATATTCGGTTTTTCATGATAGGCCTCAATGGGCTTCCAAATGTCCATTAACAGACTCTACAAAACAATTGTTTACAACCTACTCAATTAAAAAAAAAGTTTAACTCTGTAAGGTGAATTCATACATAATGAAGCAGTTTCAATGTTAGCTTCTTTCGAGTTTTTATTTAGAGGTATTTTGTTTTTAAACATTGGCCTCAAAGAGCTCCCAAATATCCCTTTGCAGATTCTACAAAACAAGTGTTTCCAACCTTCTGAACCAAAATAAAAGTTCAACTCTGACAGATGAGTCCACACAATGCAAAGCAGTTTCACTAACAGCTTTTTTTTTTTTTTTATCAGGGGAATTTCTTTTTCTTTTTTTACTATAGGCCTCAATGTGCTCCAAAATGTCCCTTCACAGATTCTACAGAATAAGTGTTTCCAACCTGCTGAATCAAAACAAAGGTTTAACTCTGTGAGACAAATCCACACATCACAAAGCCCTTCCACAGATAGCTTATTTGTAGTTTTTCTTTGAGGATATTTAATTTCTCACCCTGGGCATCAATGGGGTCCCAATTGTCCCTCACAGATGCTACAAAAAGAGTGTTTTCAACCTTTTGTATCAAAAAAGATTAATCTGTGAGATGAATCCACACATCACAAAGCACTTTCACAAATAGTTTCTTTCAATTTTTAATCTGGAAATATTCAGTTTTTAACCATTGGCCTCAAAGGGCTCCCAAGTCCCTTCAGAGATTTTACAAAAAGAGTGTTTCAAACATGCTAAATCAAAAGAGGTTTAACTCACTCAGTGGCATGAATCCACAGGTCAAAAAGCAGTTTCAGAGATTGTTTCTTTCTAGTTTTTATATGGGGATATTCCATTTTTCACCATACGCCTCAATGGGCAACAAAATTTCCCTTGACAGATGCTACAAAAAGAGTGTTTACAACCTCCTTAATCAAAAGGAAGCTTTTACTCCCTGAGATTAATCCACACATCACTAAGCAGTTTCACGGATAGATATTTTCTGCTTTTTATCCGAGAGTATTCTGTTTTTCACAACAGACTTCAATAAGCTCTCAAATGTCCCTTTGCAGAGTCTACAAAAATAATGCACCCAAACTGCTGAATCAAAAGAAAGGTTTAACTCAGTGATATGAATCCACACATCACAAACCAGCTTCACAGATAGTTTCTTTCTAGTTTTATTTTGAAAATATGTAGTTTTTCACCATAAGAATCAATGAACTCCCAAATGTTCCTTTGCAGAGTCTACATACAGAGTGTTTCCAAACTCCTGAAACAAAAGAAAGGTTTAACTCTGTGAGATGTATCCACACATTACAAAGCAATTTCACAGACAGCTTCTTTCTCGTTTTTATTTGGAGATTTTTTTTTTCACCATAGTCTTCAATGGGCTCCCAAAGTCCCTTCACAGAGTCTATGAAAAGAGTGTTTCCAACCTGCTGAATCAAAAGAAAGGTTTAACTCTGTCATACGAACCAACACATCACAAAGCAGTTTCACAAATGGCTTCTTTCTAGTGTCTTTATGGGGATACCCAGTTTTTCACCCAAGGCATCAATTGGCTCCCAATTGTCCATTTGCAGATTCTGCAAAAAGGTGTTTCCAAACATTTGACTCAAAAGAAAGGTTTATTTTGAGATGAATATTCACATCTCTAAGTACTTTCACAGATAGTTTCTTTCTAGTTTTTATCTGCAGATATTCAGTTTTTCACCATAGGCCACAATGGGCTCCCAAACGTCCCCTCACAGATTCTAGAAAAAGAGTGTTTTCAACCTGCTAAATCAAAAGAAAGGCTGAACTCTGTGAGATGAATCCATATATCCAAAGCAGTTTCACTGATAGCTTGTTTTTAGTTTTTATGTAGCAATATTGGGTTTTTCACAATAGGCCTCCATAGGCTCTCAAAAGTCCCTTTGCAGATTCTACAAAAAGAGTGTTTCCCATATGCTAACACAAAAATAAGGCTTAACTCTGTGACATGAATCCACACATCACAAAGTTGTTTCACAGATAGCTTCACTGTAGTTTTTATCTGTCAATATTCAGTTTTTTAACCATAGGCCTCAAAGGGCTTTCAAATGTTTCTTAGCAGATTCTACAAAAAGAGTGTTTCCAGCCTGCTGAATCAAAAAATAGGTTTCATTCTGTCAGATGAATCCAGTCAAACCCAAGCAGTTTTACAGGTAGCTTCTTTCTAGCTTTTATCTGAGGCTATTCAGGTTTTCACCATAGGCCTCAAAGAGGTTCCAAATGTCACTATGCAGATTCTACAAAAAGAGTGTTTTCAACCTGCTGAACAAAAGAAAAGTTTAACTTTGTGAGATAAATCCACATATCACAAAGCAGTTTCACAAATAGCTTCCTCTAGTTTTTATCTGGGGATATTATTCAGTTTTTATTCGTAGGCCTTACTACTATTTCAAATGTCCATTTGCAGATTCTACAAAAGGAGAATTTCCAACCTGCTGAATCAAAGAAAGTGTTAACTCCGTGAGACTAATCTACTTCTCACACAGCTCTTTCACAGATAACTTCTTTCTAGTTTTTCTCTGGGGATATTTGGTTTTTCACCATAGGCATCAATGGGCTCCCAAAAGTCCCTTCATAGAGCCTACAAAAAGAGTGTTTCCAACCTGCTGAATCAAAAGAAAGGTTTGTCTCTGTGAGAGGACTCCACCCACCACAAAGCAGATTCACAGATAGCTTCTTTCTAGTTTTTCCCTAGGGATATTGTTTTTCACCATAGACATCAATGAGCTCCCAAATATTCCTTCACAGATTATACAAAAAGGCTGTTTTCAACCTGCTGAAGAAATGTTTAACTCTGTGACAGGAATCCACGGATTACAAATTAACAGATAGCTCCTTCCTAGTTCTTCACTGGGGACATTCAGTTTTTCACCATAGGCCTCAACGGGCTCCCCAATGTCTCTTTGCAGATTATACAAAACTGTGTTTCCAATCTGTTGAATCAAAAGAAACGTTTAACTCTGTAAGATGAATCTACATATCACAAATCAGTTTCACAGATAGCTTCTTTCTAGTTTTTCTCTGGGGATATTTGGTATTTCACCATAGGCCTCTTTGGACTCCCAAATGTCCTTTCACAGATTCTATGAAAGAAGTGTTTCCAATCTGAAGAATCAAAAGAAAGGATTAACTCTGTGAGATGAATCCACACATCACAAAGCAGTATCACATATAGCTGCTTTACAGTTTTTAT
This sequence comes from Homo sapiens, assembly GCF_000001405.40. Classification (NCBI taxonomy): domain Eukaryota; kingdom Metazoa; phylum Chordata; class Mammalia; order Primates; family Hominidae; genus Homo; species Homo sapiens. Next base: position 43,608,955 of record NC_000008.11, on the reverse strand, counting down.
CTGGGGATATTCAGTTTTCTCACCTTAGGCCCCATGGACTCCATAATGTACCTTCACAGATTCTACAAAAAGAGTGTTTCCAACCTGCTGAATAAAAGGAAGGTTTATCTCTGTGAGATGAAAGTGCACATCAAAAAGCAGATTCACAAATATTGTCTTTCTAGTTTTTATCTGGGGATATTTGGTTTTTCACAATAGGCGTCAATGGCCTCCAAAATGTCCCCTCACTAATTCTACATACAGAGTGTTTTCAACCTGCTGAATCAAAAGAAAGGTTTAACTCTGTGAGATAAATCCACACATCACAGGGCAATTTCAGAGATAGCTTCTTTCTAGTTTGTATCTGGGGAGACTCGATTTTTCACCATAGGCCTCAACGTGCTCAAAAATGTCCCTTCACAGATTCCACAAGAAAAGGGTTTTCCACGTGCTGAAACAAAAGAAAGGTTTATCTCTGTGAGATGAATCCACACATCACAAAGCACTTTCACAGATAGCTTATTTCTGTTTTTTCTCTGGGGATATTCAGTTTTCCTCTCAAGGCTTCAATGGTGTCCCAATTGTTCCATTGTAGAATCTACAAAAAGGGTGTTTCCAATTTTTTGAATCAAAAGCAAGGTCTAATCTTTGAAATAAATAGGCACATCACACAGCGGTTTCACAGATAGCTTCTTTCTAGTTTTTACCTGAAGATACTCTGTTTATCACCATAGGCATTGTTGGGCTCCCAAACGTTTTTTACAGATTCTTCAAAAAAATTGCTTCCAATCTCCTGAATCAAAAGAAAGGTTTAACTCTGTGAGATGAATTGACAAATTACAAAACAGATTTACAAATAGTGTCTTTCTAGTTTTTTATCTGGGGATATTTGCTTTCTCACCATAGGCCTCAATGGGTTCCCAAATATCCCTTCACAAATTCTACATACAGAGTGTTTCTAACCTGGTTAATCAAAAGAAAGGTTTAACTCTGTGAGGTGAATCCACACATCAAAAAGCAGTTTCACAGAGAGCTTGTTTCTAGTTTTTATGTAGGGATATTCAGTTTTTCATGATATTCCTCCATAGGCTCTCAAATGTCCTTTCACAGATTTTACAAAAATAGTTTTTCCCACCTGCTTAAAAAAAGAAAGTTTTAACACTGTGAGATGAATCCACACATCACAAAGCAGTTTCACAGATAGCTACTTTCTAGTTTTGATCTGGAGATATTCAGTGTTTAACCATTGGCATCAATAAGCTCCCAAATATCTCTTCGCAGATTCTACAAAAAGATTGTTTCCAATCTGCTGAATCAAAAGAAAGGTCTAACTCAGTGAGATGAGTCTACAAATCACAAAGTAGTTTCTCAAATAAATTCTTCCCTGTTTTATCTTGGGATATTCGATTTTTCACCATAGGCCTGAATGGGCACCCAAATGTCCCTTTGCAGATACTACAATAAGGGTTTATCCAACCTGCTGAATCAGAAGAAAGGTTTAACTCCGTGAAATGAATGTGCACTTCACAAAGCAGTTTCACAGTTAGATTCTTTCTAGTTTTGATCTGGGATCATTAAAGTCCTCAATCAGCTTTTAAATATTTATTTAATTTAATTGTTAAATATTTAATTTAATTTATTTTATTTAATTTTTAAATTATTTATTTAAATTATTAATTTAATTTAATTTATTTAATTTAATTTTTTAATATTTAAAAGGGTGTTTGCAACGTGTTAAATCAAAACAACAGTTTAAGTCTGTGAGTTGATTCCACACACCACAATGCAGTTTCACTGATAGCTTCTTTGTAGCTTTTATCTGGGGATATTCAGTTCTTCACCATAGGCCATGATAGGCTTTCAAATGTCTTCTCACAGATTCTACAAAAAGAGGGTTTCCAACCTGCTAAGTCAAAAGAAACCTTTGATTCTGTGAGATGAGTCCACACATCACAATGCAGTTTCACAGAGAACTCCTTTCTGGTTTTTCTCTGGGGATATTCGGTTTTCCACCCTAGGCATTAGTGGGCTCCCAGTTGTCCCTTCACAGAATTTACAAAAAAAACCGTTTCCAACATTTTGAATCAAAAGAAACGTCTAATCTGTGAAATGAATCCACACATCACAAAGCAGTTTCACAGATAGCTTTCTTCCAGTTTTTATCTGTGGATATTCTGTTATTCACCATAGGCTTCAATCAGTTCCCAAATGTCCCTTCTCAGATTCTACAAAAAGAGTGTTTCCAACCTGCTAAATCAAAAGAAAGATTTAACTCTGTAAGTTGAACTCACACATCAAAAAGCAGTTTCACAAATAGCGTCTTTTTAGTTCTTATCTGGGAATATTCAGTTTTTCACTATAGGCCTTGATGGTCTCTCAAATATTTTTTCCAAAATTCTACATGCAGAGTGTCCCAACCTGCTGATTCAAAGGAAATGTTTACCTCTGTGAGATGACTCCACACATCACAAAGCCATTTCACAGATAGCTTGTTTCAGTTTTTGTCTAAAGATATTCGGTTTTTCACGATAGTCCTCCTTAGGCTCTCAAAAGTCCCTTCGCAGATTCTACAAAAAGAGTGTCTCTCACCTGCTGAATGAGAAGAAAGATTTAATTCTGTGAGATGGAGCCAACATCACAGAGAAGTTTCACAGAGAGCTTCTTTATAGTTTTTATCTTTGAATATTCAATTTTTCAAGGTAGGCCTCAATGGGCTCACAAATGTCCTTTCACAGATTCTATGAAAAAAGTCTTTCCAACTGCTGAATCTAAGGAAAAATTTATCTGTGTGAGATGAATCCAATCATCACAAAATAATTTCACAGATAGCTTCTTTCTAGTTTTTCTCTGGGGATATTCTGGTTTTCACCATCAGCCTCAATGGGCCCCCAAATGTCCCTTCACATATTCCACAAAAAAAGTGTTTCTAACCTGCTGAATCAAAATAAAGCTTTTACTCTGTGAGATGAATGGATACAACACAAAGCAGTTTCACAGATAACTTCTTTTCAGTTTTTTTCTGGGGATATTCGGTTATTCAAAATAGCCCCAAATGGGCTCCCAAATGACCCTTCACAGATTCTACAAAAAGAATATTTACAACCTGCTGAATCAAAAGAAAGGTTTAACTCTATCAGAGGAATCCACACATGACAAAGAAAATTCACAGAAAGCTTCTTTCTAGTTTTTGTCTGTTTTTGACATTAGGTCAAAATATCAGTTTGATATCAGTTTTTGACATTAGGCCTCAATGGACTCCAAAATGTCCCTTCACAGATTCTACAAAAGCAGTGTTTCCAACATGTTGAATCAGAAAAAAGGATTAACTCTGAGATGAATCCACACATCACAAAGCAGTCTCACAGATACCTTCTTGCCAGTTTTTATCTGAGGATATTTGGTTTTTCACCATAAGCCTCAAAGGGGCTCCCAAATGTCCCTGTGCAGATTCTACATACAGAGTGTTTCCAACCCGCTGAATCAAAAGAGAGGTTTAACTGTGTGAGATATAGCCACACATCACAAAGCAGTTTCACTGATACCTTCTTTCTAGTTTTTAATCTGGAGATATTCGATTTTTATCATAGGTCTCGATGGGCTCCAAAATGTTTCTTTGTGGATTCTACAAAAAGAGTATTCCAACCTGCTGAACAAAAGACAGTTTTAACACTATGAGATGAATCCATACTTCACAAAGCAGTTTCACAAATAACTCCCTATATTTTTTATCTGGGGATATTCACTTTTTCACCATAGGCTTCACTATTTTTTCCAATGTCCTTTCACTGATTCTACACAACGAGTGTTTCCAACCTGCTGAATTAAAGAATGTGTTAACTCTGCGAGATGGATGTACAAATCACAAAGCAGTTTCACAGATAGCTTCTTTCAAGTTCTCTGGGTATATTAGGTTTTTCACCCTCGGCCACAAAGTGCTCACAAATGTCCCTTCACAGATTCTACACAACCCACTCAATCAAAGGAAGGTTTAACTCTGTGAGAGGAATCCACACATCACAAAACAGAATCACAGATATCTTCATTCTAGTTGTTATCTGATGATAGTCAGTTTTTCATGATAGGCCTCAATGGGCTCTTGAATGTCCCTTCACAGATTCTACAAAACGAGTGTTTCCAACCTGCTTAACCAAAAGAAAGCTTTAACTCTGTGAGATGAATCCACACATCCCAAAGCAGCTTCACAGATAGCTTCTTTCTAGTTTTATCTGAAGATATTCAGTTTTTAACCACTGGCCTCAATGGGCTTCAAAATGTCCCTTTGCAGGTTCTACAAAAAGAGTGTTTCCATCTTGCTAAATCAAAAGAAACGTTTAACTATGTGAGATGAATTCACACAACAAAAAAAAAAATTCACAGACAGCTTCTTTCTCATTCGTATCTGAAGACACTCAGTTTTTAAACACTGGCCTCAATGTGCTTCCAAATGTCCCTTTGCAGATTCTACAAAAAGAGTGTTTCCAACCTGCTAAATCAAAAGAAAGGTATATCTTTGTGAGATGAGTCCACACATCACAAAGGACTTTTACAGATGGCTTTGTTCTAGTTTTTCTCTTGGGAAATTTGGTTATCCACCCTAGGCATCAATGGGCAGATTCTACAAGTAAGTGTTTCCAACCTTTTGAATAAAAAGAAAGGTCTAATCTGTGAAATGATTCCACACATCAGAAAGCACTTTCACAGATAGCTTCTTTCTAGTGTATATCTGGGGATATTCAGTTTTTCACCATAGGCCTCAATAGGCTCCTGAAATTTTCTTCACAGATTCAGCAAAAAAAGTGTTTTCAACCTGCTGAATCAAAAGAAAGGTTTAACTCTGTGTGATGAATCCACACATCACAAAATTTCACAGATAGCTTCTTTTGAGTTTTTATCTGGGGATAATCTATTTTTTAACATCAGCCTCAATGGGCTCCCAAATGTCCCTTCACAGATTCTACAAAAACAGTGCTTCCAACCTGCTAAATCAAAAGGAAGGATTAACTCTGTGAGATGAATTCACACATCACAAAGCAGATTCACAAATAGTGTCTTTTTAGTTTTCATCTGGAGCTATTTGGTTTTTCACCATAGGCTTCAATGGTCTCTCAAATATTCCTTTGAAAATTCCACATACAGAGTGTTTCCAACCTGCTGAATCAAAAGAAAAATTTACCTCTGTGAAATGAATCTAGATATCACAAAGCCATTTCACAGATAGTTTGTTTCTAGCTTTTATCTAAAGATATTTCATTTTTCACTAGAGTCCCCTAACACTCTCAAATGTTGCATTGTAGTTTCTAAAAAAAAGAGTGTTTTGCACCTGCTGAAACAAAAGAAAGGTTGAACTTTGTTAGATGAATCCACACATCACAAAGCAGCTTCACAGATACCTCCTTTCTAGTTTCCATCTGGGGATATCGGGTTTTTCACCATAGGCCTCAATGCTCTTCCAAATGTCCACTCGCAGATTCTACAAAAAAAGTGTTTCCAACCTCCTGAATCTAAGGAAGTATTTATCTGTTTGAGATGAATCCAAACATCACAAAGCAATTTCACAGATAACTTCTTTCTAGTTCTATCTGAAGATGTTCAGTTTATCACCATGGCCTCAATGGGCTCAAAAATGTCCCTTTGCAGATTCTACAAAAAGAGTGTTCCCAAAGTGCTGAATCAAAAGAAAGCTTTTACTCTGTGAGATGAATTGACACATCATAAATCAATTTCACCTATAGCTTCTTTCCAGTTTTTATCTGGGGATATTCAGTTTTTCACCATAGGCCTCAACAGGGTTTCAAATATACCTTCACAGATTCTACAGAAAGAATATTTCTGTCAGTTGCAGTGGCTCATGTCTGCGATCCCAGCACTTTGGGAGGCTGAGGTGGGCAGATCACAAATTCAGGAGATGATGGAGACCATCCTGGCTATCATGGTGAAACCGCATCTCTACAAAAACACCAAAAAAAAATTAGCTGGGTTTAGTGGCGGGTGCCTGTAGTCACAGATGTTTGGGAGGCTGAGGCAGGAGAATGGCATGAATCTGGGAGGCAGAGCTTGCAGTGAGCCGAGATCATGCCAGTGCACTCCAGCCTCGGTGGCAGAATGAGACTCCATCAAGAAAAAAGGAATATTTCCAACCTGCTGAATCAAAATAAAGATTTAACTCTGTGAGAGGAATCCACACATCACAAAGCAGAATCATGGATAGCTTCTTTCTATTTTTCATCTTGGGATATTGGTTTTTCATGATAGGCCTCAATGGGCTTTTGAGTGTCCCTTCACTGATTCTACAAAAAGAGTGTTTCCAACCTGCTGAATCAAAAGAAATGTTTAACTCTGTGAGATGAGTCCACACATCACAAGGCAGTTTCACACCTAGCTTCTTTCTAGTTTTTATCTGGGGATAGGTGGTTTTTCACCATAGGTCTCAATGGACTCCCAAATGTCCCTTCACAGAGGTTACAAAAAGAGTGTTTTCAGCCTGCTAAATCAAAAGAAAGGTTTAACTCCTGTGAGATGAACCCACACATCATAAAACAGTTTCACAGATAGCTTCTTTCTAGTATTTTTGGGGGGCTATTCTGTTATTCACCATAGGTCTCCATGAGGTTTCCAACGTCCCTTCACAGATTCTACAAAAAGAGTGCTTCCAACCTGCTGAGTCAAAAGAAAGTTTTATCTCTGTGAGATGATCCCAGACACCACAAAGCAGTTTCACAGATAGCTTCTTTCCAGTTTTTATCTGGCGATGTTCAGTTTTTCATTATAGGCCTCCATGGCCTCCCAAATGTCTTTTCATAGATTCTCCAAAATAGTGTTTCCAATCCGCTGAATCAAAAGAAAGGTTTAAATTTGTGAGATAATCTACCCATCACAAAGAAGTTTCACAGATAGCTTCTTTCTAGTTTTTATCTGGAGATAGTAGGTTTTTCATTTTCAGACTCAGAGGGCTCCCAAATGTTTCTTTGCAGAGTCTACAAAAAGAGTTTTTCCAAACTGCTAAATCAATAGGAAGGTTTAACTCTGTGAGATGAATCCACACATCACAAACCAGTTTCACAGATAACTTCTTGCTAGTTTTTATCTTAGGATATTCTTTTTTTTTTTTTTTTTTTTTACCACAGGCTTCAATGGACTCCCAAAAGTCCCTTTGCAAATTCCACATTCAGAGTGTTTCCCACCTGCTGAATCAAAAGAAAGTCTTAACTCTGTGAGATGAATCCACACATCACAAAGCAGTTTTATAAATAGATTCTTTCTAGTTTTTATCTGGGATTATTCCCTCTTTCAAAATAAGTCTCCAGAGGCTCCCAAATGTCCCTTCACAGATTCTAGAAAAAGTGTTTCCAACTTGCTGAATCAAAAAAAGTTTTAACTGTGGGAGATGAATCCACACATCACAAAGCAGTTTCAAGATGGCTTGTTTCTAGTTTTTATCTATGGATATTAGGTTTTTCATGATAGCCTTCAATAGGCTCCCAAGAGTCCCTCGCAGATACTACAAAAACAATGTTTCCAACCTGCTGAAACAAAAGAAAGGTTAATTAATTCTGTGAGATGAATCCACACTTCACAAAGCATTTCACAGATAACTTCATTCTAGTTTTCATTTGTTGTTATTCAGTTTTTTAAACATAAGCCTCAAAGGGCTCCCAAATGTCCCTTTGCAGATTGTACAAGAAGACTGTTTTCAATCTACTGAATGAAAAGAAAGGTTTAACTCTTTGAGATAAATACACACATCACAAAGCAGTTTCACAAATAATTTCTTTCTAGTTTTTACCTGGAGATATTCCATCTTTCACTGTAGGCCTCAGTGGGCTTCCAAATGTCCCTTCACAGATTCTACAAAAAGAATGTTTCCAATTTGCTGAAATAAAAGAAAGGTTAAACTCTGTGAGAGAAATCCACACATAACAAAGCAGATTCACTCATAGCTTTTATCTGGTTTTTATCTGAAGACATCAGTTTTGCACCATAGGCCTCAATGAGCTCCCAAGTGTCCCTTTGCATATTCTACAAAATGAGTGTTTCCAACCTGCTGAATAAAAAAAAAAGGTTTAAATATGTTAAAGGGATCCACACATCACAAAGCAGATTCACACATAACTTCTTTATAATTTTTATCTGTGGGTATTCAGTTTTTCATCATAGGCCTCAATGGGCTCCCAAATGTCCCTTCGCAGATTCTACAAAAAGAGTGTACAACCTGCTGAATAAAAAGAAAGGTTTAACTTTGTGAGATGAATGAACACATCACAAAGCAGTCTTACAGATAGATTCTTTATAGTTTTTAATTGGGGATATTTTGTTTTTCACCTTAGGCCTCAAAGAGCTCCCAAATATCCCTTTGCAGATTCTACAAGGAGAAGGTTACCAACCTGATGAATCAAAAAAAGGGTTAATTTGTAAGATGAATCCACACATCACAAAGCAGTTTCACAGAGAGCTTCTTCCAGGTTTTATTTGAAGATATTCAGTTTTTCACCATTGGCCTCAATGGGATTACAAATGTCCCTTCTCAGATTATACAAATGGAGTGTTTCCAACCAGTTGAGTCAAAAGAAAGATTTAACTCTGTGAGATGAATCCACACATCACAAAGCATTTTCACTGTTGGCTTCTTTTTAAATTTTATCTGGGGATGTTCAGTTTTTTACCACAGTCCTCCAAGGGCTCTTAAATATCCCTTTGCAGATTCTATGAAAAGAGTGTTTCCAATCTGCTGAATCAAAGGAAAGTCTTTTCTCTGTGTGATGAATCCACACATCACAAAGCAGTTTCACACATAGCTTCTTTCTAGTTTTTAATCAAAGGGTATTTACTTTTTCACCTTAGGCCTCAATGGACTTCCAAATGTGCCTTCACAGATTCTATAAAAAGTGCTATCAACATGCTGAATCAAAAGAAATGTTTAACTTTGTAAGACAAATCCTCTTTCACAAAACAGTTTCACAGATAGATACTTTCTATTTTTTATCTGTTGATAATTCAGTTTTTCAACAATAGACCTCAAAGGGCTCCCATATGTCCATTCACAGATTTTACAAGAGTGTTTCCAACCTGCTAAATGCAAAGAAATGTTTATCTCTTTTAGAAGAATCCATTCAAACTAAAGCAGTTTTATGGTAACCTCTCTTTTTAGCTTTTATCTGAGGACACTTGGTTTTTCACCATTGGCTTCAGTGGCCTTTAAATGTTCCTTCACAGATTTTACAAAAAGAGTGTTTCCAACCTGCTGAATCAATAGAAAAGTTATCTCACTGAGATAAATCACACTTCACAAAGCAGTTTCACAAATATCTTCTTTCTCGTTTTTATTGGGGGATATTCTGTTTTTCAGCACAAGCCACAGTGGTCTAAAAATTTACCTTTGTAGATTCTAAAAAAAAAAAATGAGTGATTCAAACCTGCTGGATAAAAAGAAAGGTTTACCTTTGTGAGATGAATCCAAACATCGCAAAGCAGTTTCACAGATAGCTTCTTTCTAGCGTTTATCAGGGTTTATTTAGTTTTTCACCATGGGCCTCAATGGACTCTGAAATGTCTCTTAGCAGATTCTATAGAAAGAGTGTTTCCAACCTGCTGAATCAAAAAAAGGTTTGACTCTGTGAGAGGAATCCACACATCATAAGGCAGACTCACACATAGCTTCTTTTGCATTTTTATCTTGGAATATTCAGTTTTTTGCCATAAGCCACAATAGACTCCCAAATGTTCCTTTGCAGATTCTACAAAAGGAATGTTTACAACCTGCTGAATCAAAAGAAAGGTTTAATTCTGCCAGATGAATCAATACATCACAAAGCAGTTTCATAGATAAATTCTTTCTACTTTTTTTTCTGGGGATATTTGCTTTTTCACCATTGGTCTCAATGGGCTCCCAAATGTCCCTTTGCAAATTCTACAAAAAACTGTTTCCAAAATGCTGAATCAAAAGAAACATTTAACTCTGTGAGATGAATCCACACATCACAAAGCAGTTCCCAGAGAGCTTCTTTCTAGTTTTTCTCTGGGTATATTCAGTTTTTCACCATAGGCATCAATGTGCTTTCAAATGTTCCTTTGAAGATTCTAGAAAAAGAGTGTTTCGAACCTGTTGAATCAAAAGAAAGTTTTAACTCTGAGATAAATCCACACATCACAAAGCAGTATCACAAAAAAAGTTTTTTTATGGGGATATTAGGATTTTTACCTTAGGACTAAATTTACTCCCAAATATCCCTCACAGATTTTACAAAAAGAGTTTTTCCAACCTGCTTAATCAAAAGAAAGTTTTAACTCTCTGAGTTGAATATACACAGCACAAAGCACTTGTACAGATTGCTTTTTTCTAATTTTTTTTTCTGGGGATATTCAATTTTTCACCATAGGTCTCAATGGGATCCCAAATATCTCTTCACAGATTCTACAAATAGAGCATTTCCAACCTGTTGAATCAAAAGAAAATTTTAACTTTGTGAGATGAATCCACACATCACAAAGCATTTTCACTGTTAACATTTTTTAAGATTTTATGCAGTGATGTTCAGTTTTTTACCATAGTCCTCCAAAGGCTCTTAAATATTCCTTCACAGATTCTACAAAAGAGTATTTCCTATTTGTGGAATCAAAGGAAAGGTTTAACTCTGTGTGGTGAATCCACAAATCACAAAGCAATTTCACAGATAGCTTCTTTCTAGTCTGTATCAAAGGATATTCTGTTTTTCAACATAGGCCTCAATGGGCTTCCAAATGTGCCTTCACAGATTTTACAAAAAGAGTATTTTTAACGTGCTGAATCAAAAGGAACATTTAACTCTGCAAGATAAGTTGATAACGTCACAAAGCAGTTTCACGGCTAGATTCTTTCTAGTTTTTATCAGGGGATATTCTGTTTTTCACCATAGGCCTCAATGGTCTCCCAAATGTCCCTTTGCAGATGATAAAAAAAGAGTGTTTCAGAAATGCTGAATCAAAAGAAAGTTTTACCTTTGTGAGATGAATCTAAGCATCACAAAGCAGTTTCACAGATAGCTTCTTTCTAGTGTTTATGAGAGGTTATTGCATTTTCCACCATAGGCCGGAATGGATTCCCAAATGTTTCTCCACAGATTCTACAGAAATAGTTTTTCCAACCTGCTGAATCAAAAAAAGATTTAACTCTGTGAGAGGAATCCACACATCATAAGGCAGACTCACACATAGCTTCTTTTGCATTTTTATCTGGGAATATTTGGGTTTTCATGATAGGCCTCAATGGGCTCACAAATTTCCCTTTGCAGATTCTACAAAAGAGGTTTCCCACATGCTGAATCAAAAGAAACCTTTAACTCTGTCAGATAGATCCACACATCACAAACCAGTTCCCAGATATCTTCTTTCTAGTTTTTGTCTTGGGAGATTTGGTTTTTCACTGTAGGCATCAATGGGCTGCCAAATTCTCCTTTGCAGATTCCAGAAAAAGAGTGTTTCCAACCTGTTGAATCAAAAGAAAGTTTTAACTCTGTGAGATGAATTCACACATCACAAAGCAGTATCACATATAGCTTCTTTTTGGTTTTCATATGGAGATATTCGGATTTTTACCATAGGCCTCAATGGACTCTAAAATGTCCCTTGAAGATTCTACAAAAAGTGTTTATCCAACTTGCTTAATCAAAAGAATGTTTTAACTCTCTGAGATGAATATACACACCACAAAGCACTTTCACAGATAGTTTCTTTCTATTTTTTTTTCTCTGGGGATATTTGGTTTTTCACCACAGGCTTCAATGGGATCCCGAATGTTCCTCTGCAGAGTCTACAAAAAGAGTGTTGTCAACTTGATGAATCAAAACAAAGGTTTAACTCTGTGAGATAAATCCACACATCACAAAGCAGTTTCACAGATAGCTTCTTTCCAGTTTTTATCTAGGGATATTTGGTTTTTCACCATAGGCCTCAATGGGCTCCAAAGTGTCCCTTCGCAGTTTCTACAAAAATAGTGTCTCCAACCTACTGAATCTAAATTAAGGTTTAACTTTGTCAGATGAATCCACACATCACAAATCAGTTTCACAGATAGCTTCCTTCTGGTTTTTATCTGGGGATATTCAGTTTTGCACCACAGATCTCAGAGGTCTTTGAAATGTCCCTTCAAAGATTCTCCAGAAAGTGTGTTTTCAACCTGCAGAATCAATAGAAATATTTCACTTTTTGTGATGAATCTACACATCACAAAGCAGTTTCACAGATAGCTGCTTTCTGGTTTGTATCAGGGATTACTTGATTTTTCACTATAAGCTACAATGTGCTCCCAAGCCTCCCTTCACAGATAGTACAGAAAGCACGTTTCCAATCTGCTGAATCTAAAGAAAGTTTTAACTTTCTGAGATGAAACCACACATCACAAAGACTTTCCACAGATTGCTAATTTCAAGCTTTTAACTGAGGATATTTGGCTTTTCCACATAGCCCTCAATGGGATCCAAATCTCCCTTCACATTTTCTGCAAAAATGTATTTCCAACCTGCTGAATCAAAAGAGATGTTAAACTCTATGAGATGAATCCACATATCACAAAGCAGTTTCACAGATAGCTTCTTTTTAGTTTTTCTCTGGGCATATTCTGTTTTTCAATAGAACTCAAAGGGCTCTAAAATATCCCTTCACTGATTCTACAAAAAGAGTTTTTCTGACTTGTTGAATCAAAAGAAAGGTTTAGCTTTGTGAGATGAATCCACACATAGCAAAGCAGTTTCAAAGATAGCTTCTTTCTAGTTTTTATCTAGGGATTTTTGGTTTTTCACCAAAGGCCTCCATGGGCTCCCAAATGTCCCTTTTCAGGTTCTACAAAGAGTGTTTCCAATTTGCTGAATCAAAAGAAAGATTTGACTGAGTGAGATGAATCCAAACATCAAAAAGCAGTTTAACTGATACCTTCTTTTTAGCTTTTATATGGGGATATTCGATTTTTCACCACAGCATACAATGGGTTCCCAAATGTCTTTTTGCAGATTCCACAAAAAGAGTGTTTCCAACTTGCTGAATCAAAAGAAAGGTTTAATTCTGTAAGACGAATCCACTCAGCACAAAGCAGTTTCACAGAGAGCTACTTTCTAGATTTTATTTGGGGTTATTCAGTTTTTCACCATAGGCCTCAATAAGCTCCAAATATCCCTTTGCAGATTCTACAAAAAGAGTGTTTCCAACCTGCTGAATCCACAGAAAGGTTGAACTCTGGGAGAAGAATCCACGTATCACAAAGGAGTTTCACAGATAAGGTCTTTGTAGTTTTAATCTGAGGATATTTGGTTTTTTGCCATAGGCCTCAATGCGCTCCCAATTGTCTTTTTGCCAATTCTGCAAAAGAGTGTTTCCAACCTGCTGAATCAAAAGAAAGGTTTAACTCTGTGAGATGAATCCACCGATCACAAAGGAGTTTCACGAATAGCTTTTTTCCAGTTGTTATCTGGGGATATTATGTTTTTCAACATTGGCCTCAATGGGTTCTTAAATGTCCATTTGCAGATTCTGTAAAAAGTGTCTTCAACCTCTTGAATCAAAAGAAAAGTTTAACACTGGGAGAAGAATCCACACATCACAAATAAGTTTCACAAGTAGCTTCTTTCTAGTTTTTATCTGAAGATACTCAATTTTTCACTGTAGACCTCAATGGGCTTCCCAATGTCCCTTTGCAGATTCTACAAAAAGAACGTTTCCAACCTGCTGAATCAAAAGAAAGGGAAAACACTGTGAGAATACCACAAAGCAGTTTCACAGATATCTTCTTTCTAGTTTTTCTCTGGGGATATTCGGTTTTTCACCATAGGCCTCAAATGGCTCTCAAATGTCCCTTCACTGATTCTACAAAAAGAGTTTTTCCAACTTGTTAAATCAAAAGAAAGATTTAACTTTGTGAGATTAATCCACACCTAACAAAGCAGTTTCAAAACTAGCTTCTTTTTTATCTAAAGATATTCAGTTTTTCACCACAGGCCTCAATGTGCTCCCAAATGTCCCTTTGCAGGTTCTGCAAACAAGTGTTTCCAAAATGCTGAATCAAAAAAAAAATTATTAACTGTGTGAGATGAATCCAAACATAAAAAGCAGTTTCACAGATAATGTCTTTCTAGTTTTTATCTGGGGATATTTGGTTTTTCCCAGTAGGGTTCAATGGGCTCCCAAATGTCTCTTCACAAATTCCACAAAAAGAGTGTTTCCAACTTATTGAATCAAAAGAAAGGTTTAACTCTGTGAGATGACTCCACACATCATGAAGCAGTTTCACAGAGAGCTTCTTTCTAGATTTTGTCTGGGATTATTCAGTTTTTCCCCAAAGGCCTCAATAAGATCTCAAATGTCCCTTCATAGATTCTACAAAAAAAAATGTGTTTCCAGCCTGGTGATCAAAAGTAAGATTTGACTATATGAGATGAATCCACACATCACAAACCAGTTTCACAGATTGCTTCTCTGCAGTTTTTATCTGAGAATATTCAGTTTTTCAGCATAAGAAAATAAGCTCCCAAATGTCCCTTCACAGTTACTACAAAAAGAGTGTTTCCAACCTGTTGAATCAAAATAAAGGTGCATCACTGTGAGATGAATCCACACATCACCAAGCAGTTTCACAGATAATTTCTTTCTAGTTTTTATCTGGGGATATTGGGTTTTTTATTATAGACCTCAATGGGATCCCCAATGTCCCTTCACAGATTCTACAAAAACAGTGTTCCTACTTACTGAATATAAAGACTGGTTTAACTCTGTGAGATGAATCCACAAATCACAAAGCAATAGATAGCTTCTTTCTAGCTGTTATCTGGGGATATTCAGTTTTTCACTACAGGCCCCAATGGGCTCCCAAATGTCAATTTGCAGTTTCTACAGAAAGAGTGTTTCCAACCTTCTGAATCAAAAGAAAGGTTTAATTTATGAAATGAATCCACACATCACAAAGACGTTTCACAGGTTGATAATTTCTATTTTTAAACTGGGGTATTCTGTTTTTCAGCAGAATCCTCAATGGCCTCCAGTTTCCCCTTTGCAGATTCTACAAAAAGAGGGATTTCAACTTGCTGAATCAAAACAAATGTTTAAATCTGTGAGATGAATCCATATATCACAAACTGGTTGAACAGACAGCTTCTTTATAGTTTTTATCTAGGGATGCTCAGTTTTTCACTATAGGGCTCAATGGGCTCCCAAATGTGTCTTCACAGATATTACAAAAAGAGTGTTTGCAACCTGTTGAATCAAAAGAAAGATTTATCTCTGTGAGATGAATCAACACATCACAAAGCAGTTTCACATCAAACTTTTTTCTAGTTTTTATTTGGGGATATTCTGTTTTTCAACATAAGACTTAATGGGCTCCCAAGCGTGTCTTTGCAGAACCTACACAAAGAGAGTTTCCAGCTAGATGAATCAAAAGAAAGTTTTAACTCTGTAAGATGAATTAACGCATCATAGAGAAGCTTCACATATAGCTTCTTTCTAGTTTTTATGTGGGAATATTCTGTTTCTTATCTTACACCTCAATGGGCTCCCAAATGTTTCTTTGCAGATTCTACAAAAAGAGAGTTTCCAGCTAGATGAGTCAACAGAAAGTTTTAACTATGTAAGATGAGTTCACACATCACAGAGCAGCTTCACATATAGCTTCTTTCCATTTTTATCTGGGGATATTCTGTTTCTTATCCTATGCCTCAATGGGTTCCCATATGTCTCTTTGCAGATTCAACAAAAAGAGTGTTGATAAAACACTGCTGGATAAAAAGAAAGGTTTAAATCTCTTAGATGAATCCACACATCACAAAGCAGTTTCCCAGATATCTTCTTTCTAGTTTTTACCAAGTGATGTTCAGTTTTCACCAAGGGCCTCAATGTGCTCCAAAATGTGTTTTTGAAGAGGCTACAAAAGAATGTATTCATCCTGCTGAACCAAAAGACAGATTTAACGCTGTGAGATGAATCCACACATCACAAAGCAGTTTCCCAGATAGTTTCTTTCTAGTTTTTACCTAGAGATATGTGGTTTTTCATCATAGGCTTCAATGGGCCCCCAGACGTTCCTTGGCAGATTCTACAAAAAGAGCGTTTCCAACCTGCTGAATCAAAAGAAAGGTTTAACACTGTGAGATGAATCCACCCATCACAGATAGCTTCTTTCTAGTATTTATCTGGGGATATTTGGTTTTTCACCATAGGCCTCAATGGACTCGCAAATGTCCCTTCGCAGATTCTACAAAAATAGTGTTTCCAACCTGCTGAATTAAAAGAAACTTTTAACTCTGTGAGGTGAATCCACACATCACAAAGCAGTTTCACACATATCTTCTTTCTAGTTTTTATCTGGGGATATTCTGTTTTACATCCTAGGCTTCAGTGGTCTTCCAAATGCCCCTTAGCAGATTCTACAATAAGAGTGTTTCCAACCTTCTGAATCATAACAAAGTTTTAAATCTGTAAGATGAATTCACACATCACAAAGCAGTTTCACAGATAGTTTCTTTCTAGTTTTTAACTTTAGATAATCAATTTTTTATTTTAGGCCACTATAGGCTCTCAAATATCCCTTTGCAGATTCTACAAAAAGAGTGTTTCCAATCTGTTGAATGAAAAGAAAGGTTTAATTCTGTGAAGTGATTTCACACATCACAAAGCAGTTTCACAGATAGCTTCTTTCTAGTTTTCATCTGGGGATATTCAGTTTTTCTCCATAGGCCCCAATGGACTCACAATTGTCCCTTCACAGATTCTACAAAAAAAGTGTTTCCAACCTGCTGCATTTAAAGAAAGGTTTAACTCTGTGAGATAAATTGGCACATCACAAAGCCATTTCACACATAGCTTCTTTCCGGTTTTTTAGTGGAGATGTTCATTTTTTCACCATAGTTCTCAGTGGGATCTGAAATTTCCCTTTGCAGATCCTACAGAAGGAGTGTTTCCAACTCTGCTGTATCAAAAGAGAGGTTTAACTCTGCGAGATGATTCCACCCATCACAAAGCACTTTCACAGGTAGCTTCTTTCTAGTTTTTATCTGGGGATTTTCAGTTTTTCACCTTAGTTCTCAATAAGCTCTCAAATGTCCATTCACAGAGTCTACAAGGAGAGTGTTACCAACCTTATGAATCAAAAGAAAGTTTTAACTTTGTAAGGTGAATCCACACATCACAAAGCAGTTTCACAGATACATTCTTCCCAGTTTTTATCTGGGAGTATCAGTTTTTCACCATAGGCATCAATGGGCTCCCAAATGTCCCTTTGCAGATTCTACAAATACAGTGTTTTCAACCTGTTGAATCAAAAGAAAGTTTCAACTCTGTGAGATGAATCCACAGGTCACAGGCATTTTCACAGTTAGTTTCATTTTCGTTTCTATCTGGGGACATTCATTTTTTCACCATATACCTCCAAGGGTTCCCAAATGTCCCCTCACAGATCCTACAAAAAGAGTGTTTCCAACCTGCTGAATCAAAAGAAAGGTTTATATACGATTTTTCAATATAGGCCCCAATGGGCTCTCAAATATCCCATCACAGATACTACAAAAAGAGCGTTTCCAACATGCTGAATTAAAAGAAAGGTTTAATTCTTTGCATTGTATTTACACATCACAAATCAGTTTCACAGATAACTTCTTTCTAGTTTTTATCTGGGAATATTTGGTTTTTCAGCATAGGCTTCAATGGGCTTCTAAATGTCCCTATGCACATTGTACAAACAGAGTGTGTTAAACCTACTGCATCAAAAGAAAGGTTTCACTCCGTGTGGTGAATCCACGTATCACAGAGCAGTTTCACATATACATTTCTTCTAGTTTTTTATCTTGGGCTCTTCTGTTTTTCACCATAGGCCTCAAAAGGCTCTCAAGTGTTTCATCGCAAATTCTACAAAAAGAGTGTTTCCAACCTGTGGAATAAAAACAAACGTTTAAATCTGTGAGATAAATCCACAAATCACAAACCAGTTTCACTGATAGCTTATTTCTAGTTTTTACATGGGGATATTCAATTTTTCAACATAGGCATCAATGGGCTCCTAAATGTCCCTTTGCAGATTCTACAAAAAGAGTGTTTACAACCTGCTGAATAAAAAGAAAGGTTTAACTCTGTGGCATGAATTGACACATCACAACACAGTTTCACAGAAAGATTCTGTCTAGGTTTTAATTGGAGATATTCAGTTTTTCACCATTGGCCTCAAAGAGGTCCCAATGTCCCTTCACAGATTCTACAAAAAAAGTGTTTCCAACATGCTGAATGAAAGGAAAAGTTGATCTCCGTGAGATCAATCCGCACTTCACAAAGCAGTTTCACAAATAGCTTCTTTCTCGTTTTTACCTGGGGAGATTCAGTTTTTCACCATAGGCCTCAATGAGCTCCCAAATGTCCCATCAGAGAGTGTACAAAAAAAGTGTTTCCAATGTGCTGAATCAAAAGAAAGATTTATCTATGGGAGATGAATCCACACCACACAAAGCAGTTTCACAGATAAGTTTTTTCTAGTTATTACCTGGGGATATTCAGTTTTTCACCATAAGCCTCAATGGGCTCCCAAATGTCCCTTTGCAGATTCTACAAAAAGAGTGCGTTCAAGCTGCTGAATGAAAAGAAAGGTTTAACTCTGTTAGATGAATCCACACATTACAAAGCAGTTTCACAGATAACTTTTTTCTAGTTTTTATCTTGAGATATTTGGTTTTTCATCATAGGCCTTAATGAGCTCCAAAATGTCCCATCGCAGAGTATACAAAAACAGTGTTTCCAACCTTCTGAATCAAAAGAAATGTTTAACTCTGTAATGAATCCACACATCAGAAAGCAAGTTCACAGAGAGTTTCTTTCTAGTTTTTACCTGGGGATATTCAGTTTTTTACCACAGGCCTCAAAACATTCCCAAATGTCCCATTGCCACTTGTACAAAAAGAGTTTTCCCAACAGGCTGAATCAAAAGAAAAGTTTAACTGTGTGAGATGAATCCACACATCACAAAGCAGTTTCACAGATAGCGTCTTTCCAGTTTTTTTCTGGGAATATTCGGCTTTTCACCGCAGGCCCCAATTGGCTCCCAAATGTTCCTTCACAGATTCTACAAAAAGAGTGTTTCCGATGTGTTTAATCCAAAAAAAGTTTCAACTTTGTGAGATGAATCTCACACCTCACAGAGCAGTTTCACAAGTAGTGTCTTTCTAGTTTTTATCTGGAAATATTCGGTTTTTCACCATAGGCCTCAATGGGCTCCCAAATGTCTCTTCACAAATTCTACTTGCAGAGTGTTTCCAAAGTGCTGATTCAAAAGAAAGTTTTAACTGTGTGAGATGAATCCACACATCACACACCAGTTTCACACATAGCTTGTTTCTAGTCTTTATCTAGGGAAATTAGGTTTTTCACAATAGCCCTCAATGGGCTCCCAAATGTCCCTCACAGATGCTACAAAAACAGTGTTTCCAACCTTCTGAAAAAAAAGTTTTAACTTTGTGAGATGAATCCACATATCACAAAGCAGTTTCATAGGTAGTTCCATTCTAGTTTTCATCTGTTTATATTAGTTTTTTTAACCATAAACCACATAGGGCTCCCAAATATCCTTTTGCAGATTCTAAAAAAAAAAAAAAAAGTGTTTTCAACCTGCTGAATGAAAAAAAAGGTTTAACTCTGTGATATAAATCCACACATCACAAAGCAGTTTCACAAATAACTTCTTTCTAGTTTTTATCTGGGGATATTCCATTTTTCCCCATAGGCCAAAATGGGCTCCCAAATGTCCCTTCACAAGTTCTACAAAAAGAATGTTTTCAATGTTCTGAACTAAAAAAAAAAAAAAGGTTTAACTCTGTGAGAGGAATCCACACATAACAAAGCACATTCACTGATAAATTCTATCTAGTTTTTATCCAAAGAAATTGGTTTTGCACCAGAGGCCTCAATGGGCTTTCAAGTGTCCCTTCACAGATACTGCAAAAAGAGTGTTTACAACCTGCTGAGTAAAAAGAAAGATTTAACTCTGTGAGATGAATCAACACATCACAAAGCATTTTCACAAATAGAATCTTTCTAGTTTTTAATTGGGGAAATTCGGTTCTTCACCATAGGCCTCAATGAGCTCCCAAATGTCTCTTCATAGATTATACAAAAAGAGTATGTCCAACCTGCTGAATGAAAAGAAAAATTTAACTCTGGGAGATGAATCCACACAACATAAAGCAGTTTCAAAATAGGTTCTTTCTAGTTTTTCTCTAAGGATATTCGGTTTTTCACTGTAGGCCTCAATGGACTCTCAAATGTCTTTTCACAGATTCTACAAAAAGAGTGTTTTCAACTTACTAAATAAAAAATGGTTTAAATCTGTGAGATGAATCCACACATCAAAAAGCAGTTTCACAAATAACTTTTTTCTAGTTTTTATCTGGGGATATTCAGTTTTTCACCAAAGGCCTCAATGGGCTCTCAAATGTTTTTTTGCAGGCTCTACAAAAAAAGTGTTTCCAACCTGCTGAATCAAAAGATTGTTTTAACTCTGTGAGATAAATCCATACATCACAAAGAAATTTCACAGATAGCTTCTTTTTACTTTGTATCTGGGGATTATCTGTTTCTCAATGTAGGCTTCAATGGGACCCCAAAGTCCCTTCACAGAATCTACAAAAAGACTTTTTCCAACCTGCCGAATCAAAAGAAAGCTTTAACTCTGTCAGATGAATGCACACAGCACAAAGCAGTTTCACAGATAGCTTTTTTCTAGTTTTTATTTGGAAATATTCGATTTTTCACCTTAGGCCTAAATGAGCTCCAAAATGTCCCTTTGCAAATTCTACAAGGAGAGTGTTACCAACCTGATGAATCAAAAGAAAGGTTTAACTCTGTAAGGTGAATCCACACATCACAAAGCAGTTTCACAGATAGCTTATTTCTAGTTTTAATCTGGGGATATTCAGTTTTTCACCTTAGGCCTCAATAGGCTCAAAAATGTCCCTTTGTAGGTTCTACAGAAAGATAGGTTCCAATTTGCTGAATCAAAAAAATGGTTTAACTCAGTGAGCTGAATCCACACATCATAAAGCAGTTTTACAGATAGGTTTTGTTCGAGTTTTTATCTAAAGGTACTCGGTTTTTCACCATAGGCATCAATGGGATCCCAAATACCCCTTTGCAGATTCTGGAAAAAGAGTGTTTCCAACCTTTTGAATCAAAAGAAAGATTTAATTCTGTGACTTGAATCTACACAACACAAAGCTGTTTCACAAATAGCTTCTTTCTTGTTTTTATCTGGGGATATTCTGTTTTTCACCTTAGCCCTTAACGAGCTCCCAAATGTCCCTTCACTGATTCTACAAGATGAGTGTTACCAACATGATGAATCAAAGAAAGTTTTAACTTGTATGATGAATCCACACATCACAAAGTAGTTTCACAGACAGCTTCTTCCTAGTTTTTCTCTGGGGATATTCAGCTTTTTACTGTAGTCTCCCAAATGTCCCTTAGCAGATACTACAAATAGAATGTTTCAGGAAAGGTTTATCTCTGTGTGGTGAATCCACACATCACAAGGCAGTTTCACAGATAGCCTTTTCCTAGTTTTTTTTTTTTTCAGGAAATATTTTGTTTTTCACCATAGGCCTCAATGGGCTTACAAATGTACCTGCACAGATTCTGCAAAAAGAGGGTTTGCAACGTGCTGAATAAAAAAAAATTTAACTCTGTGAGATAAATACACACTTCACAAAGCAGTTTCACAGATAGCTTGTTTCTAGTTTTTATCTAAAGATATTCCATTTTTCATGATAGGCCCCAATAGGCTCCCACATGTCTCTTTGCAGATTCTACAAAAAGACCATTTCCAATCTCCTGAAATAAAAGAAAGGTTTAACTCTGTGAGATGAATCCACACATCACAAACAACTTCACAGATGGCTTCATTCTAGTTTTTATCTTTTGATATTTGGTTTTTTAAGTATAGCCCTCAAAGGGCCCCCAAATGTCTTTTTGCTGAGTCTACAAAAAGAGTGTTTCCAACTGCTAAATCTAAAGAAAGATTTAATTTTGTGAGATGAATCCATTTAAACCAAAGCAGTTTTTCAGGTAGCCTCTTTCTAGTTTTTATTTGGGGATATTTTTGTTTTCATTATAGGCCTCAATGGGGTCCCAAACGTCCCTTCACAGATTCTACAGAAAGAGTGTTTTCAACCTGCTGACTCAAAAGAAAGTTTTTTTTGTTGTTTGGTGAATCCACACATCACAAAGCAGTTTAACAGATAACTTCTTTCTAGTTTTTATCAGGGAATATTTGGTATTTCACCATAGGCCTGAACATGTTTCCAAATATCACTTCACAGATTCTGCAAAAAGAATGTTTCCTATCATGCTAAATCAAAAGAAACGTTTAACTCTGTGATATGAATCCAAACATCACAAAGCTGTTTCACAGATAGCTTCTTTCTCATTTTCATCTAGTGATATTTGGTTTTTCACTGTAGGCCTCAATGGGCTCCCTATTGTCCCTTCACAGATTCTACCAAATGAGTGTCTCCAACCTATTGAATAAAAAAAAAAAGTTAATTCTGTGAGAGGAATCCACACATTATAAACAAGTTTCACAGATAGCTTCTTTCTACTTTTTATCTGTGGATATTCGTTTTTTTCACCATAGTCCTCAATGGGCTCCAAAATGTTTCTTTGCAGCTTCCACAAAACAAGAGTCTCCAACTGGCTGAACCAAAAGAAAGGTTTACCTCTGTGAGATGAATCCACACATCACAAAGCACTTTCACAGATAGCTTCTTTCTAGTTTTTATCTGGGGAGATTCAGTTTTTCACCCTAGGCTTCAATGGGCTCCCATCTAATGTCCCTTTGCAGATTCTACAAAATAGGGTTTCCAACCTGCTGAATCAAAAGACACGTTTAATTCTGCGAGATGAATCCAAACAACACAAAGCAGTTTCACGCAAAACTTCTTCCTAGTTTTTATGTATGGATATTCAGTTTTTCACCAAAGGCCTCAATGGGCTCCCAAATGTCCCTTTGCAGATTCTGCAAAAGGAGAGTTTCCAACCTGCTGAATGCACACATCACAAAGCAGTTTCACAGATAGCTTCTTTTTATTTTTAATCTGGGGATATTCTGTTTTTCACTGTAGGTTTAAATTGTCTCCCAAACGTCCCATCACAGATTCTACAAAAACAGCGTTACCAACATGACGAATTACAAGAAAATTTTACTCTGTGAGATGAATTGACACATCACAAAGCAGTTTCACAGATGGCTTTTTTCCAGTTTTTATCTGGAGATACTCAGTTTTTCACCATAGGCCCCAATGGACTACCAAATGACCCTTCGCAAATTCTACAAAAAGAATGATTCCAACCCGCAGAATCTAAAGAAACATTTAACTCTGTGACATGAATCCACACATCACAAAGCAGACTCTTTGATAGCTTCTTTCCAGTTTTTATCTAGTGATATCCATTTTTCAATGTAGGCCTCAATGGGCTCCCAAATGTCCCTTTGCAAATTCTACAAAAAGAGTCTTTCCCATTTGCTGAATAAAAAGAAAGGTTTAACTCTATGACATCAATCCACACAACCCAAAACAGTTTCACAGATAGCTACCTTCTCATTTTTATCTGGAATATTTGATTTTTCACCATTGGCCCCAATAGGCTCTGAAATGTCCCTTTGCAGATTCTACAAGAAGAGTGTTTCCAACCTTCTGAATCACAAGTAAAAATTAACTCTGTAAGATGAATCCACACATCACAAAGCAGTTTCACACGTAGATTCTGTCTAGTTTTTCCCTGGAAATATTCAGTTTTTCACCGTAGGCCTCAGTGGGCTTCCAAATGTCCCCTCACATATTCTACAAAAGAGAAGTGTTTCCAACCTGATGAATTAAAAGAAAGGTTTAACTCTGTGAGATGGATCACAAAGGAGTTTCACAGATAGTTCTTTCCAGTGTTTATCTGGGGATATTCAGTTTTTCACAATAGACCTCAATATGCTCCCAAATGTCTCTTCACTGATTCTACAAAAAGAATGTTCTGAATCTGCTGAAACAAGGCTTAACTCTGTTAGATGAATATAGGCATCACAAAGCAGTTTCACATATAGCTTCATTCGAGACTTTGTCTGTTGATATTGGGTTTTTCAACCATAAGCATCAAAAAGCTCCCAAATATCCCTCCACAGATTCTACAAAAAGAGTGTTTCCAACCTCCTGAATCAAAAGAAAGGTTGAACTCTGAGAGATAAACCCACACATCACAAAGCAATTTTACAGGTGTCTTCTTTCTAGTTTTTATCTGCGGATATTCAGTTTTTCACTTTAGGCCTCAAGGGGCTCACAAATGTCCCTTCACAAATTCTATAGGAAAGTGTTCCCAACTTGCTGAATCAAAAGAAAGGTTTAACTCTGTAGAAATATCCACACATCATAATATGGTTTCACAGATGGCTTCTTTTTAGATTTTATGTGCAGATATTTGATTTTTCTCTCTATGCTTCAATGGGCTCCCAAATGTTCCTTCATGGTTTCTACAAAAAAAAAAAAGTTTCTGAACTGCTGAATCAAAATAAAGACTTAATTCTCGGAGATGAGTCCACGTATCACAAAGTGGTTTCACAGGTAGCTTCTTTCTAGTTTTCATTCACAGATATTCAGTTTTTCTCTCTATGCCTCAATGGGCTTCCAAATGTCCTTTCATGGTTTCTACAAAAAAAGTGTTTCTGAACTGCTGAGTCAAAAGAAAGACTTAACTCTGGGAGATGAGTCCACATATTGCAAAGTGGTTTTACAGATAGCTTCTTTCTAGTTTTTTTTTTGTGGATATTTTCTTTTTCACTATAGGCCTCAATGGGCTCCCAGATTTCCCTTTGCAAATTCTACAAAAAGAGTATTTTCATCCTGCTGAATCAATAGAAAGGTTTAACTCTGTGAGATTAATCCACATGTCACAAAGTGGTTTCACAGATAGCTTCTTTCTAGTTTTTATATGGTAATATTCTGTTTTCCTGTAAAGCCCTCAATGGGCTTCTATTTGTTCCTTAGCAGCTTCAACAAAAAGAGTGTTTCCTACCTTATTGAATCAAAAGAAAGTTTTAACTCTGTGGGAAGAATCCACACATTGCAAAGCAATTTCACTGATAGATTTATCCTAGCTTTTATCTGTGGATATTTGATTTTTCATTACAGGCTTAATGGGTAAAAAATGTCCATTCCCAGATTCTACAAAAAAGGGCATTTCCAACCTGAGGATTCAAAAGAAAGGTTTACCTCTCTGAAATAAATCAACACATCACAAAGTAGTTTCACAGATAGCTTCTTTCCAGTATTTACTGGGGGATAATCAGTTTGTCACTATAGGCCTCAGTGGGCTCCCAAAAGTCCCTTTGCAGTTTCTACAAAAGGAGTGTTTCCAACCTGCTGAATCAAAAGAAAGTTTTAACTCCATGAGATGAATCCACACATCACAAAGTGGTTTCACTGTTAGCTTCCTTCTATTTTTTTCTGCAGATATTCAGTTATTCATTCTAGGCCTCAATGGGCTCCCAAATGTCTCTTATCAGATTCTATAAAAAGAATGTTTCCATCTTGCTGAATTAAAAGAAAGGTTTAAGTCTCTGAGAAGCATCCATACATCAGAAAGTAGTTTCACAGACAGCTTGTTTCTGGTTTTTATCTGTGAATAATTAGTTTTTCAGTATAAGTCTGAATGTTCTCCAAAATGCCCCTTCACAGTTTCTTCCTTCTGAATCAAAAGAAAGGTTTAACCCTGTGCAATGAATCCACACTTCACAAGGCGGTTTCTCAGATAGGTTCTTCTAGTTTTTATCCAAGGATATGTCTTTTTTCACTATAGGACTCAATTTGCTCCCAAATGCCCCTTCACAGGATTTACAAAATAGTGTTTTCAACATGCTGAATCAAAGGAAAGGTTTAACTCTCAGAGATGATTGCACAAGTCACAGAGCAGATTCACAGATGGCTTTTTTCCAGTTTTTATTGGGGGATATTAGGTATTTTATTATGGACCTAAAGGGGCTCCCAAATGTTCCTTCGCAGATTCTCCAAAAAGAGTGTTTCCAACCTGCTGTATCAAAAGAATGATTTAACTATGTGAGATGAATCCACACTTTGCAAAACAGTTTCAGAGATAGATTCTTTCTGGTTTTTATTCACTGATATGCTGTTTTTCACTAAAACCCTCAGTGAGCTCCAAAATTCCCTTTGCAGATTGTACAAAAAGAGTGCTTCCAACCTGCTGAATCAAAATAAAAGGTTTAATGCTGTGAGACAAATCCACACATGACAAAGCAATTTCATAGATAGATTGCTTCCAGTTTGTATCAGGAAATATTTGATTTTTCTCTATAGGCCTCAATGGGCCTGAAATGTCCCTTCATAGTTTCTACAAAAAGAAAGTTTCCAACCTGCTGAGTCAAAAGCAAGGTTTAACTCTGTGAGTTAAATCCACACATCACAAAGCGGCTTCACAGATAGCTTCTTTGTAGTTTTTACATGTGGATATTCAGTTTTTCAGTATAGGCCTCAATGGTCTCCCAAATGTCCCTTCACAGATTCTACAAAATAGTGTTCCCATCCTGCTAAATCAAAACAAAGGTTTTACTCTGTGAGATGAATTCTTACATCAAAAAGACGTTTCAAAAATAGCTTCTTTTGAGTTTTCATTTTGGGATATTCAATTTTTCACTATACACCTCAATGAGCTGCCAAATGTCCCTTCATAGATTCTACTAAAGCCTGTTTCCAACCTTCTGAATCAAAAGAAAGAATTCTGTGAGATGAATCCACACATCACAAAGCAGTTATACAGACAGTTTTTTTCTAGTTTTTATCTGCAGATATTTTGTTCTTCACTGTAGACCTCAATGAGATCCCAATTGTGCCTTTGCAGTTTCTATAAAAAGAGTCTTTTCAACCTGCTGAATCAAAAAAAAAGTTTAACTCTGTGAGATGAATCCACACATCAAAAAGCAGTTTCACAGATAGCTTCTTTCTAGTTTTTATCAAGGGCTATTCAGTTTTTCACTACAGGCTTAATGGGCTCCCAAATGTCCCTTCGCAGTTTCTACAAAAACAGTGTTTCCCACCTGCTGAACCAAAAGAGAAATTTAACTCTGTGAGATGAATCCACACTTAGGAAAGCGTTTCCACAGATAGCTTCTTTTTAGCTTCTATATGGTGATATTCAGTTCCTCAGTATAGGCCTCCAGGGTTCCAAATATCCCTTAATAGCTTCTTCAAAAAGAGGGTTTCAAACTTGTTGAATCAAAAGAAAGTTTTTACTCTGTGAGATGAATCCACACATTGCAAAGTGGTTTCACAGGTAGCTTCTTCCTAGTTTTTATTGGGGAATATTTGGTTTTTCACTATAGGCCTCAATGGGCTCTCAAATGTCCCTTCACAAATTCTAAAAGAGGAGTGTTTCCAATTTGCTGAATCAAAAGAAAGGTTTAACCCTGTGAGATGAATCCACACATTGCAAAGCAGTTTCACAGATCACTTCTTTCCCGTTTTTATTGAGGGATATACGGTTTTTCACCATAGGCCTCAATGGACTCTCAAATACTCCTTCAAGTTTCTACAAAAAGAGTGATTCCACGTGCTGAATCAAAAGAAAGGTTTCACTCTGTGAGATGAATCCACACATTGCAAAATGGCTTCACAGACAGCGTCTCTCTTGTTTTCATCCATGGATATTCAGTTTTTCACTCTTGACATCAATGGACTCCAAAATGTCCCTTCACAGATTCCACAAAAAAGAGTGTTTGCAACCTGCTGAATCAAAAGAAAGTTTAAATCTCTGAGATGAATAAACACATCATGAAGCAGTTTCACAAATAGCTTCTTTCTAGTTTTTATCTGGGGATATTCACTTTTTTATTATAGAGCTCAAGGGGCTCCAAAATGTCCATTTGCAGTTTCTTCAAAAAGAGTGTTTCCAACCTGCTGAATCAAAAAAAAAGTTTAATTTCTGTGAGATGAATCCACACATCAGAAAGCCATTTTACAGCTAGCTTTCTTCTAGTTTTTATCCATGAATATTCTGTTTTTCTCTCTAGGCCCCAATTGGCTCCCACATGTCCCTTTGCAATTTTTACAAATACAGAGTTTCCAGTCTGCTGAATCAAAAGAAAGTTTAACTCTCTGATATGAATCCACATATCACTGAACAATTTCACATACAGCTTCTTTCTAGTTTTTATCAGTGGATATTTGGTTTATCACTATATAACTCAATGGTCTCCTCAATATCTCTTCCCAGTTTCCACAAAAAAAAGTATGGAAAACTGTTGAATCAAAAGAAAGGTTTAACTCTCTGAGATGAATTGACACATCACAAAGTGCTTTCACAGATAGATAGGTTTTTCTCGTTTTTATGTAGGAATATTCAGTTTTTTAGTATAGGCATCAATGGACTTTTAATGTCCCTTCACAGAGTCTACAAAAAGAATGTTTCCAACCTGCTGAATCACAAGAAAGGTTTAACTCTGTGAGATTAATCCACCTATCACAAAGTTGTTTCACAGATTGTTTCTTTCCATTTTTTATTCATGGACACTAGAGTTTTCATTATAGGCCACACTGGGCTTTGAAATGTCCCTTCAAAATTTCTTTAAATAGTGTGCTTCCAACCTGCTGCATCAAGGGAAAGCTTTATTTCTGTGAGATGAATGCACCCATTGCAAAAGGTTTCACAGAGAGGTTCTTTCTAGTTTTTATCTGGGGATGTTCAGTTTTTCACTATAGACCCAAATGGGCTCCCAAATGTCCCTTCGCAGATTCTACAAAAAGAGTGTCTCCAATCTGTTGAATCAAAAGAGAGGTTTAACTCTGTAAGATGAATCGACACATCACAAAGAGGTTTCATACATAGATTCTTTCTAGTTTTTATATTGGGATATTTTGGTTTTCAATTAAACCTCAATAGGCTTCCAAATGTCCCTGTGAATATTCTACAAAAAGAGTGTGTCCAATTTTCTGAATAAAAAGAATGGTTTAACTCTGTGAGATGAATCCACACATCACAAAGTGGATTCACAGATATCTATTATCTAGGTTTTAAGTAAAAAATTTGGTTTTTCACTACAGGCCTTAATGGGCTCCAAAATGTCCATTCACAGATTCTGCAAAAACAGTGTTTACAACCTGCTAAATCAAAAGAAAGTTTTATCCCTGTGAAAAGAATCCACAAATTGAAAAGTGGTTTGACAAATGGCTTCTTTCTACTTTTTATCTTAGGTTGTTCAGTTTTTCACTATAGGCATCAATGAGCTCCCAAATGTCCCAAGCATTCTACAAAGAGAGTGTTTCTAAGCTGCTAAATCAAAAGAAAGGTTGAACTCTGTGAGATGAATCCACACATTGTGAAGTGGCTCCACAAATAGCATCTTTCCAGTTTTTATCTGGGGATATTCAGTTTTTCACTATTAGCCTCAATGGTCTCCCAAACGGTCTCTTCACAGATTCTACAAAAAGAGTGTTTCCAATCTGCTGAGACATAACAAAGGCTTGTCTCTGTAAGATGAATCCACACATCACAAAGTGGTTGACAGATAGTTTCTTTCTACTTTTCATCTGGGGATATTCTGTTTTTCACTACAGGCCTCAATGAGCTGCCAAATGTCCCTTCTCAGGATCTAAAAAAAGAGTGATTCCAACCTGCTGAATCAAAATAAAGGTTTAACTCTCTGAGATTATTGTACACATCATAAATCCATTTCACAGGTAGCTTCTTTCTAGTTTTTATCAAGGGATATTTGGTTTTTCACTGTAGGCCTCAATGGGCTACAAAGTGTCCCTTCACAGTCTCTACAAAAGAAGGGGTTCCAACCTGCTGAATCGAAAGAAAGGTTTAACTTTGTGAGATGAATCCACCCATCACAAAGCAGTTTCACCAATAGTTTCTTTCTAGTTTTTATCTGAGGATATTTGATTTTTCATCATAGGCCACAATGGGCTTCCAAATTTGCCTTCACAGATTTTACAAAAAGAGTGTTTTTAACGTGCTGAATCAAAAGAAACATTTAACTCTGTGAGATAAATTGACATTTCACAAAGCAGTTTCACAGATAGAGTCTTTCTATTTTTTATCTGTTGATATTTAGTTTCTCAACCATAGGCCTAAAAGGGCTCCTAAATATCCCTTCACAGATTCCTTAAAAAGAGTGTTTCCAACCTTCTAAATCAAAAGATTCTACACATCAAAAAGCCATTTCACAGATAAATTCTTTCTAGTATTAATTTGGGGATATTTGGTTTTTCACTATAAGCATCAATGGTCTCCCAAATGTCCCTTCACAGATTCCTGAAAAAGAGTGTTTCCTACCTTCTAAATCAGAAGAAAGATGTAACTCTGTGAGATGAATTCACATATCCAAAAGCCATTTCACAGATAGATTCTTTCTAGGTTTAATCTGGGGATATTCAGTTTTCACTATAGGCCTCAATGGGCTCTCAAATGCCACTTCACAGAGTCTACAAAAAGAGTGTTTCCAACCTGCTGAATCAAAAGAAATCTTTAAGTCTGTGAGATGATTCCATGCAGTGCAAAGTGGTTTCATAGATAGCTTCCTTCCAGTTTTTATTTTTTTGTGTGGGAATATTCAGTTTTTCAGTACAGGCCTCAGTGGACTTCCAAATGTCCTTTCGTAGATTCTACACGAACGTATTTTCAACTTGTGAAATCAAAAGAAAGGTTTAACTCAGTGAGATAAATCCACACATCACAAAGCAATTTCACAGACTCCTTCTTTCTATTTTTTTTTGAGGGGGATACTCAGTCTTTTCACGGTGGACCTCAATGGGTGCCAGGATTTTCTTTTGCAGTTTCTAAAAAAAGTATGTTTCCAACTTGCTGTATCAAAAGAATGATTTACCTCTGGGAAATGTATCCACACATCACAAAGTGGTTTCACAGATAGCTTCATTCTAGCTTTTATCTGGAAATATCCCATTTTTCTCTATGGGAACTTTCAAATGTCCCTTCATAGATTCTACAAATGTCCCTTCATAGATTCTACAAAAAAAAGCGTTTCTAAGGTGTTGAATCAAAAGAAAGGTTAAACTCTGTGAGATGAATCCAAGCATCACAAAGAAGTTTCACAGATAGCTTCTTTCTAGTTTTGATCTGGGAATATTCTGCTTTTTTCCCATAGGCCTCAATGGGCTCTGAACTGTCCCTTTACAAATTCTACAAAAAGACAGTCTTTAATCTGGAGCATTAAAAAAAATATACTTTTGTGAGATGATTCCACACATCACAAAGTGGTTTCACTGAAAGTTTCATTCTAGTTTTTACCTGTGGATATTCAGTTTTTTACTTTAGGCCTCAGTGGTCTCCCAAAGGGTTTGTAAAACCCCTCACAGGTTTTACAAAAAGAGTGTTTCCAACCTGCTTAGTCAAAAAAAAAGGTTTATCTCTGTGAGATGACACCACACATCATAAAGCGGTTTCACAGATAGATTATTTCTAGTTTTTATGTAGGAATATTCAGTATTTTAGTATAGGCATGATTGGGCTTCCAATGTCCCTTCACATATTCTACAAAAAGAGTGTTTCAACCTGCTGAATGAGTAGAAAAGTGTAACTCTGTGAGGTGAATACACACATCATAAACTGGTTTAACAGAATGCTTCTTTCTAGTTTTTATTCATGATTATTCTGTTTTTCACTATAGGAATCAATGGGGTTCCAAATGTCTAGTCGCAGTTTCTACAAATAGAGAGTTTCCAACCTGCTGAATCAAAAGAAAGATTTAAGTCTGGGAGGTGAATCCACATATCACAAAAATGTTTCACAGATAGCTTCTTTATAGTTTTTATCTAGGAACATTCAGCTTTTCACTACAGGCCTCAGTGGGCTTCCAACTGTCCTTTCACAGATTCTACAAAGAGGGTGTCTCCAACTTGTGAAATCAAAGAGAAGTTTTAAGTCTGTGTGATGCATGGACACATCACAAAGCGGTTTCACAGATACCTTCTTTCTACTTTTTATCCTTGGATATTTTGTTTTTCACTGTAGGCCTCAATGAGCCCCCAAATATCCCTTTGCAGATTCCACAAAAAAAGAGTTATTCCAACCTGCTGAATCAAAATAAGATTTAACTCTATGAGATGAATACACATATCACAGAGCAGTTTCACAGATAGCTTCTTTTGAGGTTTTATTGGAAGGTATATGGGTTTTCACAATAAGCCACAATGGGGTCCCAAATGTCCCTTTACAGTTTCTACAAAAACAGTGTTTCCAACCTATTGAATCAAAAGAAAGGCTTAAATCTGTAAGATGAATCCACACATAGCAAAGCCCTTTCACTGATAGCTTCTTTCTAGTTTTTATCTGTGGATATTTAGTTTTTCACTATAGGTCTCATTGGACTCCCAAACATCCCTTTGCAGATTCTACAAAAATGATGTTTCCAACCTGAGGAATCAAAAGAAAGGTTTAACTTTCTGAGATAAATACACATATCACAAAGCAGTTTCAAAGACAGTTTCTTTCTAGTATTTTCTGGGGATATTCAGTTTTTCACTACAGGCCTCAATGATCTCCCAAATGTCTTTTTGCAGTTTCCACAAAAAAAAGTGTTTCCAAACTGAGAAATCAAAAGAAAGTTTTTACACTCTGAGATTAATACACAGATCACAAAGCAGTTTCACAATAGCTTCTTTCTGTTTTTATCAGAGAATATTCTGTTTTTTATTATAGAAATCAAAGGGCTCCTAAATGTCTCTTTGCAGTTTCTACAAAAAGAGTGGTTTTAACCAGTGGAATCAAAAGAAAGTTTTAGGTCTGTGAGATGACTACACACATACCAAAGCAGTGTCACACAGCTTCTTTCTAGTTTTTATTGGCAAATATTTGGTTTTTCACTATAAGCCTCAGTGGGCTCCCAAATGTCCCTTCATAGTTTCTACAAATAGTGTTTACATCCTGCTGAATCAAAAGAAATGTTTAACTCTGTGAGATGAATCCACACATCACAAAGCAGTTTCACAGATACTTTCTTTCTAGTTTTTACATGGGTTTTTTCAGCTTGTCAGTATAAGCCTCAATGGGCTTCCAAATATACCTTTGCAGATTCTACAAAAAAACTGTTTAAAACCCACTGAATCAAAGAAAGGTTTAACTCTGTGAGATGAAACCACACATCACAAAGCAGTTTCACAGACAGGATTTTTCTATTTTTTATTTGCAGATATTTGGTTTTTCACTCTAGACCACAATGGGCTCCCAAATATTCCTTCATGGATTCTACAAAAACAGTGTTTCCAACCTGCTGAATCAAAACAAAGTTTTCACCCTGTGAGGTGAATCCACACATTGCAAATTGGCTTCACAGATAGCTTCTTACTTGTTTTTTACTGGGGATAATCAGTTATTCACTATAGTCCTCCATGGACTCCCAAAAGTCCCTTTGCACTTTTCTACAAAAAGAGTGCTTCCAACTTCTGAATCGAAAGAAAGATTTAAATCTAGGAGATGAATCCACTTTTTCTAAGGTGGTTTCAGGTTTGTATCTGAGATTATTCAATTTTTCACTATTGGCCTCAATGAGCTCCCAAATGTCACTTTGCAGATTCTACAAAAAGAGTGTTTCTTTCCAACCTGTTTAATCAAAAGAAAGGTTTAACTCTCTGAGATGAATCCACACATCACAAAGCAGTTTCACAAATAGCTTCTTTCTAATTTTTGTCATGGGATATTCAGTTATTCACTACAGGCCTCTATCAGATTCCAAGTGTCGATTCACAGATTCTGCTAAAAGAGTGTTTCCAACCTGCTAAATCAAAAGACAAGTTTAAATCTGTCAGATGAATCCACACATCACAAAGTGCATTCACAGATAGCATTTTTCCAGTTTTTATCCACAGATATTCAGTTTTTCACTATAGGCTTCAATAGGCTCTTAAATGTCCCTTCGCGGTTTCTACAAAAAGAGAGTTTTTCACCTGTTGAATCAAAAGAAAATTTTAGGTCTGTGAGATTAATCCACACATTGCAAAGTGGTTACACAAATACATTCTTTGTAGTTTTTATTTGTAGATATTCAGTTTTTCACTCTAGGCCTCATTGGGCTCCCAAATGTCCCTTCGTAATTTCTGCAAAAAGAATGTTCCCAAACTCCTGAAACAAAAGAAAGAAAGGTTATCTCTGTGATATGAATCCGTACATCAAAAATTGCTTTCAAAGGTAGCTTCTTTCTAGTTTTTATTCGAGGATATTCAGTTTTTCAATCTAGGCCTCAATGGGCTCCCAAATGTCCCTTTACAGTTTCTACAAAAAGAGTGATTCTAACTCCTGAATAAAAAGAAAGATTTAACTCTGGTAGATGTATCTACCCTTTGCAAAGCAGTTTCAGAGATAGCTACTATCTGCTTTCTATCTGGGATTATTCGGTTTTTCACTGTAGGCCTCAAAGAGCTCCCAAATGTCACTTTGCAGATTCTACAAAAAGAGTGTTTCCAACCTGTTGAATCAAAAGAAGGTTTAACTCTGTGAGATGAATCCATGCATCACAAATTGGTTTCAAAGGTAGCTTCTTTCTAGTTTTTATCTGCACATATTCAGTTTTTCACTCTAGACCTCAATGGGCTCCCAAATGTTCCTTTGCAGTTTCTACAAAAACAGTGTTTCCAACTTCTGAATCAAAAGAAAAATTTAACTCTGGGAGATAAATCCATCCTTTGCAAAGCAGTTCCAGAGATAGCTACTATCTGGTTTCTATCTGGGCATATTCAGTTTTTCACTATAGGCCTCAATGAGCTCCAAAATGTCCCTTTGCTGATTCTACAAAAAGAGTGTTTCCAAACTGCTGAATCAAAAGAAAGGTTTACTGTCTTAGATGAATCCACACATCACAAAGCAGTTTCACAGATAGCTTCTTTCTAATTTTTATCAGGGGATATTCACTATAGGCCTTAATGGGCCCCCAAATATCCCTTCGCAGTTTCTAAAAAAGATTGTTTCCAACCTGCTGAATCAAAAGAATAGTTTAACTATGTGAGATGAATCCACACCTTTCAAAGACGTTTCACAGGTAGTTTGTTTCCAATTTTTATTTGGAGATGTTAAATTTTCTTACTATAAACATCAATGAGCTCCCAAATGTAACTTCACAGATCTTACAAAAACAGTGTTTCCAATCTGTTTAATCAATGGAAAGGTTTAACACTGTGAGATAAATCCACACATGTCAAAACCATTTCACAGATAGGTTCTTTCTTGTTTTTATCTGTGGATATTCAGTTTTTCACTATAGGCCTCAATGGACTCCCAAATGTGCCTTCACAGATTCTTCAAAAAGAGTGTTCCCAACCTGCAGAATCAAAAGAAATGTTTAACTCTCTGAGATGAATCCACACATCACAAAGCAGTTTCACAGATAGCTTCTTTCTAGCTTTTATTGAGGAATATTCAGTTATTCACTATAAGGCCTGAGTGGGCTCCCAAATGTCTTTTTGCAGTTTCTACAAAAAGAATGTTTCCAACCTTCTGAATCAAAAGAAAAGTTTAATTCTGTGAGATGAATCCACACGTCGCAATGCAGTTTCACAGATAGCTTCTTTCTAGTTTTCATCTGCGTATATTCTTTTTTCACTGTAGGCCTCAATGGGCTCCCAAATGTCCCACAGCAGATTCTACAGAGAAGGTGTTTCCAATATGCTGAATCAAAAGAAAGGTTTAACTCTCTGAGATGAATCCAGACATCAAAAAGCAGTTCCACAAATAGCTTCTTTCTAGTTTTTATTGAGGGAAATTCAGTTTTTCCCTATAGGCCTCAATAGGCTTCCAAATGTCCCTCTGCAGTTTCTAAAAAAGAGTACTTTCAATTGCTGAATCAAAAGAAAGGTTTAGTTCTCTGAGATGAATCCACACATCACAAAGCAGTTTCACAGATAGCTTATTTCTAGTTTACATTGGGGATATTCAGTTTTTCATTATAGGCCTCAATGGGCTCCCAAGAGTCCCTTCATAGTGCATACAGAAATAGTGTTTCCAACCTGCTGAATAAAGAGAAAGGTTTAACTTTGTGAGATGATTCTACACATCACAAAGACGTTTCTCAAATAGCTTCTTTCCAATATTTATCTGGGGATATTCCTTTTTTTTTTTTTTTAACTATAGGCCTCAATGAGCTTCCAAATGTCCCTTCGCAGATTCTACAAAAAGAGTGTTTCCAATCTTTTCTGTCAACAGAAGTGTTGAACTCTGTGAGATAAATCCACACACACAAGGTGGTTTCACAAATAGCTTCTTTCTAGTTTTTATTGGTGGATATTTGGTATTTCCCAATAGGCCCCAATAGGCTCCCAAATGTTTCCTTGCAGTTTCTACAAAAAGAGAGTTTCCAACTTGCTGAATCAAAAGACAGTTTTAACTCTGTGCAATGAATCCACCTATCACAAAGCAGTTTCACAGATAGCTTCTATCTAGTTTGTATCTGGGGACATTCTGTTTTTCACTGTAGGCCGCAATGAGCTCCCAACTCTCCCTTCACAAATTCTACAAGAAGTGTTTTCAACCTCCTGAATCAAAACAAAGGTTTAACTCTGTGAAATGAGTAAACACATCAGAAAGCTGTTTCACAGATAGCTTCTTTCTAGTATTTATCTGGGGATATTTGGTTTTTCACTATAGGCATCGATGATTTTTCAAATGTCTTTTCTCAGATTCTACAAAGAGTTTTTCCAACCTGCTGAATCAAGAGAAAGTTTTAACTGTGTGAGATGAATTCACACATCACAAAGAGGCAAGAAGTCCCCCAGGGAACGGGGACAGGTGGCCAGGCCTTAAGGGGGAGGTTGAAGAACACCTGGGAAAATAGTGGTGAGGCTGAAAATGAGGCCGGGGTCCCCCCACTGAGATCAGTGCTTTCCCTGTGTCCCCCAGGCCAGAATCAAGGGGGTCGTGGAGTCTCTGGCTTCCAACCAGGGAGTATGTCTCCCCCACTGGGGGCACTCCAATGAGGCAAGAATTCCCTAGTGTGATGGGGACAGCCTGTCTGGAGTTCAAGGGGAGGTTGAGGGAGGCCTGGGAAAAAGGTGGCAAGGCCAAAGAGGAGGCCGGGGTCCCCTGCCAGAGATCAGTGTCTTCCAGGCAGCACCTGTTCCCAAACCAGGGGAGTCGTGGAGTCCCTGGTTCCCACCCAGGGTGCTTGTCTGCCCTGCAGGGGCACCCCAAAGCAGCAAGAAGTCCCCTGGGGGAATGGGACAGGTGGCCAGACCTTCAGGGAGAGGGTGAAGCAGGTGCATGAAGAAAGCAGCAAAGCCAAAATGGTGGCTGGGATCCCCTGCTGAAGGTCAGTGCCTTCCCCAAGGTAGCAAGAAGTCCCCCGGGGGACAGGGACAGGAGGCCAGGCCTTCAGGGTAGATTGAGGCAGGTCTGTGAAGAAAGTGGAGAGGCCAAAGAAGGGGCTGGGTTCCACCCCCAGAGGTCCGGGTCTTCTTGGCAGCCCCTGTGCCCAATCCATGGGATTCGTTGAGTTCCTGGCTCCCAACCAGGGTGCATGTCTCTCCCCACGAGGTCATCCCAAAGTGCAAGAAGTACCCCAACAGACGTTGACAGGTGGCCAGGCTTTCTGGGGGAGGTTGAGGCAGTCCTGGGAGAAAAGCAGTGAAGCCAAAGAAAAGGCCAGGGTCACCTGCCAGAGTTCAGTGCCTGCCCGGCAGCCCTTGTGCCCAAACCGGTGGTGTCGTGGAGTTCCTGGCTCCCACCCTGGGTGCGTGTCTCCTCTCCGGGGGCATAACAAAGAGGCAAGAAGTCTTCCAGGGGAAGGGGACAGGCAACCAGGCCTTCACGGGGAGGTTGAGGCAGGCTTGGGATGAAAGCAGCAAGGCCGAAGAGGAGGCAAAGGTCCCCTGCTAAGAGTCAGTGCCTTCCTGGCAGCCCCTGCGGCCAACATGGGGGGTTCTTGGAGTCCTTCTCTCCCATCCAGGGTATGTGTCTCTCCTCCTGGGGTACCCAAAAGTGGCAGGAAGTCTCCCAGGGGATGGGGACAGGCAGCCAGGCCTTCAGGGAGAGGTTGGGGCAGACCCAGGAAGAAAGCGTCGAGGCCAAAGAGGAAGCCTGGTTCCCCCGCCGGAGGTCTGGACCTTCCCGGTAGTCCCCATGCTCAACGTGGGAGGATCGTGGAGTCCCTGGCTCCCAACCAGGGTGCATATCTCTCCCACCATGGGCCCACCAAAGTGGCAAGAAGTTCCCTGGAAGAAGGAGACAAGGAGCCAGGCTTTCAGGGGGAGGTTGAGGAAGGCTCGGGAAAAATGCAGGGAAGCCGAAGAGGAGGCCGGGGTCCCACATGGCAGGTCAATGCCTTCCCAGAAACACTGCACCCAACCCAGGGGGTTTGTAGAGACCCTGGCTCCCACCCAGGGTGTGTGTCTCCCCTCCTGGGTCACCACAAATTGGCAATAAGTCCCCCTGGGGATGAGGACAGGTGGCGAGGCCTTCGCAGGGAGGTTGAGGCAGGCCTGGGAAGAAAGCAGCAGGCCAAAAAGGAGGCCGAGGTCCCCCACCACAGGTCAATGCCTTCCCAGCAGCCCCCGCGCCCAACCTGGAGGGGTCGTGGAGTCCCTGGCTTCCAACCAGGATTTGTGTCTCTCCCCCCGGGGACAACCCAAAGTGGCAAAAGTCCCCAGGGGGACGGGCACAGGCTGCCAGACCTTCAGGGGAGGTTGAGGCAGGCCTGGGAAGAAAGCAGCAAGGCCAAAGAGGAGGCCAGGATTTCTCACCTAAAGTCAGTGCCTTCCCAGCAGTCCCCAAGCCAAAACCTGGGGGATCGTGGAGTTTCTGGCTGTCAACCAGGGTGCATGTCTCTCCACCCAGGGGCACCCCAAAGTGGCAAGAACTCCCCCTGGGGATGGGGAAAGGTGGCCAGGCATTCAGGGGGAGGTTGAGGCAGGCCGGGGATAAAAGCAGTGAGGCCGAAGAGGAGGCCGGGGTCCCCCATCGAAGGTCAGTGCCTTTCCAGCAGACTTTGCGCCTGACTCGAGTGGGTTGTGGAGTTCCTGGCTCCCAACCAGGGTAGGTATCTCTCCACCTGGGGGAACCCCAAAGTGACAAAAAGATTTTCAGAAGACGGGGACAGGCAGACAGGCGTTCAGGGGAAAGTTGAGTGTGTCCCAGGAAAAAAGCAGCGATGCTGAAGAGGAGGCCGGGGTCCCCCGTCAGAAGTCAGTGCCTTCTAGGCAGCCCCCATGCCTGATCCGTGGGGTCGTGGAGTCCCTGGCTCCCATCTAGGGTGTGTGTCTCCCCTCCGTGGGCACCGTAATGTGGCAAGAAGTACCCCGGGGGATAAGGACAGGTGGCCAGGCCTCCAGGGGGAGGTTGAGGCAGGCATGAGAAAAAAGTGGCTAGGCCGAAGAGGAGGCTGGTGTCCCCCATTGGAGGTCAGTGCCTTCCTGGCAGCACCCACACCTGACTCAGGTGGGTAGTGGAGTCCCTGGCTCCCACCCAGGGTGTGTGTCTCTCCTCCTGGGGCACCCCAAAGAGGCAAGAAGTCCCCCAGGGCACGGGGACAGGCGGCCAAGGTTTCAGTGAAAGTTTGAGGCAGGCCTAGAAAAAAAGCAGCGAGGCCAAAGAGGAGGCTAGGGTCCCCCACCAGAGGTGAGTGCCTTCTCAGCATCCCCCAGCCCAAACTGGGGGGGTCGTAGAGTCCATGGCTTCCAACAAGTATGTGTGTCTCTCTCCATGGGGGCACGCCAAAGCAGCAAGAAGTCCCTGGGGGGATGGGTACAGGTGGCCAGGCCTTCCGGGGGAGGTTGAGGCAGGCCCAGGAAGAAAGCAATGTGGCCAAAAAGGAGGCCGAGGTCCCCTGCCGGCAGTCAGTGACTTCCCGGCAGTCCCCACGCCCAACCCGGGGGAGTCATGGAGTTGCTTCCTCCCCACCAGGGTGCATGTCTCTCCCCTTCGGGGGCACCCCAAACTGGCAAAAACTCCCCTGGTAGACGGGGACAGGCGGCCACGTGTTCAGGGGAAGCTTGAGGCAGGCCGGGGAAGGAAGTCACGAGGCCAAAGAGGAGGCCGAAGCCCCCCGCCAGGGGTCAGTACCTTCCCAGTAGTCCCCGCACCTGACCGGGGGGCATTCATGGAGTCCCTAGCTTCCACCCAGGGTGCGTCTCTCCCATACGGGGACACCCCAAGGCAGCAAGAAGTTCCCAGAGGGACAGGGACAGGAGGCCCGGCCTTCAGGGGGAGATTGAGGCAGGCCCAGGAAGAAAGCGGAGAGGCCAAAGAGGAGGCCGGGATCCCCCGCCAGGGGTCAGGGCCTTTCCAGTAGCCCCAGTGCCCAACCCATGGGAGTCCTGAAAGAAGTGGTGAGGCCAAAGAAGAGGCCGGGAACCCCGGCCAGAGGTAAGTGCCTTCCCAACAGACCCCGTGCCTGAACCCGGGGTTATATGGAATCAGGGGGAAGTTGAGGCAGGAAAGGGAAAAAAGTGGCAAGGCTGAAGAAGAGGCTGGGGTCCCACGCTGGGGGTCCATGCCTTGCTGGCAGCCCTCCAGCCCGAACCAGGGGGTTCATGGAGTCCCTGGCTCCCACCCAGGGTGGGTGTCTCCCCTCCTGGGGCACCCCAAAGCATCAAGAAGTCCCCCAGTGGATGGGGACAGGCAGCCAGGCCTTTAGGAGGAGGTTGAGGCAGGCCTGGGAAGAAAGTGGCAAGGCCAAAGAGGAGGCCTGGGTCCCCCACCAGGGGTCAGTGCCTTCCCGGCAGTCCCTGAGCCTGATGAGGGGTGGTTGTGGAGTCCCTGGATCCCAACCAGGGTGCATGTTTCTTTCCCCGGGGGCACCCCAAAGCGCCAAGAAGTCCCCCAGTGTCGAGGACAGGCGGCCAGACGTTCAGGGTTAGGTTGACGCAGGCCTGGGAGAAAAGCAGCCAGGTCGAAGAGGAGGCCTGTGTCCCCTGCCTGGGGTCAGTCCCATCCCGACAGTCTCCGTGCCCAACCAAGGGGTTCATGGAGTCTCTGGCTCCCACCCAAGGTGCATGTTTTCTCTCTGGGGGCAACCCAAAGCAGCAAGAAGACCCCAGGGGGAGGGGGACAGTCAGCCAGGCCTTCAGGAGGATGTAGAGGCAGGCCTGGAAAGAAAGCGGCAAGGCCGAAGAGGAGGCCAGGGTCCCCTGCCAGGGGTCAGTGCAGAGGTCCCCCCATGGGGACCCCAAAGCGGCAAGAAGTCCCCCAGGGCAATGGAACAGGTGGCCAGGCCTTCGGGGGAGGTTGAGGCAGACCTGGGAAGAAAGCAGGGAGGCCAAAAAGGAGGTCGTGGTTTCCCACTGGAGGTCATTGCCTTCCCGGCAGCCCCCGCGACCAACATGAGGGAGGTTCGTGAAGCCACAGGCTACCACCCAGGGTGCGAGTCTCCCCTCCTGTGGCACCCCAAAGTGGCAAGAAGTACCCCGGGGGATGGGGACAGGCGTCCAGGCCTTCAGGGGGAGGTTGAGGCAGACCCGGGAAGAAAACATCGACGTTGAATAGGAGGCCGGGGTCCCCCGCCAGAGGTCAGTGCCTTCCCGGCAGCCCCCGCACCGGACCTGGGGGAGGGGGGTCGTGAAGTCCCTGGCTGCCAACCAGGGTGCGTGTCTCTTCCCCCGGGGGCACACCAAAGCAGCAAGAAGTCCCCCGGGATACAGGGACAGGCAGCCAGGCATTTATGGGGAGGTTGAGGAAGGCCCAGGAAAAAAGCAGCGAGGCCAAGGAGGATGTCAGGATCCCCCATCAGAGGTCAAAGCCTTCCCGACAGCCTTCGTGCCTAACCCAGGGGCTTCGTGGAGTTGTTGGCTCCCACACAGGGTGCGTGTCTTTCCTCCTGGAGTACCCCAAAGTGGTAAGAAGTCCCCCGTGGAAGGAGAGGAGGCCAGGCCTTCAGGGGGAGGTTGCGGCAGGCATGGGAAGAAATCGGCGAGGCTGACGAGGAGGGAGGGGTCCCTCGCAGGAGGTCAGTGCCTTCCCGGCAGTTCCTATGCCCTACCCGTGGGAGTTGTGGAGACCCTGGCTCCCAACAAGGGCATGTTCCTCTCCCCACGGGGGCAGCACAAGGAGGCAAGAAGTACCCCAGGAGATAGGGACAGGCGGCCAGGCTTTCAGGGGAACCTTGAGGCAGGCCGGAAAAAAAAATGCAGCAAGGCTGAAGAGGAGGCTGGGATCCTCCCTCTGAGTCCGGGGTTCTTTTGGCAGGGCCTGCCCCGACCCGGGGGGGGGGCACGGGGTCCCTGGCTTCCACCCCAGGGTGCGTGTGGCACCCCAAAGGGGCAATAATTTCCCCCAGGTGACGGGACAGGACGCTAGGCTTGCAGGCTTTCAGGGGGACTTTGAGGCAGGCCAAGGGAAAAAAGCGGCAAGGCCAAAGAGGAGACTAGGGTCCTCCCCCAAAGGCAAGTGCCTTTTCAGCATGCCTTGCATCTGAACAGGGGGGGCGGGCAGAGGAGTCCCTGGCTCCCACCCCAGGGTGAGTGGGGGGCACCCCAAAGCGGCAAGAAGTGCCCCCCGGGTGATGGGGACAGGACGCCAGGCTTTTAGGTTTTCAGGAGGTCATTGAGGCAGTCTGGGGAAAAAAAGAGGTGAGGCCAAAGAGGAGGCTGGGGTCCCCCCACCCTGAAGCCAGTGCTTTTCCGGTAGGCTTTCACACCAGGGTTGAAGCAGGCCAGGGAAAGAAAGTGGCGAGGCTGAAGAGGAGGCTGGAGTCATCCCCCTAAGGTTAGTGCCTTCCTATCAGGCCCTGCACCAGAACTGGGGGGCCATGGAGCCCATGGCTTTCACACCAGGGTTGATGTCTTTCCCACAGGGGGCACAACAAAGCAGCAAGAAGTGCCCCCAGGTGACGGGGACAAGACGCCAGGCTTGCAGGCTTTCAGGGGGATGTTGAGGCAAGCAGAGGAAAAAAAGTGGTGAGGCAGAAGAGGAGGATGGGGTCCTGCCCCAGAGGCCAGTGCCTCAGGGGAGATTTGGAGTCTCCGGCTCCCACACCAGCATGCATTGGGGGCACCACAAAGCAGCAAGATGTCCTGCCAGGTGACGGGGACAGGACGCCAGGCTTGCAGGGTTTCAGGGGGATGTTGAGGCAGGCTGGGGAGAAAAAGTGACAAGGCGGAAGAGGCTGGGATCCTCTCCAGTGGCCAGTGTCTTCCTGGCAGGCACTGTGCTGGACCCAGGGATGCCGTGGAGTTTCTTGCTCTCATCATAGGGTGCATGGGCAGTACCCCTAAGTGGCAGGATGTCTCCCTGGATGACAAGAACAGGTTGCAATGCTTGCAGGCTTTCAGGGCTGTTGAGGTGATCAAACCCAACACCCAGCTGTGGGGGCAATGAGGTCCGGCCAAATCAAAGGAATGAGAAAAGACAAGTAAAGGCATAAAGTGGGATCAGGGGGCCAATGCTAGCATGGAGGATGTGAAGGCCCCTAGCTCTGGGATCCCACCCTATTCATTGGTGATCAAACAAAGAAACAGGTGGCGAGGATGTAGGGGGGTTGCACATGATCTACAGCTGTGATGATTTAGTATTTTCTTTGAAGCATATGGAACAAGTTCTGCTGCTTGAGATAATAGCAGTGCTAGAAGCAAGGAGCCAGCAAGTCTAGACACATTCTAGAAGCCAGGAGGGGTTTTATGCCCTAAGTCCTGGATTCTATGCAAGCCACGAGTGGTTTCATGCCCAGGGCTTAGATTATGGTGTGGCAGGGCAGCCTTCCACCCTTTGGCACAGAGCTTGGTGTTCCAAAGGCCATAAGGGGTTTTAGACCCTGGACCCCGGACATGTTCCAAGACCCTTTTACATTATGTCACACATGCAAGCCCTGCCTCAGTTTTTTTCCCAACACTCAGCCTTTCCCCAACACAGGGACATTGAGGCAGGATGGGGAAAAAAGTGGTGAGAACAAAGAGGAGGCTGGGGTCCTCCCCTGGAGGCCAGTGCCTGTATGGTAGGCCCTGCTTTGGACCCAGGGGGCCATGGAGTTCCTGGCTCCCACCCCAGGGTGCATGTCTCTCCCCTGGGGGCACCCCAAAGTGGCAAGAAGTCCCTGTGGGTGACAGGGACAGGAAGCCAGGCTTGCGAACTTTCAGGGGAATATTGAGGCAGGCTGGGGAGAAAAAGCAGCAAGGCCCAAGAGGAGGCAGGAGTCATCCTCCGGAAGCCAGTGCCTTCCCATTAGGAACTGCACCAGACCAGGGAGGACCGTGGAGTCCCTGCCTCCCACCTCAGGGTTTGGGGGAACATCCCAAAGCGGCAAGAATTTTCGCTATGTGACTGGTACAGGATGCTAGCCTTGCAGGGTTTCAGGGGGACGCTGAGGCAGGCCAGGGAAAAAAAAGTGGCAAGGCTGAAGAGGAGGCTGGGGTCCTTCCCTGGAGGCCAGTGCCTTTTCAACAGGTCCTGCCCCAGACCCGGGGTGGCCGTGGAGTCCCTGATTCTCACGCCATGGTGCATGGGGGCACCCCAAAACAGCAAGAAGTCCCCCTGCGTGATGACAGAACGCCAAGCTTGCAGCCTTTCAAAGGGACATTGAGGCAGGCCATGGAAAAAAAGTGGTGATGCCAAAGAGGAGGTTGGGGGTCCTCTCCCAGAGGCCAGTACCTTTTCCGCAGGCTGTTCAACTCAACCTGTGCCGGACCCAGGGAGGGGGTGGGGGGTGTGTGAATTCCCTGGTTCCTACCCCAAGGTGTGTGTCTGTTCCACAGGGTGCACCTCAAAGCAGCA
Source organism: Homo sapiens (assembly GCF_000001405.40). Taxonomy (NCBI): domain Eukaryota; kingdom Metazoa; phylum Chordata; class Mammalia; order Primates; family Hominidae; genus Homo; species Homo sapiens. The sequence continues at coordinate 43,564,297 of NC_000008.11, read as the reverse complement.
AGAAGTCCACCCGGGTAACAGGGACAGGACGCCGGGCTTGCAGGCTTTCTGTGGGCCGTTGATTCAGGCCGGAGAATAAAGTTGGCAAGGAGTCCCTGGCTCCCACCCCAGGGTGCGTGGGGGGCATTACAAAGCAGCAAGAAGTCCCCCTGTATGAAGGAGACAGGACGCCAGGCTTGCAGGCTTTCAGGGGGGACGTTGAGGCAGGCCAGGGGAAAAAAGTGGTGAGACCGAAGAGGAGGATGTGGTCCCCGGAAGCCAGTGCCCTCCCAACAGGCCCTGCGCCAGAGGCGGAGGGGCCGTGGAGTCCCTGGCTCCACGGGTGCACGTTGGGCACCCCAAAGCGGCAAAGTTTCCCCAGGTGACAGTGACAGGATGCCAGGTTTACAGGCTTTCAGGGGGACGTTGAGGCAGGCCAGGAAAAAAGCGGCAAGGCTGAAGAGGAAGCTGGGGTTCTCCCCTGAGGCCAGTGCCTTCCTGGCAGGCCTTGCACCAGACACGCGAGTGCTGTTGATTATTTGGCTCCCAACCCAGGGTGCGTGGGAGGCAACCCAAAGCAGCAAGAAGTCCCCCTGGGTGATGGGGACAGGACCCCAAGCTTGCAGACTTTCGGGGGACGTTGAGGCGGGCTGGGGAGAAAAAGCGGAGGCTGAAAAGGAGGCTGGGGTTTTCCCCCGGAGGTGTGTGCCTTCTTGGCAGTCTGTGCGACAGAACATGGCGGGCCGTGGAGTCCCTGGCTTTCACCCCAGTGTGCGTCTCCCTCACCGGGGGCACCCCAAAGCGGCAAGAAGTCTCCCCGGGTGACAGACAAGACGCCAGGCTTGCAGGCTTTCAGGCGGACATTGAGGCAGTCCAGGGATAAAAAGCGGCGAGGCCCCGAAGAGGAGGTTGGAGTTTTCCCCCTGAGGCCAGTGCCGTCCAGGGAGGCCCTGCATTGGTCCCTGGGAAGCCGGGAAGTCCCTGGCTTCCTCCTGAGGGTGTGTGAGGGGCACCCAAAACCGGCAAAATGCCTCAACGGATGACAAGGACAGGACGCCAAGCTTGCAGGCTTTCAGAGGGACGTTGAGACAGGCCTGGATAAAAAAGCAGTGAGGCCGAAGAGGAGGCTGGGCTCTTCCCCCGGAGGACATTGCCTTCTGGGCATGCTGTGCCAGACTTGGGGGATTCGTGGGGTCCCTGGCTCCCACCCCAAGATACGTAGTGGGGGCAACAAAAAGCAGCAAGAAGTCCACCCGAGTGATGCGGACAGGAAGCCAGGCTTGCACGCTTTCAGGGGGACGTTGAGGCAGGCCAGAGAAGAAAAGAGGCGAGGCCAAAGAGGAGGCTGGGGTCCCCCCTCAGAGGCCAGTGCCTTTCCAGCAGGCCCTGCACCAGACTCAGGAAGGCCGTGGAGTCCCTGGCTTCCACCCCAGGGTGCGTGGGAGGCAACCCAAAGAGGCAAGAAGTCACCCCCTGTTACAGGGACAGGAGGCCAGATTGCAGACTTTCAGGGGGACGGTGAGGCAGGCGGGGGAATAAAAGCAGCGAGGCGGAAGAGGAGGCTGGGGTCGACCAAGGGAGGCCAGTGCCTTCCCAACAGGCCCTGTGCTGGACCTGAGGGGGCCGTGGAGTTCCTGGCTCTGACCCCAGGGTGCATTATGGGCACCCCCAAAGAGACAAAAATTCCCCCGGGTGACAGGGAGAGGACGCGAGTCTTGCAGGCTTTCAGGGGGACGTTGAGGCAGGCAGGGGAAAAAAAGTGGCAAGGCCGAATAGGAGCCTGGGGTTGTCCACTGGAGGCCAGCACCTTCCCGGTGGACCCTGCGCCAAACCCGGGAGGGCCGTGGAGTCCCTGGATCCTACCCCAGGGTGGGTGGGGGGCACCCCAAAGTGGCAATAATTCCCTGCATGTGACAAGGACAGGACGCCAGGCTTGCAGGCTTTCATAAGGACATTGAGGCAAGCCAGGGAAAAAAAGCAGCAAGGCAGGAAAGGAGGCTGGTGCCGTCCCGATGAGGCCAGTGACTCCAGCAGGCCCTGCACTGGAACAGGGGTTGGCCGTGGAGTTTCTGGCTCCCAAACCGGCGTGCATGAGGAGCACCCCAAAGCGTCAAGAAGTCCCCCTGGGTGACAGGGGCAGGATGCCAGGCTCGTAGGCTTTCAGGGGAACGTTAGGGAGGCCAGAGAAAAAAAAGCGTCGAGGGCAAAAAGGAGGCTGGAGTCATCTCCTGGAGGCCAGTGCCTTCCCGGCAGGTCCTGGGCCAGATCCGGGGGGCCATGGAGTCCCTGGCTTCCATGCCAGGGTATGTGTCTTTCCTATGGGTGGTACCCAAAAGCGGCAAGAAATTTCCCCGGATTGATGGGTCAGGACACCAGGCTTGCAGGCTTTCAAGGGGATGTTGAGGCAGGTCGGGAAAAAAACGCAGCGAATCTGAAGAGGAGGGTTGGGTCCTCCGTCGGAAACCAGTGCCTTTCTGGCAGGCCCTGCAGTGGACCCAGGGGTGCCGTGTAGTGAATAGCTCCCACCCCAAGGTGCGTGGCGGGCACCCCAAAGTGACAAGAAGTCACCCCTGGTGACGGGGACAAGACGCAAGCCTTGCAGGCTCTCAAGGGGACGTTGTGGCAGGCTGGGGGAAAAAAAGCAGCGAGGCAGAAGAGGAGGCTGGGTTCATCCCCCCCGAGGCCAGTGCCTTCCCGGCAGGCCCTGCGCTAAACATGGGCAGGCTGTGGAGTCCCTGGCTTTCACCCCAGGGTGCATGTCTCTCTCCCGGAGGTGACGGGGGGGACTCCACGGCACGAAGTCCCACAAGGTGATAGTTACAGGACGATAGGCCTGCAGGCTTTCAGGGGAACATTGAGGCAGGCCAAGGATAAAAAGCAGCTAGACAGAAGAGGAGGTTGGGGTCCTTCCCAGGATGCCAGTGCCTTCCCAGTAAGCCCTGCACCAGACCCTGGAGGGCCGTGGAGTACCTGGCTCGCACACCAGGGTGCTTGGGGGGCACTCCATGCAGCAAGAAGTTCCCCCCTCCGAGTGATGGGGCAGGATGCCAGGCTTTCAGGCTTTCAGGGGGACGTTGAGGCTGTGATACCCTACCTTGTTTTAAACTGAGTGGCACTCTCCTAGCAGAGAGAGAGCCGAACAGACTCCATTTTAGTTTCTTCACTTGCAACCCCCTTTCACCTCCCTCCCTTAAGGCATAACTAGTGTAAAACTGACTCAAAGTGTGTCCAGGAATGTGTCTACTGATAAGATATTGAGGCAAGCTGCACCAGCAGCTCCTGGGGATGCGCTCGGGTGGATGGCACCCAAGACCCCTGCATTTATCTCTTTGTGATAGTTTAAGCCCCTGCACCTGGAACTGTTTATTTTTTGTAATTGCATTTGTAACCAATTAATTTTTTAACTTTTTGCCAGTTCTGCTTCTGTAAAAAATTGCTTCAGCTAAAATCCCCCCTCCCCTATTTAGACCACAGTATAAAAACAAAACTAGCCCCTTCCTCAGGGCCAAGAGAATTTTGAGCGTTAGCTGCCTCTTGGTCACTGGCTAATAAAGGACTCTAATTTGTCTCAAAGTGTGGCGTTTCTCTATAACTCGCTTGGTCACAACATTTGGAGGCCCCAGTGAGATATTCGCCACTGGGCAAGAGCCGGACTCATTCCAGGTTCCCCCAGACAGACAGTGGACTTATAGGGGAGGCGCCCCCTGAAGACGTTCCAGGGCCCCATAAGACCCTGTCTTCTGGAGGGGAATGGATCGACCACTGGTGTGTGCCCAGAAAAATTCAACTCCTGAGTCCTCTGGTCCCGGGAAGGTAAGTCATATCTGACTCTGTTTCTCTGGGAGGGAAATGGCTCTGACAGGGCCCTCCCTCTTTGACTCTGCCCGCATTCCAGCACACTGGAGGACAGAGTCCTGATTTTCTGTTAGGTGCCTCTGTGTCTCTCTGGGAGGGAAGCGGCCCTGACGGGGGCCCTCCCTTGACTCAATCCATATTCCAGGATGCTGGAGGACTGAGTCCTGGTTTCTGGCAGGCTGGCCTCTCCATTAAAGACTAGTCTCTCTCTCTCTCTCTCTGTCTCTCTCTCTGCTCTCTCTTTCTCTATCTCTCCTCCCTTTCACGTTCAGGTTTCCATAAGACTTCTGTTTTATGGCAAAAAAAAAAAAACTATTATAAACTTTGTGTGAATGGTGAGTGGATGGGGAAGTCAAGGGCTTGCACTTGAACTTCCAGTTTGTAGCTCCACGGCAAAAGCTATGGAGTTCGAGTGGGCCCGCACCTGTAGTTCCATGGTGACCTCATAAGGCTTAAGGCAGCACTGAGCATAGCTCGATCCGAGCCGGGGGTTTATACCAGCCTGCCAATGCTAAGAGGAGCCCAAGTCCCCTCAGGGAGAGTGGCCAGGCGGGCATCTGACTGATCCCATCACCGGACCCCCTCCCCTTGTCTATTTAATAAAAACTGCCATAATTGTTCTTATACCCTAGGGTCTGTTGTTTGTTTTATGTTTATTGTCCTGCTCGGTGTCTATTGTCTTGTTTAGTGTCAGTCTAAGTTTCATAGTCAGGTCGCCAGTGCTGTCCAAGGCAACTAGGAAAGAAATTCTTCAAGGTCCTCAGTGCTGATTTTCTACCACAGGAGGTCAAATACCTCATCAGTCATTTGGGCTGGCCGTCCCAGTCCTGCCTTTTCTGTCAGAAAGAAATCAAGTGTTGTTACGGGAAGAAGTGTGGGAAACACTCGCCCATTTGGAATTTCTGGCACCATAAAGTCTGCTGGAATTTAGATTGCCACATCCCACACTCTAGTGACTGGACAGCCTCCCGATTAGATCAGTGGTGGATCCAAAATAGTCACCCTGCAGGCCTCCTTGCCCACCTTTTCTGTCATCCTGTAACGTTTCCCGTGCCTTTGAATAGAAGACTGTGCAGAGAAGCCTACGCTCATACTGCTTTACTCCATCTGGACTCCTATTCTGTTCCCCGGTGGCTACTCTCCTACCTTAGGAGAGATCCAAGTGGGCCCTTTCCCCCTCATCCTTATCCCTTCCCCACACATCTCATTTTCCTGTGTCACAGCAAGTCCAGAGCCTCCAAGATTTAGCCCTGCTCTCCCTCCTAAAACCCTTGAAAGAAAGGGCCGAGTTTGAACTTTTTGTCTTTGAATCATGGAGACACCAAAAATACCTGGGCTATATGTCAAGGGAAGGAAGGAGGTCATCTAGGTCCTGCCAGCCAAGGAGGCCTCGGGTTGGTTGCTAATCTTCCCCCCTAAATCTTGAAGCTTAAGAAAACCTACTTCATATGGCAGGAAGTCTTAGCTGTAGTGGTTTTCCTGCTCTTTCTGGTTGTGTTATTTCCCTTCTTCCAATATGCCAGTCCCCCAGGTTGTGAATTTCTCTGTCCATGCTGGGTTTAATATCTCTGTTCAACCTTGTTAAACTGCCTCCAAAATAGGAAACTCCTCTTCCTGGCCCTGTAAAGAGTAGAGTCCTCTCCAATGTATACTGCAGAATTTCTCTGTAGACTTCTCAGAAGATTATGGAGTCTGCCTGAAGAAAGGCAAACTCTGGACACTCTGTGAAGTAGAATGGCCACAGTTTGGAACCAGATGGCCCACAGAAGGGTCATTTAACCCCACATGTGTTCAGGATGTGTGGCAGGTCATTACTGGAAGTCCCGGTCACCCCAATCAGTTTCCCTACATTGATCAGTGGCTGGATTTGGTACGGGGCCCTCCTCCCTGGCTCCACTCATGTGCCATTCATGATCCCATTTCCAGGGTCCTTTTGAGCCGGTCCACATTTTTACCCTGACCCTGAGTCCCCTCGGCTCCTCCTGTACTGCCTTCTTCTGAGGAAGAGGAAAGTTTTCCTCTCCCAGTTCTGCCACCCTATAACCCTCCTTCTCCCCCGGATTCTTCCCTTGTTTCCTCGACTACATCTCCTGTGGGCTCTCCACCCATAGCTTCCCGATTGTGGCCAAGGCAGGAGGAGGTAGCCCCCCTCCTCCCACTGAGAGAGACCCAAAATATTTGGGAGAGAGCACTCAGCTCCCTTCTTAGTTTGTCCCTTTTTCTACCTCTGACCTGTACAACTGGAAGCCTCATAATCCCCCTTTTTCTGAAAAGCCACAGGTTTTGACCTCACTAATGGAGTCCGTGCTCCAGACTCACTGCCGCACCTGGGAGGACTGTCAGCAACTACTTTTAACCCTTTTCACCTCTGAAGAGAGGGAGTGTATGGGAAGGGAGGCCAGAAAGTATTACCTTACATCAGCTGGTGGGCCAGAAGAGGAAGCCTGAGACCAAATTGAAGAGGCTTTTCCCTCTACCCAGCCTAATTAGGACCCAAATTCCTCAGGTGGAAGGAGAGCCTTAGACGATTTTCACCGGTATCTCCTTGTGGGTGTCAAAGGAGCCACTCAAAAACCCATAAATTTGTCTAAGACAACTGAAGTTGTCCAGGGGCCTGACAAGTCACCAGGAGCATTTTAGGAAAGCCTCCAGGAGGCCTATCAGACTTACACCCCTTTTGACCCAATGGCTCCCGAAAATAGCTGTGCTCTTAATTTGGCATTTGTGGCTCAGGCAGCCCCTGACATTAAAAGAAAATTGCAAAAGCTAGAGGGATTTGCTGGAATGAACATCAGTCAGCTTTTAGAGATAGCCCAAAAGGTTTTTGACAACTGAGAGTTTGAAAAGCAGAAACAGGCAGCTCAGGCAGCTGAAAAGCCTGCTGACAAAGCATCAAAAAGACAGGCAAAAATCATAGTGGCTGCCATTCATGAAGTCAAGAAAGAAAAGCCCCTGTCACAGAAAAATGGTCAGGGAACCCCAGGTCCCCACCAAAAAAGCCAGAAAGGGGACCGGGCTCCCCTGGAGAAAAACCAATGCGCTTATTGCAAGCAGATGGGACACTGGAAAAAGGAATGCCCGTTAAGACCAGAGGAAAAACCAGAAGAGAAAAAAGTCCTCACCCTCCCTTTTGTGGAGGAATCTCATGAGTGACGGGGCCAGGGCTCCTTTCCACTTGGCCCCTGGGAGCCCATGGTGACCGCCACAGTAGGGGGCCAGCCTGTACACTTCCTAATTGACACTGGGGTGGAACACTTGGTATTGCAGATTCCGCTAGGCAGTGTCTCTAATAAGAAAGTTGCTGTACAAGGGGCTACTGGAGTGATTCAAGAATATCCTGTCACCCACTCACAAGAGGTGAGTTTAGGACAGAAAAGAGTAACCCACTCATTCCTCATGGTCACAGAGTGTCCCTTTCCCCTCCTAGGAAGAGACATGCTCCACAAGCTGCAGGCATCTATTTCCATCTCAGCCCAACAAGCTCACCTCATGCTAAGAGACACAACACCTCCCACTGCTCAGCTCCTGCTAACCACCCCTCTGTCAGAAGAATATCTCTTAGTTTCACCTTCACAACCACTGGAGAATAAAACTAATCCTCTCTTACTGGGCTTACAGACTCTCTTTCCTCAGGTCTGGGCTGAGTCAAACCTCCTGGGACTGGCTAAGCACCATCCGCCAGTGGTAGTAGAACTCCTGGCCACTGCCTTGCCAGTCCAGGTAAAGCATATCCTATGAGTCAATGGGCTAGGGAAGGAATCAACCCCCATATTCAGCAACTGTTACAGGCTGGCATACTTACACCATGTCAGTCCACCTGGAACACTCCATTGTTGCTGGTCCAAAAACCCGGAACAAATGACTACCAGCCTGTACAGGATTTAAAGGAAGTTAACAGATGGACAGTCACTGTCCACCCTACAGTCCCTAACCCTTATACTTTACTCAGCCTGCTCCCACCAGAACACACAGTGTACACTGTCCTTGACTTAAAAGATGATTTCTTTGCTATTCCTCTGGCCCTCAAAAGCCAACCTATATTTTCCTTTGAATGGACAGATCCTGGCTAAGGAGACACCACCCAATTGACATGGACTCGGTTACCTCAAGGTTTTAAAAATTCCCCCACCCTTTTTGGGGAAGCCATCCAACAGGATCTTGTACCATTTTGAGCCAGACACCCTAATTGTACCCTTCTTCAGTACATAGATGACCTTTTATTAGCTACTGAAACCTCTGACAGCTGCCTGCAACATACTAGAGACTTACTTTACCTCCTTCAGGAACTCGGGTTTCGAGTCTCAGCCAAAAAGGCCCAGCTTTGTCTTCACAGAGTCTCCTACCTAGGGTATGAGATAAAGGAAAATGGGCACTCACCAGTGCTTATAAGGAAGCCATTCTGCGAATCCCCACTCCCACCACCAAAAGACAGGTACGTGAATTCCTGGGGGCTGTGGGATACTGTCGCCTGTAGATATTAGGGTTTGCAGAAATTGCCAAAGTCCTGTACACCACTACTGGAAGGAATGGCCCACTAGTTTGGACTGACACTGAAGAACAGGCTTTCAAAAACCTGAAAAAGGCACTAACTGAGGCCCCCGCTCTAGCCCTCCCTGATATCTCAAAACCATTTCACCTTTTTATTCATGAAAGCCAGGGAGTTGCTAAGGGGGCGCTCACTCAGACTTTAGGACCCTGGAGACGCCCAGTAGCCTATTTGTCTGAGAGACTGGACCCTATGGCCTCTGGATGGCCAAGCTGTCTGTGAGTCATGGCAGCAACAGCAAGCCTAGTCCAAGAGGCTGACAAATTGACTCTAGGCCAAAATTTAACCCTTACAGCTCCACATGCTGTAGAGACTTTGCTACAAAGTGCTTCTAGCAAATGGATGTCAAATGCTCGTATCCTACAGTATCAGAGTTTACTGTTAGATCAGCCTCATTTGACTTCTCTCCCACAAGGTGTTTAAATCCAGCTACTTTACTTCCTGATCCAGAGTTCACTACACCTGTCCATGACTGCCAGGAACTGTTAGAAACTACCAAAACTGGCCGACCTGATCTCCAAGATGTGCCCCTAAAGAAAGTGGAGGTCACCTTATTTACAGACGATAGCAGCGTCCTTGAACAAGGAGTACAGAAGGCTGGTGCGGCCATTACCATGGAGTTGGATGTGCTATGGGCCCAGGCATTGCCAGCAAATACTTCAGCCCAGAAGGCTGAACTGATGGCCCTCACTCAGGCTCTCCCATGGGGTAAGGACAAATGTATTAACATTAACACTGACAGCAGATATGCTTTTGCTACTGTACATGTACATGGAGCCATCTGTCAAGAGCATGGGCTACTCACCTCAGCAGGAAAGTCTATTAAAAACAAAGAAGAAATTTTAGCCTTTCTTGAAGCTGTTTGGCTTCCTCAGCAGGTGGCTGTAATTCACTGCAAAGGACATCAAAGAGAAAACACAGCCATTGCCCGTGGTAACCAAAGCAGACTCTGCAGCCCCGAGAAGCTGTTCAGCTCTCAGTCGTGCCCTTGGTCCTACTGCCCGCCATGTCTTTTCTGCAGCCTGACTTGCCAAATCACCCAAAATACTCCACAGAAGAAGACAAACAGGCTTCAGATCTTTAGGCTAATAAAAATCAGGAAGGTTGGTGGATTATTCCTGATTCCAGAATCTTCAGACCCCAAGCCCTTGGGAAAACTCTAGTCAATCGTCTACATTCTACCACCCATTTGGGAGGAGTAAAATTGGCCCAGCTTCTAAGGAGCTGTTTCAAGATCCCCCACCCTCAGGACTTAGCTAACCAAGCAGCTCTCCAGTGTATGGCTTGTGCTCAGGTAAATGCCAAGCAAGGTCCCAAACCCAGCCCAGGCCACCATCTCTGCAGAGACTCACCAGGAGAAAGGTGGGAAATTGACTTTACAGAAATTAAACCACACTGGGCAGGGTATAAGAACCTCCTGGTGCTAGTAGACATCTTTTGTGGGTGGACTGAGGCATTTGCCACCAGAAACAAAACTGCCACTAGGGTAGTTAAGTTTTTACTAAATGAAATCATCCCAAGACATGGGTTGCCTGTTGCCATAGGGTCTGATAATGGGCCAGCCTTCACCTAGTCCATACATCAGTTGGTCAGCAAGGCATTAAACATCAAATGGAAACTCCATTGTGCCTACCGACCCCAGAGCTCTGGATAGATAGAACGCATGAACCACACCCTAAAAAATACTCTTACAAAATTGATTCTAGAAATGGGTGAGAATTGGGTGAGAATCCTTCGTTTAGCCCTTCTTAGAGTAACATGCACCCCTTACTGAGCTGGGTTTATACCTTTTGAAATTATGTATGGAAGGGCTCCACCTATCCTGCCTAGGTTGAGAGACACTCATTTAGCAGAAATCTCTCAAGCTAACTTATTACAGTACATGCAGTCTCTCCAACAGGTACGAGACATCATCCAGGCACTTGTCCAGGGAGCACGCCCAAATCCAGTTCCTGACCAGATGGGACCCTGCCACTCTTTCCAGCCGGGTGACCTGGTGTACGATAAAAAGTTCCAGAAAGAAGGATTCATTCCTGCCTGGAAAGGACTCATACTGTCATCCTCACCACGCTGACAGCTCTAAAGGTGGATGGCATTCCTGCCTGGATTCATCACTCTCTCATCAAAAAGGCTAGCAAAGCCCAGCAAGAAACATGGATCCCCAAGCCTGGGCCAGGCCCCTTAAAACTGCACCTAAGTCACTTGAAGCCATCAAATTAATTCCTTTTATTTACCTCTTTTGTGTGTTCCCGCCTGTCATGCCTTCTGCTCCATCCTACTCTTTTCTCCTTACTTCTTTCATGACAGGACGTGTATTTGCAAACACTACTTGGAAGGCAGGAAGCTCCAAAAAAGTCTCTTTTGCAGTTGATTTATGTGCTTATTCCCAGAGCCTGCCCATACCCATGAAAAGCAATGCAATCTGCTGGTCATAGGAGCAGGAAACATTGACCTGGCTGCAGGATTCGGACACACAGGAAGCCGGACTGGATGAGGGAGCTCTAAAGGTGCAGAAAAAGGACTCCAGAGCGTTGATTTTTACCCCTGTACTGGAAATCACCCTGACCCAGTTGTTGAGATTCCTATCAGTTTTTCTGCCCTAACTGCTTGTGTGTAACCCTGGCCACTTACTCTGGAGGATCAACCCAGTCCTCAACCCTCTCCATAACTCGCTCTTCCTGTCCTAGACCGTGCACTCTAAGGAACTGCAACCCTCTTCCTATAACTGTCCGTAACCCTAATTCAGCTCAATGGTATTATGGCATGTAATGGGGATTAAGACTTTATATCTCAGGATTTGATGTTGGAACTATGTTCACCATTCAGAAAAATGTCCTGGTCCCGTGGAGCCCTCCTAAGCCAATCGGACCTCTAACTGATTTAGGTGACCCTATGTTCCAAAAACACCCAGACAGGGTCGATTTAACTGTCCCACCACTCTTGGTTCCTAAATCCCAATTACAACGACAGCATCTCCAACCCGGCCTGATGTCCATTCTGGATGGAGTGCATCACCTCCTTAACCTCACCCAGCCAAAACTAGCCCAAGATTGTTGGTTGTGCCTGACAGCAAAATCCCCATATAATGTTGGTTTAGGAGTAGAGGCCATGTTCAAGGTTAACTCTCTCTTTTGTCATACACGACCCCATGCCCTTACATTAGGAGACATGTAGGGGAATGCCTCCTGTCTAATTAGCAATGGGTATAACTTATCTGCTTCTCCCTTTCAGGCCACCTGTAATCAATCGCTACTTACTTCCTTAAACACCTCAGTTTCCTACCAGGCACCTAACAACACCTGGTTGGCTTGTACTTCAGGCCTCACTCACTGCATCAATGGGACTGAACATGGACCTCTTCTGTGTGTGTTAGTTCATGTACTCCGCCAGGTCTATGTGTACAGTGGGCCAGAAGGAGAACTTCTTATTGCTCCCCCTGAATTGCCTTCCAAGTTTCGCCAAGCTGCCCCACTCTTAGTACCCCTCCTAGCTAGCCTTAGCATAGCTGGGTCAGCAGGCATTGGCATGGCTGCCCTAGTTCAGGGAGAAACTGGATTAATGTCCCTGTCTCAGCAAGTAGATGCTGATTTAAGCAATCTCTAGTCAGCCATAAATATGTTACATACCCAGGTAGAGTCTCTAGCTGAAGTAGTTCTTCAAAAACCACCAAGGCTTAGATCTACTATTTCCTTCCCAAGGAGAATTATGTGCAGCCCTAGGAGAGTGTTGCTTTTTCTATGCCAATCAGTCTGGAGTCATAAAAGATACCCTCCAAAGAGTTCGAGAAAATATAGATAGACTCCAACAAGAACGAGAAAGTAACACCCCCTGGTATCAAAGCATGTTCAACTGGAATCCATGGCTAACTATTCTGATTACTGTACTGGCAGGACCCCTTCTCCTCCTCTTGTTAAGTTTAATCTTCAGGACTTGTATGTTAAATTGGTTCCTTAACTTTGTAAAACAGTGCATAGCTTCTGTCAAACTTATGTATCTCAGAACCGAGTATAACCCCCTTGGTATAACTGAAGAATCAATGATTTGATTCCCCAAAACATGAGTGGGGAATGTGATACCCTACCTTTTTTTTAACTGAGTGACTCTCTCCTAGCAGAGAGAGAGCCGAACAGATTCCGTTTCAGTTTCTTCATTTGCAACCCCCTTTCACCGCCCTCCCTTAAGGCATAACTAGTGTAAAACTGACTCAAAGCACATCCAGGAATGCATCTACTGATAAGATATTGAGGCAAGCTGCACCAGCAGCTCCTGGGGATGCGCTCGGTGGATGGCACCCAAAACCCCTGCATTTATCTCTTTGTGGTAGTTTAAGCCTCTGCACCTGGAACTGTTTATTTTTTGTAACTGCATTTGTAACCAATTAATTTTTTAACTTTTTGCCAGTTCTCCTGTAAAAATTGCTTCAGCTAAAATTCCCCATCCCCTATTTAGACCACGGTATAAAAACAAAACTAGCACCTTCCTCGGGGCCAAGAGAATTTTGAAAGTTAGCTGCCTCTCGGTCGCCGGCTATTAAAGGACTCTTTAATTTGTCTCAAAATGTGGCGTTTCTCTATAACTCACTTGGTCACAACAAGGCAGGGTGGGGAAAAAAAGCGGTGAGGCCAAAGAGAAGGCTGGGGTCGTCCCGCGGAAGCCAGTGCCTTCCCAGCAGGCCCTGCGCCTGAACCCGGGGTGCTGTGGAGTTGCTGGCTTTCAACCCAGGGCGCCTCGTGGGCACCACAAGGCGGCAAGAAGTCCCTTCGAGAGACAGGGACAGGACGCCAGGCTTGCAGGCTTTCAGGGGATCGCTGAGGCAGACCAAGAAAAAAAAAGCAGGCAGGCAGAAGAGGAGGCTGGGGTCCTTCCCCAGAGGCCAATGCCTTCCTGGCAGGAACTGCACTGGATCCGAAGGGAGCGGGGAGCTTGGAGTCCTTGGCTCCTACACCGGGGTTACGTGTCTTTCCGACAGGTTGCACCCCAAAGCGGCAAGAAGTCCCTCTGGGTGATGGGGCAGGACGTCAAACTTGCAGGCTTTCAGGGAAAGGTTGAGGCAGGCTGGGGGGGAAAAGCAGTGACTCCGAAGAGGAGGCTGGGATCTTTCCCTGGAGGCCAGTTCCTTCCTGGCAGGCCCTGCGCCAGTCCCTGTGGTACCGTGGAGTCCCTGGCTTCCACCTCAGAGTGCGTGGGGGGCACCCCAGAGAGGCAAGAAATACCCCCGGGTGAAGGGGACAGGATGCCAGGCTTGCAGGCTTTCAAGGGGACGTTAAGGCAGGCCGGGAAACAAAGTAGCGAGGCCAAAGAGGAGGCTGGGTTCATCTCCCGTAGGCCAGTGCCTTCCCAGCAGGCCCTGCGCCGCACCCGGGAATTGGTGGCGTTTCCGGCTTCCACCCCAGGATGCGTGTCTGTGCTGCGTGGGGCACCCCTCGGCGGCAAGAATTCCCCCTGAGTGATGGGGACAGGACGCCAGGCTTGCAGGCTTGCAGGAAAACATTGAGGCAGGCCTCGGAAAAATAGTGGCGAGACTGAAGAGGAGGCTGGGGTCCTCCCCTGGATGCCAGTGCCTTCCTGGTAGGACCTGTGCTGGACTGGGGGCGGGGGGGTGCGTGGAGTCCCTGGCTCCCACCCCAGGGTGCGTGGAAGGCAACCCAAAGTGGCAAGAAGTCCCCCTGGGTGATGGGGACAGGACTCCAGGCTTGCAAGCTTTCAGGGAAGCATTGAGACGGGCCAGGGAAAACAAGGGGCAAGGCCAAAGAGGAGGTTGGGGTCCTCCCTCGGAGGCCAGTGCCTTATTGCCAGGCCCTGTGCGGGACCCTGGGGGGCTGTAGAGTTTCTGGCTTTTACCTCAGGGTGTGTGGGGCCCACCCAAAAGCGGGAAGAACTCCCCCCGCCTGACCGGGACAGGACGCCAGCCTTGCAACCTTTCAGGGGGACGTTGAGGCAGGCTAGGGAATTAAAGCGGCAAGGCCAAAGAGGAGGCTGGAGTCCTCCCCCGGAGGCCAGTGCCTTTTCGGCACGCCCTGCACCTTAACGGGGGGTGGGGGGCTGTGGATTCCTTGGCTCCCACTCCTGAGTGCTAGTCTCTCCCACGAGGGTACCCCAAAGCAGCTAGAAGTCCCATAGGGTGACAAATACAGGACGCCAGGCTTCCAGGGGGACGCTGAGGCAAGCCGAGGGAAAAAAGCGACGAGGCAGAAGAGGAAGCTGGGATTGTCCCCCGGAGGCCAGTGCTTTCCTGGCAGGCCCCGTGCCATTCCCTGGGGAGTCGTGGAGTCCCTCGCTCCCACCCCAGTGTGGGTGGGGGGCACCCAAAAGCGGCAAGAAATCTTCCTGGATGATGGGGACAGGACACCAAGCTTACAGGCTTTCAGAAGGATGTTGAGGCAGGCCGGGGAAGAAAAACTGCGAGGCCAAAGAGGAGGCTGGGGTTGTCCTCCAGGGGCCAGTGCCTTCGTGGCAGGCCCTGCGGCAGATTCATGGGGGCCATGGGGGCCCTGGCTCCCACTCCAGCATACGTGTCTTTCCCACGGGTGGTACCCCAAGGCGGCAAGAAGTCCCCCCCGGTGACGGGGCAGGACACTAGGCTTGTATGATTTCAAGGAAACGTTGAGGCAGGCAGGAGAAAAAAAGTGGAGAAGCCGAAGAGGAGGCTGGAGTCTTTCCCTAGAGGCCAGTGCCTTCCCAGCAGGCCCTGCCCCAGACTTGGGAAGGCCGTGGAGTTTCTGGCTTTCACCCCAGGGTGCGTAAAGTGCACCCCAAAGTGGCAAGAAGTCTTCCCGAATGACGGGGACGGGACCCCAGGCTTGCCGGCTTTCAGGGGGACGTTGAGGCAGGCCTGGGGAAAAAAGCGGCGATGCCAAAATGGAAGCTGAGGTCGCTCACCGGAAGCCAGTGCCTTCCCAGCTGGCCCTGCGCCGGTCTCTGGGGAGCCTTGGAGTTCCTCGCTCTGACCCCGCGGTCCGTGGTGGGCACCCAAAAGCGGCACAAAGTGTCACCGGGTGACGGGGATAAGAGGCCAGACTTGCAGGCTTTCAGAGGGACACTGAGGCAGACCGGAGAAAGAAAGTGGTGAGGCCAAAGAGGAGGCTGGGGCCGTCCCCTAGAGGCCAGTGCCTTCCCAGCAGGCCCTGCGTGGACCCTGAGGAGCCGTGGAGTCCCTCACTCCCACCTCAGGCTGCATGGGGGGCACCCAAAATGGGCAAGAAGTCTCCCCGGGTGACGGGTACAGGACATCAAGCTTGCAGGCTTTCAGAGGGAAGTTGAGGCAGACCTGGGGAAAAAAGCAGTGAGACGGATGACGAGACTAGGGTCGTGGATGTAACTTCCTTCCCAGCAGGCGCTGTGCCATACCCGGGGGAGCCGTGGAGTCCCTGGCTCCCACCCAGGGTGTGTGTGGGGCAACCAAAGTGGAAAGAAGATCCCCCCAGGTAATGGGGACAGGACGCCAGGCTTTCAGGCTTGCAGGGGGACGTTGAGGCAGGCCGGGAAAGAAAAGCAGTGAGGCTGAAGAGGTGGCTGGGGTGCCCCCGGAGGCCAGTGCCTTCCCAGCAGGAACTGCACTAGATCTGGGGTTGCTGCGGAGTCCTTGGCTCCCATACCAGGGTACCTGTCTTTGCCACACGTTGCACCCCAAAGCAGCAAGAAGTCCCCCAGAGTGATGGGGCAGGATGTCAGCCTTGCAGGCTTTCAGGGAAACGTTGAGGCAGGCCGGGGGAAAAAAGCAGCGAATCTGAAGAGGAGGCTAGGGTCTTTCCACGGAGGCCACTTCCTTCCTGGTAGGCCCTACGCCGGATCCTGGGGTACATTGGAGTCCTTAGCTTCCACCCCAGGGTGCCTGGGGGGCACCGCAGAGCGGCAAGAAGTCCCCTCGTGTGACAGGGACAGAACACCAGGCTTGCAGGCTTTCAGGGGGACGTTAAGGCAGGCCGAAGAGGAGGCTGGGATCATCCCTTGGAGGCCAGTGCCTTCCTGGCAGGCCCTGCGTCGGACCCGGGAATCGGTGGAGTTTCCGGCTCCCACCCCAGGGTGCGTGTCTCTCCCAAGCGGGGCACCCCTTGGCGGCAAGAATTACCCCCAAGTGAGGGGGACTGGACTCCAGGCTCGCAGGCTTTCAAGAAAACGTTGACACAGGCCGCGGAAAAATAGTGGCGCCACCAAAGAGGAGGCTGCGGTCCTCCCCTGGATGCCAGTGCCTTCCTGGTAGGCCCTGCGCCAGACTCGTGGGGGGAATGTGGAGTCCCTGGCTCCGACGCCAGGGTGGGTTGTGGGCACCCCAAAGCGGCAAAAAGTCTCCCGGTGTGACGGGGACAGGATGCCAGGCTTGCAGGTTTTCAGGGGGACATTGAGGCCGACCGAGAAAAAAAAGCAGCGAGGCCATAGAGGAGGCTGGGGTCCTCCCCTGGAAGCTAGTGCCTTTTCAACAGGCCCTGCGCCGGACCGGGTGGGGGAAGGGGGACGTGGAATCCCTGGCTCCCATCTCAGGGTGTGTGAGGGGCACCCCAAAATGACAAGAAGTCCCCCCAGGTGACAGCAACAGGAGGTCAGTCTTGCAGGCTTGCAGAGGGACGTTGAGGCAGGCCAGAAAAAAAAAGTGGCGAGGCTGAAGAGGAGGCTGGGATCGTCCCCCCCAGAGGCCAGTGCCGTCCCGGCTAGTCCTGCCCTGTTCACCGGGGCGGGGGTTGTGGTGTTCCTGGCTCCCATCCTAGGGTGCACATCTCTCCCACGGGAGCACCCCAAAGCGGCAAGAAATCCCCCTGGGTGACGGGGACAGGACGCCAGGCTTGCAGGCTTTCAGGGGGACGTTGAGGCAAGCCATGGATAAAAAGTAGCGAGGCCGAAGAGGAGGCTGAGGTCGTCTCCTGAAGGCCAGTGCCTTCCCATCAGATTCTGCGCTGGACCCGTGGGGGGCCGTGGACTCCCTGGCACCCACACCAGGGTGGGTGTCTCTCCTACGGGGGGGCACCCAAAGCAGCAAGAAATTTCTCCGAGTGATGGGGGCAGGACGCCAGTCTTGCAGGCTTTCAGGGGAACGTTGAGGCAGGCCGAGGAAAAAATCGACGAGGCTGAAGAGGAAGCTGGGGTCCTCCCCCAAAGGCCAGAGCCTTCCTGGCAGACCCTGGAAGCAATGGAGTCCCTGGCTCCCACCCCAGGGTGCGTGGGGGGCACCCCAAAACGGCATGAAGTCGCCCCGGGTGACGGAGACAGGATGCCAGGCTTACATGCTTTCAGAAGGACATTGAGGCAGGCTGGGGAAAAAAGGCGGAGAGGCCGAAGAGGAGGCTGGGGTGGTCCCTCGGAGGCCAGTGCCTTCCCGTCAGGCCCTGCGCCAGATCTTGGCAGAGTGGTGTGTAGAGGCCCTGGCTTCCACCCCAGGGTACCTGTTTTTCCCACAGGTGGTACCCGAAAGTGGCAAGAAGTCCTCCCGGGTGACATTGCACGACGCCAGGCTTGCAGGCTTTCAGGGAAACGTTGAGGCAGGGCGGGGAAAAAAAGAAGCGAATCTGAGGAGGAGGCTGGAGTCCATCCCCGGAGGCCAGGGCCTTCCCCGCAAGCCCTGCGTCGGACCCGGGGGGTCGTGGAGTCCCTGGCTTCCATGCCAGGGTGCGTGGGGGGCACCCCAAAGTGGTAAGAAGCCCCTCGTGTGACGGGGAGAGGACGCCAGTCTTTCAGTTGGACACTGAGGCAGGCCAGGGCAAAAAACCTGCAAGGCCGAAAAGGAGGCTGGGGTCCTCTCCCGGAGGCCAGTGCCTTCCCGGCAGGCCCTGCGCCGGGCCCAGGGGGGCCGTGGAGTCCCTGTCTCCCACATCAGGGTGGGTGGGGTGCACCCCAAAGCAGCAAGGAGTCCCCCCGGGTGATGGGGACAGGACGCCAAGTTTGCAGACTTTCAGAGGGACATTGAGGCCGGCTGGGAAAAAAAAGCGGCGAGGCGGAATAGGAGGCTGGATTCCTCCCCCGCAGGCCATTGCCTTCCCAGCAGGTGCTGCGCCAGACAGGGGGGTGGGGGAGCTGTGAAGTCCCTGGCTCCCACCCCACGGTAGGTGGGGAACACCCCAATGCTTCCCCGCAGGTGATGGGGACAGGATGCCAGGCTTGCAGGCTTTCAGGGGAACGTTGAGGCAGGCCAGGGAAAAAAAGGGGTGAGGCTGAAGAGGAGGCTGGGGTCATCCTCCAGAGGCCAGTGCCTTCCTGGCACGCCCTGCGCGGGATCAGAGAAGGCCATGGAGTCTCTAGTTCCCACCCAAGGGTGCGTGGAGAGCACCCCAAAGAGGCAATAAGTCCCCCCGGGTGATGGGGTCAGTACGCCAGGCTTGCAGGGGGACATAAAGGCAGGCCAGGGGAAAAAAGCAGCGAGTTCGAAGAGGCTGGGGTCTTCCCCCGGAGGCCAGTGCCTTCCCGGCAGGCCCTGCGCTGGACCCGGGGTGGCCATGGAGTCCTTGGTTCCCACCCCAGGGTGCGTGTCTCTGCCATGGGGGTATCCCAAAGAGCAAGGATTCCCCCTGGGTGACAGGGACAGGACATCAGGCTTGCAGGCTTTCAGGAGGACGTTGAGGCAGGACATGGAAAAAAAGAGCGGCGAGACCAAATAGGAGGCTGGGGTCCTACCCCGGACACCACTGCCTTCCTTGCACGCCATGCGCCAGACCTGAGGGCGGGGCGCCGTGGAGTCTTTTGCTTTCACCCCAGGGTGCATGTCACTCCGATGTGGGGGCATCCCAAAGCGACAAGAAGTTCCCCCATGTGACGGAAACAGGATGCCAGTCTTGCAGGCTTTCAGGGGGACATTGAGGGAGGCCAAGGTAAAAAGGCAGCAAAGCGAAGCAGAGGCTGCTGTCCTCCCCCGGGGGCCAGTGCCTTCCCAGCAGGCCTTGGGCCAGACCCGGGGGGGCCATGGAGTCCCTGGCTGCCACCCCAGGGTGCGTGTCTCGCCCATGGGGAGCACCCCAAAGTGGCAAGAAGCCTCCCCGGGTGACAGGGACAGGACGCCAGGCTTGCAGGCTTTCACTGGGACATTGAGGCAGGCCGGAGGAAAAAAGCAGTGTTGCTAAATAGGAGGCCGGGGTCATACCCTGGAGGCCAGTGCCTTCCCAACAGGCCCTGCGCTGGGCCCGGTGTGGCTGTACAGTCCCTAGCTCCCAGGGAAGTGTAGCAGGCTGGGAAGGGGTCTCCTATTAAAGATTCCTGGTGCCTGTGGCAGGAGACCAAGGTTCACAGGTAGGGGTAGAAGAAACTGACCCACCAGACCTGGATGCTATGTAAACAGCAACCCAGATCCTCCAGCAGCCACAAGTCCTTCTACTGTTCTGGGTGTGGGGACTGGAAATGCCAATGTTAGTCCTGGCAGGGGGCCTGGGACACTAATGATGCCCGTGGAATCACCCTGCCTTCTGATTTAACAATTCCTAGTCATCATTCCAGGCCCTGCTCCAGCAACCGTTCCTCCAAAAAGCCTTCCAGCCTGCCCCCACAGAGACCTTATTCTCCTCTGGTTCTCAGAGCCCATCTCCCTTAGCTCCATTTCTGACCCCCGTGAAATTGGAGATGTCTTTGTCCAGCTTCACCTTCTCAGACTTAGGAGTTCCTCCAGGATGGGGCCTTGGATTCAGGCCACTTAGGACCCAGCAGTACCCAGAACACGAGGGCAGGGGATGATAGCAGTGGATGGGGGAGCCATGGAGTTGGAGGTTGCCGAATACACAGGAAAGAGGAAGAAAGCTGAGAGAGGAGAGGAAAGGAGGGGTGGGGCACTGCAGGGGCCTCATAAAAGCTTGGGATTGAAAGAACTAGAAGCCCTCTTATGTGCCATGGTGCCCACCACCACAAGCTCTGCATGGGCACCTGTAGCATTGATGGCCAATGTCGGGGCACAAACTGATGATAGGAAAGATGAGACCTGTCCACCTCATAAAGCCTCATGTGAAGGTGGCCACCAGCTGAGTCAGAATCCTCAAGCCTTGCTCTGTGGGGGTGACCTGCATGCAAAGCAGGGACAGTCACATTCTGTGAGGGTTAATTTCAGGTGTCAACTTGCCTGGGCTGAGGGATACCCACATCACTGGTCAAACACAATCTTTGGGTGTGTCTAGGATGGTGTTTCAGAAAAGCTTCACATTTAAATTAGTAAACTAAGGAAGATTTGCCCTCCCCAATGTGGGCGCATATCATCCAATCCACTGAGAAGCTGAATATAACAAAAAGTTGAAGGAAGGGAGAACTCACTCTCTTCTGGAGCTGGGGCATCCATCTTCTGCCTTCGGGCATCCATCTTCTGCCTTTGGACATCAAAAGTCCAGGTTCTCAGGCCCCTGGATTCAGACTGAATTACACCCCCAACATCCCCGGTCCTGCAGCCCACAGATGGTATATCGTGGGACTTCTCTACTTCCATGATCACATGAGCCCATTTCCACAGTCAATTCTTTTTTCTCTCTTCTTTTTTTTTGTCTCTCCATAGATGGATACAGATAGATAGGTAGATAGGTATAGAGATGGATGGATAGTTGACAAATGATAGATAGGTAGTAGATATAAATATATCCTATTGATTCTGGATTAAGGAAAACCATGAGTAATGCACAGGTTCCCTCTGCAGCCTCTGTGGAAGGACCAGACTCCGAATGAACAGCAGGTCTGGATTGTGTAGAAATCCAGGGAATCTCTGCTTCCTCCTACTTCTTTTCTCTCAGGGACACCTCCAATACCTAAGGGTACAGCCAAGAGCAGGGAGAGAAGACTCTTCCAACAGGGAGACACACCTTGGCTACAGGAAAAGATTTTCTTATCCTGGGGTTGGTTTCAACCCAGGGACAGCCATATGAGACTGTGGTAAGCAGTGTGGCCTCAGGATGTGAACCCACATCCTTTCATGTTTTTGTGGGTGTCCATGAGCTCTGATTCCTCAGGGAGCAGGGTCTATACACCAGGGACCTTCCCTTCTCAGCAGCCTCCAGTGGAGACAAGTTGATTGTAACTGTCCCTCAGGATGGCAGCTCCCACCTGGGAGCAGTTTCTGCATGCCAGGCTCTGCACTAGTGCGTGCTGTGCACCCTCCCACTGCAACTGGCATGCCCATCAATCCTACCATTTACAAATGGGCTGAGGCCACACCCCCAAAATGGGAGAGCAGATGTGACTCAGAGGTCTGAGGAGGGAAGGAAGACCAAAGAAGGCTCTGAAAGGGGAAGAGAGTGGCCAGCTTTCGTTCAGCCTCTGCAACAGGACACACGGGGACATCTTAGTGAGCAGAGGCAAGATAAGAGCTTGATGCTCTGGGAGGGAGGGTGGAGAACACACACACTGCTCTTCCAGCCCATGTGTCCCATAACAGAAAATGGGCCAAGGCACTGGACCATGCCCCTCAGGAGGCTTCAAGTCCAGTAGTGATCAATGTAGAAACGCCAGGGGTTCCATGCTCTATGCAGAACCATGGAGCCCCTCAGGGGTACAAGAATGTGAGGAACATGGGCAGGAAGGGAGTGATATGGGCCAGGATGAGAGAACAAGGAGGTGACAAAGGTGTTGAGTGGCACAGCAGAGGAATGAATAAGCCACCTTCCTCACTTCTCTGCCATCCCAGATGCCAGCCCATGCCCTCACCCCAACTCCCAGAGCTCCACTCCTGGCCCCTCAGGAAGTCGATCTACTCTGAGACCTTAGAGCCAGCCTGCTGCTACAGTCACCAGGCCCAGGTGACCTCCAAACCAGTTCCAAATCAGAGGCTACAGAAAACACTAGAGATACCAGCAGTTGTCATAGAAAGTGTAGGTCCAGACCAGGAGCCAGCAGGAGCAGTCAAGGGGATGCTGCCACTCACCTGAGACCCAGCCAGGACAGGCTCAGCAGTGACATTCTTCAGGGAAGATGAGATGGAAGGTGAGTTCCTGAGGCTCAAGAAAGGACCCAGGGATCTGCAGGGCTGGTGGAGAGGGGCAGAGGAGAAGGTGCTGGGGCAGGGCAGGAAGAACTCAGGGATGGGCAAATGGACTGAGAGCAGATAGAAGACCCAGGGACAACAAGGGGAAGAGGCAGAATGGAAAAGGCTGGGAGAGACTGAGTCAGAAATGGCTTCTGCTATGGAAAGGTCTCTCCCCTGCTCCAGGACTTCTTTGCCCTGGTCTGTTCTTGTACCCTGGGGAAGGCTTGGAGGGTGTGGGAAGAGCCTCTAATTCTTGTCCACCTCCTCCCGACCAAGCAGCCAGCCCAAAATTGAAAATGTGGTGTCCAAACATCCTGAGACACCTGTTCCAGGTCAAATAGGAAGGGCACTGGGCCACCATGACTTCACCCTTCCATTTGCCCTTTCAGATACTCAGATTTTTCAACTGCAAGTTGAGGTGAAACTCTAGATCTACCAGCACTGCTTCTGCAGTGTGATGTTCACTGAGCACCTACTATGTTGAGGTGTGGTGTGTGAGGGTGTACATCCCTATATACGCATACATGCATACATTACTGTCACCTACTTAGATCCTGGTGAATCCATGGAATAGACTATAAGGTGGGAATCAGAGGTAAGAGAAAAATTAGGGAGAGTGAAGGTCTTGAGAAGAAAATGCAAACTTAGGCAGAAGAGCAAGGGGGAAGAGCAGTGGCTGGACACCGAATGCCTGCCAGGTGGCACCTGCTCTACACACACCATCACCAATTATCCAAGCAACCCCATGGGGTAGAAAAATCTCGCCCCAATTTACAGATGGCAGAAATGTAGTTCATAAAAAAAACTGATTTTACTAATGTCTCGTAGCAAGTTAGTGGGACAACAGATATGGACTCCCAGATCTTTCCACAAAGCCTACAAATTCTCCCTTATTAGCCCGGGTGGGTACCAGTCCCTGCTTCTGGCCTCTGCTCCTTTTTCTGCAAGGCAATAATGGTAGAATTGGCAAAAACTTTTTCCCCCTTCCCCACCTGGAGCAGAACCAATGAGAAGGGGTGGGAAACAGGACATAAGGCCCTGCACCCACCATTCAATGTCTTCAGGACTGTGGTCCCTCAGAACTCCTGCACCAAGTGCTGGCAGCACTCCTGATGTCTACTTGTCTTGTGAAGATGTACAGGACCCAGAAGAGGCCACTGGCTGTGCTGTCATATCCTGCGAGGCCGCCAGCAGGCTTGAGACTCTAGGCTGCTTCAGCACCAGAGGATGAACAGTGCCTTTGCACTGAGGCCGTCGGGAGAATGGGAGGAGGGGAAAGGAAGCATAGAGGATGGAGTAATCCAGGGCCCATCCACCACATCCCTGGGATTGAGAGATCCCTGTTCCCACAGTAGTCCCACACCAGGACCCCCACCAGCACTCATGAAGATGTCAGCTTCCACTTTTATGTGCTTATCTGACAACTTCCCAATTTCACCTGGAGACAAGACCAATGAACACACTAGCTCTGAAGACACCTGAAGACAGAGACAGCCCCTGAAGAACTATCATCCAAGCAGGAACCCTCCCTTGCTATCTCAAGATCTGCCCCACAAGCTCCCTCCCTGGTTTCCTGCCTCTTGTTTATTCCTTCCAGACAGCCTTCTACAGGCATCACTGAAGCTTATCTGAGTTTTCCCACCTTTCTTCCAGCAACTTCCATGGCTCCCCAGAGCCCTCCAGATGAAGGTCAAGTTCTTTTATCTGAATTTTATGTCAAGCTCTATCCTACCTCCTGAATTAAGATCCCAGAGAAGCCCACCTTGTCCAGCACAAGCACATCAATGAAGTCCAAAGTCTTGAATGTGGCTGTGACCTTCAGGAAGTTATTAACTCCCTGGCTAGTGAGGGTGCAGTGCTGCTCCAGGATGATGGTGTCTGAAGTTGTGCACCACAACACAGGCCCTGCAGAAGCACCACCCCTCAGCAGTGACGTAGTACAGAAAGTCCCTGTGCAGGAAGATCTGCTGTTGCCGTTACATTATGAGGGCACTGAGCTCCAAGATGGTGGCGATATAGTCACTGGGATTCCTGCAGGGTGAGGCTGGGGAGAGGAAGCAACCCCATAACATATGAAACCCTGGAAGCACTTCCCATACAGAATCTCAGGACCATATTACACCCAGAAACGGCGCCGTCTCAGCACACTTCTCTCTCTGCCTCCCAATTTGAGCTGCCTCCTAGCTCCACATGCCCCAGCCTGGCCCAGGGCTTGAAGCCCAGCAGGTGTTCAATCCATTATGTTGACTTCTCCCAGGGCCAAGAGAGCCCTTGGTGGCCCTGTGATTCCCTCCTCTGGAACCCCTGCCTCTCCCAATTCCCAGGGAAGCCCGCACTGCTCTGAACTGCCCCACCTACCCTGGGATCCTCCAGTCCCATATGATTTACTTGATGCCTTAGCCTTCTCAGAACATGACATGTTTCTCAGAATGTGGCTTATGTCCAGGGCTATCTGCACATTTTTGCTGGGGACCTCTTGCACTTTTCCTTTATGCTCTGTAGGGCAGGGCCAATCAGAGAAACCAGCCCAGCCCCAGAACAGACAAAAACTCACTGCCACAAATGGCAATCACCAAAAATTCAGGAGTGCTTCTGGAAGGAAAAGAGATTTCATTCTCCAGAAAGCTCCTTGTTTGGCTTATTTCCAAAGCTAGGGAGGGCTACCAAGCCCAGCTTACCTGCGCTACATTACCATCTGTACCTAGGATGGGCAATGGACCCCTCCTTCCACAGCAGGTTTGACATTTGCACCAACTGGATACTTGGGCTCCTGACACAACCTGGCCTGTTTGTCCTGCTCTGGATGAGCGTGGAAACACTGTACCCTGTGTTCTTGGCTTTCACCTTCTCGACATGCAGCAGGGGTGACCATGCCCAGCCCCAAACCTGCAGGGGGACTCCCTTACAGAGCAGCCAAAACATCTACAGATAGAAGAGTGTGCTGATGGGACAGGCCACAGGAGGACAGGGAGGATTAGGGCCTGAGGACTCTGGAATTTTCCAGAATCTTGGGATCTTCAGTTCCTCAAAGATCTTAGGTATACCTAGGACCAGGCCTCCCCTTTTACAATTCAAAGAGTGGATGAGTGCTCCGCATTAGGAACTCTGATCTGGACCTATTTTTTTCATTTAGATTACCAAGGGGCAACCCCTAACCCCTGAGCCAGGTGTGTTCCAGGCCCTGGCATGAGATTCTCTTCCAAAACTTGATGCTTACAGGACAGGCAGAAAAGCTGGTGACCAGACCTGATGTCTTCCGGGTAATGACAGTGTGCCACACACCCTCTGAGAGGCAGGTGGCATCAGGCCTCTGCACTGGGTGCCTGTGCCCCTGGCTCTGCAGAGAGTGATCATGGAGGTCTCTCCCTCTCCACATTACCTTCTTGCTTCTCCCAGATTTCTTCTAGTCATTAAGCAACTGAAGCCATTTTTCTATGCATCTGTTCTGTCATTTTTGCTCTACGATGAAACACGATAAAGTGAATTGAGTGGCCAGGATTCCTGGAGGGGATGTTTGATGATGGGATTTGGGCTCCAGGGCCTTGATGGGACTGAACCAGAAGGAGCCAGGGAAGGACAAACACTGGGGCTGAGATCATCTGACCCAATGGCCATTGGTGGCCAGTTGGGTCAGACGGTCTCAGCCCCAGTGTTTGTCTCAGCCCCAAGACACCCTGTCCTCAGGCCAGACACCATGGGGTTTGCTAAGGTCCCACACTCCCAGTAGTGTCTTGGCACTAGCAGGTGCTGACCCCTGAGCCACAGCCACAGTTCTGAGTTTAGGGTTTAGTAAAACCACCTCAGGGACAGAGTTCTGGGGTTGGATTTGGCAGGAACCATGGTGCCTCCCAGGGAGTGTGTGTTAGTCCCACTTCCACAAAATGTGCACACAGGCTGCCCCCCTGTCCAGCCCATCCTGCTGGACACCATGGAGGAAGTCAGGGAAGAGGCAGAGTGGGCTGCTGAGGAGCAGGGAAAGGCAAGTGCATGCTAGGAGAGAAGAACCTGTGAGGATGTGGGAGTGTCAGGTGGGGTGGGCTCCAGGTGCACCCTCAGCACACTGGGCAGGTCTCAGCCCAGGCTCCCTGGACCCCAGCCGGGTGATGTGGTCACTCCCTGGGGTACTGCTGTCAGGCCCTGGCCACCCACCCTGGGCAGCACAGTCCCGTCTCAGGGCTGGACTTTCTGAGTCCTGAAATTGGATAGTGCTGCCCAAGCCTGACAGTCTGGGAGGACCTGCCAAGTCCTCCATCCCTAAACCAACCTCCTGCACAGCAGGGACCGTCTCTCACCTTCACCTTGAGGGCACTAAAAGGGGGCAGATCCATCTCATTCTAAGGCAACCAAGGTAAAGCTGACTACCTTCACCAGGCTGGGAGCAAGTCTCCTCCCCAAGTGGACCTGAGGAAGTACTCTCCCTGTCCCCATCCACCACAGGTCTCAGCCTAGGAGACACACAAGGAAGGGAGGATGGGGCCTTCCTGCTGGGTGACACTGGAAAAGCGAGACCTGGGAGAAGAGAAAGTACAGGGCTGGCAGGGGATGCTTCAGGCCCGTGGAGAACTCAAGCTGCACCCTGGGACTGCCCCTCCTGGGCTGCGAGCTGTGCCCTCTGCAGGATCAGAGAAAGGCCAATCATGAGATAAGACTGTGCTGCCCAGGGTGGGTGGCCAGGGCATGACAGCAGTCCCCCATGGAGTGACCACATCACCTGGCCAGGGTCCAGGGAGCCTGGGCTGAGACCTGCCCAGTGCACTGATGGTGCACAGAGCCTGTGGGCGGCAAGCCACCCAGGTGCCGAGGCAAGAGACCGAGGACACGAGCTGTTCCAGTATAATAAAATATAAAACAAGAATAGTTATACTAGATATAGATCTTAGATATGATTATATATTAATATCATTAATCATTAGTTTGTAGCAATTATTTATTCCAATATTAAAATAATTCTCTCTCTATAATCATAACCTAGGAAAAACCAGGCCATACAGAGATAGGAGCTGAGGGGACATAGTGAGGAGTGACCAGAAGACAAGAGTGCGAGCCTTCTGTTATGCCCAGACAGGGCCACCAGAGCACTCCTTGGTCTAGCGGTAATGCCAGCTTCTGGGAAGATGCCCATTGCCAGGTGGACCGTGGTCTAGCGGTAGCGTAAGTGTCAAGGGAAAACACCCACTACTTAGCAGACCGGGAAAGGGAGTCTCCCTTTCCCCGGGGGAGTTTAGAGAAGACTACTCCTCCACCTCTTGTGGAGGGCCTGACATTAGTCAGGCTCACCAGCAGTTATCCAGAGGCCTAACCATCTCCCTGTGATGCTGTGCTTCAGTGGTCACGCTCCTAGTCCACCTTCATGTTCCATCCTGTACACCTGGCTCTGCCTGCTAGGTAGCAGTAGTAAATTAGTGAAAGTACTAAAAGTCTCTGATATGCAGAAATAATGGCATAAGCTGTCTTTCTCTTTGTCTCCTCTCTCTCTCTGCCTCAGCTGCCAGGAAGGGAAGGGCCCCCTGTCCAGTGGACACATGACCCACGTGGCCTTACCTATGATTGGAGATGGCTCACTCTCCTTATCCTGCCCCTTTGTATTGTATCCAATAAATATCAGTGCAGCCTGGCATTTGGGGCCACTACCGGTCTCAGTGACTTGGTGGCAGTGGTCCCCCGGGCTCAGCTGCCTTTTCTTTTATCTCTTTGTCTTGTATCTTTATTTCTACACTCTCTCATCTCTGCACACGGGGAGAGACCCACAGACCCTGTGGGGATGGACCCTACAAGAGCCCATCCTACCTGATGCCCCCAGAGCCCTCGCAGGATCTGACCTCTCAGCATCCACCTGCCTCTCCCTGCATCCCAGCTACCCACCTTGCCTGGGAACACCCTGACTTCCTCCATCCTGTGTAGCCCACAGACTGTGACCATCTCTCCAGCCACTCTGGCCCTTCTTTACCTTTATTCTGTCGGAATCTCTGAGCAAGACCTCCCAAGTCCATCCAAACACCTGCCTTGTCCACTTTTAACTGGGCTGTTGGGCACCACTGGGCCATCCCAGGTGTCTACAGGACCATCAATAACACATGTTACACCTGACATCTCCCAGCAATGCTCAGCAGCCCCCACTGACCAGGTCCCTGCTGACCAGACCCTGCACAGCTGGTCCTCCCTAGCCACACCCTCACTGATTATACCCCACTCACCAGGCCACACTTACCAGGCCCCCACTGCCAGGCCCACAATGACCAGAACCCACTGACCAGGACCCACTGCCCAGGACCTTACTGACAAGGCCTAACTGACCAGGACTCCACTGACCAGGTCCTTACTGACAAGGCCTCAGTCACCAGGTTCCACCAATCATGACCCCATTGCCTGGTCCCACAGATGAGGCCCCTACTGGCCAGGCCTGAGGTGGCCAGATGTCCATGACTAGAACCCTAGTGAGTAGGCCCCACTGAACAGGCACTCACTGCTCAGATCCCCGCTGACCAGGTCACCACTGATTAGACCAGTGCTACAAAAGCCACCACTGACCAAGTCCCCTCTGACCAATTCTCTTCTGACCAGGCCCTTGCTGATTATGATCCATTGACCAGGATGCCCTAACCATGGACCCACTGACAAGGGCTTCACTGATGAGGACATGCCCACCAGGCCCTGCTGACTAGGTCCCATGTGACCAGGCCTCCACTGAATAGAGCCCCATGACCTGGTCATCAGGGACCCAGCCCATGGTGACCAGGACCCCACTAAATAGACCTCACTGACAATGTCCCAACTGACTAGGTCCACTAAGCAGGCCCACACTGATCAGGCCCCTCTTACCAAGCCCCCACTGGCAAGGCCAAAGTGGCCAGGTGCTCACTGTCAGGTCAAAAGTGACTAACCCCACTGAGTAGGCCTTCACTGACAAGGTTCCCCACTCATCAAGACCTCACTCATTAGGCCATCACTGACCAGGTTTCTATTAACCAGGTCCCCAGTGACCACGTTCCCACAGATCAGGTTGCCACTGACCAGGTCTCGCTGATCAGGCCCCCACTGTCTAGGTCCCACTGAGGGGGACCACAGTGAAAACATCTCCACTGAGCAGGTCCCCACTGAACAGGCCCCGATGCCCAGGTCCCACTGACCAGGCCTCCGCTCACCAGGTCCTCACTGACCTGGTCCCCACTGACTGATCCCCCTAAAAATGTTCCCACTGACCAGGTTCCCCCTAACCATGTCCTCACAGAATAGGCCACACTGATCAATAGTCCCCTGACCACAGTCCCACTGACCAGGCCCCTGCTGACAAGGGAAACACTGGGTCCCAGTGACCAGGCACCTGAGCAGCAGTGCTCAAAATTCCCTTCCAATGCCCTGCCTCAGGCCACAGACCCTTCCCTCCTATCTTAATCGACAGGGCCAGGCCCTGAGGGTCTTCTCCAGACAGGTCCTCTCCTCCAGGACACAGGGAGAAAGAGTCATAGAGCCAGAGTAAAGGGGGGACATTTGGCACACAAGGTACTCCATTCTGCTGGGTCTCCCAGGGTCTTTCCCACAGAGCCCAGATCTAGGGACACAGCACAGAGGCCATAAGGTGACTGGACCAGGGCCCTCGAGGCTGGGCCAGGGACCATATGAAGACTGTCCCCACAGAGCCAGGAGACTCTTTGCTATTTTATGGTGACATCATTTCTTATTAGCTACCTTTCCCCAACCCAGATGTCCCTTCATGAAAAATCACTAAGAAGAAGAAGGTAGTAAAACCATGGATGAAAAAAAGAAAATAAAACAACAATAGAACATCTTTCTGACCTATCTGAAAGCCTACTGGGAGACTACTGGGATCTGACACCCCCAGGTCCCTGAGGAAAGTGTCACACAGTGCAATTCCCACCAGCAGGAGCTGTGCTTGATCCCTGAACATGACATCGAGAGCACACCTGGGGTCCTCTGGAGTTATGGACACAAACTTAGAGAAGACATGTGGTCAACAGGCATGCACAGGCACACACACGCACTTGTGCATACTCACACACACGTACCCATGCATTTGCCCCATCGTAGTCACTTCTAGAACAGCTGCCCAGGATGAACTGATGAAAGCCCCTCCTATACATCCTGTCTGAGTTCATCAGACTCACCCAGCACAGGCTGAGGACATGGGGCTGCCAGATACTGGGAGGAGGCATAGATGTGAAGGAAGAAAAAGGGAAAACAGGAGGGAAGAAAAGACAGAAGGAGAGAGAGGAAGAGAGAGGGAGGGAGGAAATGGAGGGAGGGAGGGCAGAGAAGAAGAGAGGAAAGAAAGGCCACTGGAGCCTGGCAATCCAGGGATGGTGGAGAGAGGTGACAACAGATCCTGCCATGGATGCTTTGCACTAACTGTCATGAACATCCCAAATGCCACAAGAACCCCAGCCATTTGCTCCCCTCCCAGGCCTCTGCAGGTCCATGTTGGCACTCAGCCCTGCTATAGCCTTTGGGAGGGAAAGGCTGGGAGAAGCTGATCAGGGGCCTGGGCTGCACAGCCCTCTCTTCGCGCTTGCCGCAGAGTGTCCAGGGTTTCCTTCAGAGCTCTGGGCAAGTCAAAAAACAGGCAGGTGATAATGATGAAGAATTAATTGTGTTTAACCAACAAGAATGAGGACTTGAGGCCAAGGAAGGGGTCTTTGTCTTTGAGAGGGAGGCCTTCTTAGGGATTAAGGAATCTAAGCTGGTACCTCTGGTTCCCAACTTGGAGCCTCCTTTCAGTGAGTGGTGCCATCTTGATGTTTTCTTACCATAAAATGCAACTGCCAAGGATGGCAGAGGTAGGCACCTGGCCTCCTGAACCTCACTTGCCCAGTTTTCTTCAGTCCTAGGAGCTGAATTAGTTTTTGGTAGTTGTTCGATCTTGTTTTTAGAGAACAATATTTCTGGTTACAGTCTACATGTGTGTAGTACAGACAACACCACCTGATGTTAAATCTGGCTCTAAGTAACCTAAGGGACGAAGTTTTGAGCAAATATCAAAATTATGAGAATCTGATCTTAAAATTCAACCCATAAGAAATTACTTCTGAGAGTCAATGTGCTGCTGCATGATGATTTTAGTAATCTCTTCTTTTTATGACTATCTGCAAACGGATCATTTTATTTCATCATTGTTATTCATCAGTGTTTCAATTTGACTTGTTACAATTTCAGTACCCAGGGATTTGGGGCAGCATAAGTTGGACTTCATATAAATAGTAGAGACTTTAACCTTTCAGCCACAGTTTTTAAATCTGTAAACTCAACATCAAATTATTTAGCCCAGGAACTATAAAAATATTGAGATTTCAGCAATGCAAGACAATCTCTTTGTGCTTTTTAAATTAAGCTCCTTTTGAATCTTCATATTTATCAGCTATTTTTATTTGCATTATAATCCTTTTAAAATTTAAAATATTTTCAAGATTAAATGTTCTGGGGACTTATCAATACTTTTTAAAAATCAAACTATAAATCAATTATTTTTTCTTCAGTACTGGAAATAAATTATTTCTGGTTCCTCCTTACATCAACCGATACCAGTTTTCATGACATAGAACCCTGAGATTTACAGACAACCTTGGAAATTTTTTAATTCAATGAGTGAATTGCATAGTAGAGTCTTTATCAGTTACCAGTATAGATTCATTTTAAAAACACTACTGAAGGAAAATCTTCAAGCTAAAACATCAAAAACGAAACTCTCCTAAGAACTGAAACCAAGTGCGTGTCATCACTGCTTCTACACTTTAATTCTCTGACAGAAGAGAATCCTCCTTCTCATGCCAGAAGACACATTTGCTGAAATTATCAAACTAAGTTTCAGGACACTTGCATGACGAGATGATGCTACAGCTGCCTCTAAGGGAACACAGTGCATTATTTCTTTTCTAACAGACTTCATGTAAAAGATGTGCACTGAATCTCACACCTCTGCATGTCCCAGCATTTTATCAGATCATAATACTAGCTGTCCAATTTGTTGGCAGCTGATCCTCGATCCCACAACCTCCACTGCCAATGTATGATCATCACTCTGTTTTATGTGTACTCACCTTTCAGCCTTTCACTAAGAAAAAAAAGGTGTGCAGATAAATTTAAAAGCACAGAGTAGCAATGCTGCTCTAGGACCTAAATAGAGAACAGACTGAATTTAGGTAATTTCAATTGTATAGTATGTTCTCACATTGCTATAAAGAAATACCTGAGACTAGGTAACATATAAAGAAAAGAGGTTTAATTGGCTCATGCTGTAGAGGAATTACAGCAGCTTCTACTTCTGGGGAAACCTCAGGAACCTTCCAAACATGGCAGAAGGCAAAGGAGAACTAAGATGTTTCATATGGTGGGAGCAGGATCAAGACAGAAACAAAGATGGTAGACCATTAATAAAGCATCCACCCCTATGATTCAGTCACCTGCCACCAGGCCCCACCTCCAACATTAGGGATTACATGAGTTTGACACAAGTTTTGGGAGAGGCACAGAGCCAAATCATATTATCCTGCCCCTGACCTGTCAATCTCATGTCCTTCTCACGTTGAAAAATACAATCATGCCTTCCCAATACTCTCCCAAATTCTTAACTCATTCCAACATTAACTCAGAGGTCCAAAGTTCAAAGTCTCATCTGAGACAAGGCTAGACTTCCATTCTCTTATGAGACTGTAAAATAAAAAAATGAGTTAGTTACTTCCATGATATAATAAGGGTACAGGCAGTGGCAAAACATTCCTAATCCAAAAGGAAAAAATTTGCTTAAAAAAACCCCACAGGACTACAGGCCCCATGCAAGTCTAAATCCTAGCAGGGCTGTCATAAAATGTTGAAGTTCCAAAATAATCTTGACTCCATGTCCCACTTTGAGGACACACTGGTGTAAGGGGTGGACTCCCAAGGGCTTGGGCCACTCTACTCCTGTTGCTTTGCAGGGTTCCACCCCCATGTCTGCAGTAACAAGCTGAGCAGGCATTAAGTGCCAGTGGCTTTTCCACACTCAGGGTGCAGGTTGCTGGTGCAACTACCATTCTGGGATGTGGAGGATGGTAGCTCCTTTCTCACAGCATCATTAGGCAGTGCCCCGGTGGAAACTCTGTGTTGGGGGCTCAACCCAACATGTTCCCTCTGCACTGCCCTAGAAGAGATTCTTGATAACAGCCACATCCCTAGAGTCAGCTCTTACCTGGACACTCAGTCTTTTGCATACATCCTCTAAAATCTAGGTGGGGGTTCCGAGTGGAGGCTCCAAGCCTCTGTGCACCTGCAGACTCTGTGCACCTGCAGACTTAAAACCACATAGAGGGCCAGGTGCAGTGGCCCATGCCTGTAATCCCTGCACTTTGGGAGGCCAAGGTGAGTGGATCACGAGGTCAGGAGATCGAGACCATCCCAGCTAACATGGTGAAACCCC
This sequence comes from Homo sapiens, assembly GCF_000001405.40. Classification (NCBI taxonomy): domain Eukaryota; kingdom Metazoa; phylum Chordata; class Mammalia; order Primates; family Hominidae; genus Homo; species Homo sapiens. The sequence goes on along the minus strand of NC_000008.11, from coordinate 43,530,604 downwards.
ATCTCTACTAAAAAATACAAAAATTTAGCTGGGTGTGGTCATGGGCACCTGTAGTCCCAGCTACTCAGGAGGCTGAGGCAGGAGAATGGCATAAACTCAGGAGGCAGAGCTTGCAGTGAGCCAAGATCATGCCACCACACTCCAGCCTGGGCAACAGAGCAAGACTCCGTCTCAAAAAAAAAAAAAAAAAAAAACCATAGACGTCACCAAGGCTTCTGGCTTTAAACATCTGATGAAGTAAAATGAGTCATACCTGGGCCCCTTTGACATATGTCTTGAGCTGGAGAGAAAGCAGATGAAATGCAAGAAGCGGTCTCTTGAGGCTGTGCGGGGATGTAAGGCCCTGGGCCTGGCCCATGAAACCATTCTTTCCTCCTAGGCCTCAGAACCTGTGATGAAAGCAGATGCTGCAAAGCTCTCTCAAATGCCTTGGAAGCCTTTCCCCCATTGTCTTGGCTATTACCACTTGGCTCCTTTTTACATATGCCAATTTCTGAAGTCATCCAAAATTACTCCCCTAAAAATGGGCTTTCTGTTCTACCACATGTCCAGACTACATATATTCCAAACTTTTAATCTCTGCTTTCTCTTTAAATATAAATTCACACTTTAGGTCATTTCTATGCTCACTCATATGAAGACAGGCAATTAGAAGCAGACACACAACCTCTTGAATGCTTCACTGCTTATAAATTTATTATGCTAGATATTCTAAATTATCACACTTAAGTTCAAAGTTTTAAACATCCCTATAAAATGGGCACAAAGCAGCCACATTTTTGGCTAAGGCAAGACAAAAGTGACCTTTGTTCCAATTCCCACTAAATTCCTCATTTCCCTATGAGACCACCTAACCTGGCCTTCACTGTCAGCATTTCTGTCAACATTTTGATCATAATCATTTAAACAATCTCAAAGATGTTCCAAAATTCCCCTTAAATCCCCATCTCCTACTGAGCATGCCAAACTCTAACCTCTGCCCACTACCCAGACCCAAACCTCTTCCCATATTGTCAGGTATCTTTAGTCAAGTGTTTCACTCCTCAGCACCTATTTTCAGTGTTATCATGTGAAAATAAGTTTTAACTGCCTCATAGTTATGCAGCTTGTATAAAAAGCATAGTAGTTTCCACTTCTGAGAGGCCTCATGAAACTTCAAGTCAGAAAGGAGGGCAAAAAAAAGACTGAGACATCTCATATAATAAGCACAGAAGCAAAACAGAAAAAGAGGTACAACCCACTTATAAACAACCAGATCTCATAAAAACTCACTCACTATCATGAAAACAGCATCAAGGGGATGGTGCTATACCATTCATTAATAACCCACCCACATGAGTCCATCAACACCTACTGTCCAAACTTCATCATTAAAAACTAAAATTTGACATCAGTTTTGGCAGGGACATGAAGCCAAACCATATTACCCTGCCCCGTCCCTCCAAACCTCATGTCATTCTAAAAATGCATAACTTGAGAAAAAAGCCTGCAAATTTACCAAACTTTTAAGCTCCACTTCTCATTTAAAGGTAAGTTCTGACTTGAAGTCATTTTTTGGTCCACACATAAGAGAACAGGCTGTTTGACACAGGTGGGACATATCTACAGCTGTGCTAGTTAGAAGTTCATTCCACCGAATATACCCTAAATCATCACCCTCAAGTTCAGAGTTTCACAGATCTCCAGGGCGGGGCCACCATGCAGTCACTTTCTTTGTTAATGCCAAACAAAAGTAACTTTTGCTTCTGTTCCCAGTAAGTTCCTGATTTCCACCTCAGACCTCCTCACTCTGGCCTTCATTGTCCATTCTTCTGTTGACCTTTTAATCACAACTATTTAACAAGTCTCTACAATGGTCCAAACTTTCTTTTATCTTATTCTGTTCTTCTAAGACCTCCAAACTCTCTGCCTCTGTCTGTTACCCACTTCTAAGCTGTCTTCTACATTTTCAGGTATATTTGTCAAAGCCAGGTAATGAGGTAAAAGAAGAAAAGTCCATTTTCAGAAGTAAAATTCAAGAAGGCTTAGATATATGCATAAAACAAAACCTGAGTGCTAATAGCCAAGACAATGGAAAAAGGGCCTTGAAGGCATTTCATAGCTCCACTCCACAGTACCAATTTTCTCTATGATCATAAAGAAAAGAGGTTTAATTGCCTCATGGTTCTGCAGACTGTAAAGAAGGCAAAGTGGGTTCTACATCTGGCAGGACTCAGGAAGCTTCCCAATTATCCCAGAAGGCCAAGGAGCAAAGAGATGTCCCATATGGCCAAAGTAAGAGCAAGAGAGAGAGGAAAGTGGTGCCACACACTATAAAAAAAAACAAACAAAAAACCCCGCAAATCTCATGAGAACTCAATATCATGAGGACAGCATCAAGGAGATGGTGCTTAACCATTGGTAAAGAATCTGCGCCCCACCCCCATGCCCTGAAAATGTACAATACCCCTCTCTCCAAATAAGCTCCGAGCCCACCACTCTAGTCCTGCAAACTCTGAACACCATCCCCACTTTTCACCTCTCCTCACCTTGGCATCCAGACCCAACCACCAACATGAAATATTATGATATGATGTCAGTTTTAGTAGGAAAATGCAGCCAAATTATATGATTCTGCCCCTGGTCCCCCTCAAATTATACCCTGTGAAGCAGTAACCCAAGCTGTACCTGTACATCTTTGAACCATGACTGGAGCTGGAGTTGCAGCTGGAGCTGGAGCTGCAGGATGCAGGCAGTGGTGTCCTCAGGCTACACACAGAAGCAAGGCCAGGGGTCTGGTAGAGGAAACCATTCTTCTCTCATAGGTCCCAGGGTCAGTGATACCAAGGGCTGCTGCAAAGGTCTCTGAAATGCCTTCAAGCCTTTTCCCCCATTGTCTTGGCTGTTAGCACTGGGCTCCTTTTTATGCAAATTTCTGAAGCCTTCTTTAATTTCCCCCCTGAAAATCAGCTTTTTTTTTTTTTTTTTTTTTTTTTTTTTTTTTGCCACTTGGCCAGGCTGCAAATTTTCCAAACTTTTAAGCTCAGCTTTTCATTTAAACACAAATTTCAACTTGAGGTCATTTGTTTGGTCACACATAAGAGCATAGGTAGTTCAATGCAGGCAGGACACCTCTTGAGCTTTGCTCCTTAGAAGTTCATTTCACCACATACTACCTAAGTCATCACCCTCAAGTTCAAAATTTCACACGTCTCCTGGACAGGGGCACCATGCAGCAACATTCTTTGCTATGACAAAACAAACTAACCTTGGCCTCTGTTCCCAGTAACTCTCTCATTTTCATCTAAGACCTTCTAATCCTGGTCTTTACTGTCTATTCTTCGGTCAGCCTTTTGATCACAACTATTTAACAAGTCTACAGTGGTTCAAAGTTTCCCCCATTTCGCTGTATTCTCTTAAGCCCTTCAAACTCTCCATTGTCTGTCCTTTACCCACTTCTGAACCTGCAAGGTATCTTTGCTGCAGCCTGGCAATGTGGTAAAAGAAGAAACATCCATTTTCAGGGGGAAAATTCAACAAGGTTTCAGATATTTGAATAAGAAAGGAGGCAAGTGCTGATGCAAAAGAAGGAGGAAAAGGCCGTGAGGGAATTTCATAGCTTCACTCTACAGTACTAGTTTTCTGCCATGTTATTTTAAAAAGAGGTTTAACTGGCTCGGGGTTCTGCAGGCTGTAAAGAAAGCACAGTGACTTCTGCTTCTGGGAGGGCTCAGGAAGCCTCCCAATCATAACAGAAGGCCAAGGGCAAAGAGATATTTCATATGGCAAAAGGAGGAGCAGGACAGAGAGATGAAAGTGGTGTCACATCCTATTATATAAGCAAATCTCATGAGAACTCACTCTCACGAGGTCAGCATCAAGAAGATGGTGCTCAACCATTGGTGAAGAATGCAACCCCCATCCCACCCCCTGCTCTTTCCAGGCGGAGGCTGGCTGCAGACACAGAGCCTCTTGAAAAACCTCTACTAAGGCAATGCAGAAAAAAATATGGACTTGGAGCCCCCACGTGGGAGACCACCATCCTCTAGACCCCAGATTCATAGACCCACCACCAGCTTGCACCCTCAGTGTGAAAAACTTACAGGCACTCAACATCAGCCCAGCCCATGAGAGCAGCCATGGGGGTTAAACTCTGAAAAGCCACAGATGCATTGCCCTAGTAGAGGTTTTCCATGAGCCTCTGCCTCTGCAGCAGGCTAGTCCCTCTTTCTACTAACCCCTACCTTCTCACCACCCTACTACCAACCTACTCCTCTCTGCTTTATCCACTCTTGTTTCCTTCCAGGTCCACCATCCTCCTGTCCATGATTAAATCACCCCCAACCAGGCCCCACTGCCAACATTTGAGATTACAATTCCACATGAGTTTTGGTAGGATCACACAGCCAAACCACATTATTCTGTCCTTGGCCCCCAAAATCTCATGTCCTCCTCACAATGGAAAACAAAATCATGCATTTTCAAATGTTTTCCAAATTCTTAACTCATTTCAGCATTAACTCAAATGTATAGAGTACAAACTCTCATCTCAGACAAGGCTACAATCCCTTCTGCCAAGGAACCTCTGAATTAAAAACAAAGTTCTCTTCCTTCAAGATACAATGATGATATAGGCATTGCATAAGCATTCCCAATCCAAAAAGAAAACATTTGCCAGAAAAATAACACAAATGAGACCACAGAACCAATGCAAGTCCAAAACTCAGCAGGACAGTATTCATTCAATCTTACAGCTCCAAAATCATCACAAGAACTCACTCATGTGAGGACAGCATTAAGGAAATGGTGTTTAGCACCCATGAAAGATCTGGATCCCATCCCCACATTTCACTCCCCACCACCCACCATACTCCTCACAATGCTCCTCACTCCTTCCCCACTTTCCACCCCACACTCCAGAACATCATTAAATCACCTTCCACTAGGTCCCACCTCCAACATCCAGGATGACAATTCCACACGAGATTTGGAAGGGACCCACAGCAAAACCATATTATTCTGCCACTGGCCCCCAAATCTCGTGTTCTAGTTATGTTGTCAAATATAATGATGCCTTCTATGCAGTCCCCCAAATCTTAACTCATTCCAGCATTTACTCAAATGTCCAAAGCCCAAAGTCTCATCTGAGACAGTGTTACAGTTCTTTCTGCCCATGAGTCTCTGAAATATAAAGCGAGTTAACTACTGCCAAGACACAATGACTGCAGGGATTGGGAAAGCGTTTCAAATTCAAAAGGAAGAATTTTGGAGAAAGTAGAACAAAATACAGCTGAGATTTACAGGCCCCTTCCAAGTCCAAAACCCAGCAGGCCAGTCATTCAATCCTACTAAGGGAGGAGACCACCCCTAGTATTTTCTTATGCCCAATTTCTGCCTCCAAAGAAAAAAGAAGTAAAAACTAAAAGGCAGGAATGAAATCCACAAGCAGACAGCCTGGCGCCACATCCTGGGTCTGGTAGTTAAAGATCGACCCCGACCTAATCAGTTACTTGCGTTAAAAAAGTTCTGTGAAGATCCCAGTCTTGTTCTGTTCCATTCTAATCACTGGTGTAAGCAGCCCCCAGTCACGTACCCTCTGCTTGCTCAATCAATCACGACCTTCTCATGTGGACCCCCTTAGAGTTGTGAGCCCTTAAAAGGGACAGGAATTGCTCACTCAGGGAGCTCGGTTGTTGGAGACATGAATCTTGCTGAAGCTCCCGGCCAAATAAATCCCTTCCTTCTTTAACTTGGTATCTGAGGGGTTTTGTCTGAGGCTTCTCCTGCTACACTACAGCTCCAAAATCATCTTCTTTGAACCTATATCCCACACCCAGGGCACACAGGACTGAGAGTGGGACTCCTAGGGCCTTGGGTAGCTTTGTACCTGTGGCTTTGTAGGGTTTAGCTTCTGTGGCTGCTCTCAGACTGGGGCTGGTGTTGAGTGCCTGTAGCTTTCCCACACTTAGGGTGCAAGCTGTTGGTGGGTCTATGAATCTGGGGTCTGGAAGATGGTGGCCTGCTTCCAGACCCAAGGTTCTAGGGGTGGCTCCAACCCCATATTTTCCATCTGCACTGCTCTAGCAGAGGTTTCCCATGAGGCTCTGCCTCTTGGAAAGTCTTCTGCCTGGATATCCAGGCTTTTCTGTACATTTTCTGAAATCTAGACAGAGGCTCCCAAGCCTGTAGACTCATGCATTGTGTGCCCGCTGGCTTAACACTATGTAAAAGACAATAAGGCTTATAGAATACATCCTCTGAAGCAGTAACACAAGTTGTACCTGCGCCTCTTTGACCCATGGCTGGAGCTGGAACTGAGGCTGCACACAGCAGTGGAGCCATAGGTCTGGCCCGGGAAACCATTCTTCTCTCATAGACCCCAGGGCCTGTGACAGTAAGGGTGGCTGCAAAGAGCTCTGAATTGCTTTCAAGGCCTTTTCCTCATTGCCCTGGCTGTTAGCACTGGGCTCCTTTTTATGCAAATTTCTGAAGCCTTCTTGAATTTTCCCTCCTGAAAATCAGCTTTTGTTTTTGACTACTTGGCCAGGCTACAAATTTTCCAAAGTTTTAAGTTCAGCTTCTCATTTAAATATGAGTCCCAACTTGAGGTCATTTCTTCAGTCACGTATAAGAGTACAGGCTGTTTGACACAGACAGGACACCTCTTGAACTTTGCTGCCTAGAAGTTCATTTCACCAGATACACCCTATATCATCACTCTCAAGTTCAAAGAGTGACAGATCTCAAGGGCAGGGTCACTGTGGAGCCACATTCTTTGCTGCGGCAAAACAAAAGTGACCTTGGCTCTGTTCCCAGTAAGTTCCTCATTTTCATCTGAGACCTTCTAAGCCTGGCTTCACTGTATGTCCTTCTGTCAGCCTTTTAATTAAAATTATTTAACAAGTCTCTACAATGAGTCAAACTTTCCCTCATGTTCCTGTCTTCTTCCAAGCCCTCCAAACTCTCTGACCTCTGGCCATTACTCACTTCTTGTGTGATATGATGAGGTTTCTCTTCAAATAGCCTGATCAATCCTTTATTCATTCATATTACCCATGCTCACCCCCTTTTCCTTTTTGTCTTTTTTCCTTTCTGCCTTTGTTACATGCCCAGACACACCACAGTACCAGGCTTATCAGTACAAGTTCACATTCCTTTCCTTATTTGGAAAAAAGACTACCTCTCTAGGTCATTGCAGACACCCCTTCCCCTTTTCCCCTCTCTCCCTTATGTGCCCACTTTATCTAAAGAAAGTTCAAATGTTTAGCCAACCAGGATTAGTTCAGATTGTGTGACCTGACCCTGGCCAATGGGAAAAGGGTACAGGGGCAGGAATTGCATCAGGAATAAAGGCTCTCATGCCCCTTTGTTCAGATGTGCTCTCATGGTGACTGGCCAAGGAGAAGCACCCCTCTGTGCAGAAGTAAAATTGCTTTGCTAAGAATCCTTTATTTGAGTGTTCAATTTCCTCAGGATTTTGAGCTTTATTACCAATATTCTGAACCAGCTTCTACATTTTCAGTGATCTTTGTCACAACCTGGCAATGTGGTAAAAGAAGAAAAGTTCACTTTCAGGGGGAAAATTCAAGGGTTCATATATTTGCATATAAAAGCAGCCCAGTGCTAATAGCCAAGACAATGGGGAAAAGGTCATGAAGGCATTTTATAGCTCCACTTCCCAATACTAATTTTTGGTATGATCATAAAGAAAAGAGTATTTTATTTTTATTTATTTATTTTTTGAGATGGAATCTCCCTCTGTCACCAGGCTGGAGTGCAGTGGTCCGATCTTGGCTCACTGCAACCTCCACCTCCCAGGTTCAAGTGATTCTGCTGCCTCAGTCTGCTGAGTATCTGGGAATACAGGTGTGCACCACCAGGCCCAGGTTTTTGTTTTTTGGTTTTTTTTTTTTTTTTTTTTTTTTAGTAGAGACAAGGTTTCACCCTGTTTGCCAGGATGGTCTTGATCTCTTGACCTCATGATCTGCCCACCTCAGCCTCCAAAAGCGCTGTGATTACAGGCATGAACCACCATGCCAGGCCAAGAAAAGAGGTTTAATTTGCTCAGGGTTCTACAGGCTGTAAAAACAGCAGAGTGGTTTCTGCTTCTGAGAGGACTCAGGAAGCTTGCCAATCATACCAGAAGGCCAAGAGGCAATGAGAAGTTTCATGTGGTAGAAGTAGGAGCAAGACAGAGAGAGGAAAAATGTGTCACATGCTGTTATACAACCAGATATCATGAGAACTCACTATCATGAAGTTAGCATCTAGAAGGTGGTGCTTAACCATAGGTGAAAGATATACCCCCCACCCTCAACCAACACTGTTTCCAGGCAGAAGCCTATGGAAGAGACAGAGCCTCTTGGAGAACCTCTATTTGGGCAATACAGAAGGAAAATATGGGTTTGGAGCCCCCGCACAGGACACAATCCTCCAGACACCAGATTCACAGACCCACCAATGGCTTGCACCCTCAGTGTGAGGAAGCTACAGGCACTCAACACCAGTTCAGCCCTTGAGGGCAGCTGCAGGAGCTAAATTCTGCAAAGCCTCAGGTGCATTGCCCCAGTAGAGGTTTTCCATGAGGCTCTGCCTCTGCAGCAGGCTACTCCCACTTCCTACTACCCCCACCCTCCCACCACCCTACTGAAAAACCTACTCTTCCTCACCCCACCTACCACTTTTTCATTCCACCCCCACGCCACTCCCATCCATGATCAAATCACCGTCCACCAGACCCCACCTCTGGGGTTTGAGATTACAATTCCACATAAGGTTTGGTAGGGACACACAGACAAACCGTGTTATGCTGACCTTGACCCCTGGAAATCCCATGTTGTTCTCACAGAGCAAAATGCAGTCATGCCTTTTCAAAAGTTTCCTAGGTCTTAATTCATTCCAGCGTGAACTCAAATGTTAAAAGCTCAAAGTCTCATCTGAGACAAGGCTACAGTCCCTTCTGTTGATGAGTCCCTGAATTCAAAAGGAGTTATTTTCTTTCAAGGTGCAATGATGGTACAGTCTTTGGGTAAGCTTTCTCAATCAAAAGGAAGAAATTTCCCACAAAAATAACACGAAAGCAACCACAGGCGCAATGCAAGTCCAGAACCCGGCAAGACAGTAATCATTCGATCTAACGGCTCCAAAATAATTATGAGAAATCACTATCATGAGGACACCATTAAGGAGATGGTGTTTAACCATTTTTGAAGGATCCCCCCCACACTTCCAAATTTCACCTCCCACTCCCACCATCATCCGTCCCATTCTCCTCACCCCCGACCTTCCAGTCCCCACTCTCATCCATGATTAAATCATTTTCCACCAGTCCCCACCTTTAACATTCCCAATGACAAACCAGTGTGGGGGATCCAACCCATATTTTCCTCCTGCACTTCCATAGTAGAGGTTTCCCATGAGGTTCCTCCTTTTGGGCAGGCTTCTGCCTGGACACACAGGCATTCCCATACATCTTCTGAAGTCTTTGAGGAGGATCCCAAGACTCTAGTCGTGGGCTCTGTGTGCCCAATGGGTTAATACTATGCAGAAGCCACCAAGGCTTATAGCTTGCACCCTCTGAAGCAGTGACTCAAGTTGTACCTGTGCATCTTTGAGCCAGGGCTGAAGCTGGAGCTGGAGCTGTAGGGATGCAAGGTGCAGTGTCCTGAGGCTGCACACAGCAGCAGGGCCATGGGTCTGGCCCAGGAAACCATTCTTCTCTCTTAGGCCCCAGGGCCTGTGACACTAAGGGCTGCTGCAAAGGTCTCTGAAATGCCTTCAAGGCCTTTTTCTCATTGTCTTGGCTATTAGCGCTGGGCTCCTTTTTATGCAAATTTCTGAAGACTTCTTAAATTTTCCCTCCTGAAAATCAGCTTTTCTTTTTGACCACTTGGCCAGCAGCAAATTTTCCAAACTTTTAAGCTCAGCTTCTCACTTAAATATGAGTTCCAACTTGAGGTCATTTCCTCAGTCACACGTAAGAGCACAGGCTGTTTGACACAGACAGGACACCTCTTGAGCTTTGCTGCATAGAAGTTCATTCCACCCAGATACACCCTAAATCTTTACCCTCAGGATCAAAGATTCACATATCTTGAGGGCAGGGTCACCAGTCGGCTAAGTTCTTTGCTATGGTAAGACAAAAGTGACCTGGGCTTTTATTCCCAGTATAACTTCCTCATTTTCAACTGAGACCTTCTAAGCCTGGCCTTCACTATACATCTGTCAACCTTTTAATCATAATTATTTAAAACATTTCTACAATAGGTCCAACTTTCTGTCATGTCCCTATCTTCTTCAAAGCCCTCCAAACTCTCTGACCTTTGGCTGTTACCCACTTCTGAACCTGCTTCTACATTTTCAGCTAATTTAGTCACACCTGGCAATGTGGTAAAAGAAGAAAACCCCATTTTCAGGGAGAAAATTCAAGAAAGCTTCAGATCTTTGCATAAAAAAGGTAGGCCAATGCTAACAGGCAAGATAATGAAGAAAAGGCCTTGAAGGCATTTCATAGCTCCACTTTGCAGTACTAATTTTCTGTGTGATCATAAAGAAAAGAGGTTAAATTGGCTCTGGTTTCTGTAGGATGTAAAGGAAGCAGAGTGGCTTCTGTTTCTGGGAGGACCCAGGAAGCCTCCCAATCATACCAGAAGGCTGAGGAGCAATGAGATGTTTCAAATGGCAGGAGTAGGAGAAAGACAGAAAGAGGAAAGAGGTGCCACATGCTTTTATACAACCAGATCTCATGAGAACTATCATGAGGCCCACATCAAGAAGACGGTGGTTAACCATGGGTGAGGGATCTTCTCCCACACCCACCCACCACTGTTTTCAGGCAGAACCTGCTGCAGAGGCCGAGCCTCTTGGAAAACTGCTACTCGGGCACTGCAGAAGGAAAATATGGGCGTGGAGCCCCCACACAGGGGGCCACCATCCTCCAGACCCCAGATTCATAGACCCACCAACAGCTTGCACCCTCAATGTGAAAAAGCTACAGGCATTCAACACCAGCCCAGCCCATGAGAGCAGCCACGGGGGCTAAACCCTGTGAATCCACGGCACACTGCCCTAGTAGAGTTTTTCTATGAGGCTCTGTCTCTACAGCAGGCTACTCTGCTTCCTACTACCCTTCACCCTCCCACCACCCTACTGAAAACCTACTTTTCCCCACCCTACCCACCCCTTTTTCCTTGCACCCCCACCCCCCTCCCTTCCATTATTATATCACCTCCCACCAGGCCCTACCTCAAGCATTTGAGATTTCAATTCCACATGAGTTGTGGTAGGGACAAATACCCTAACCGTATTATTCTGACCTCGACCCTTCTGAATCTCATGTCCTTCTCACAGAGCAAAATACAATCATTTCTTTTCAAAAGTTTCCAAAAATCTTAACTGATTTCAGCATTAATTCAAATGTAAAAAGTTCATTGTCTCATATAAGATAAGGCTGCAAATGAGTCCCTGAATTTAAAAAGGAGTTCTTTTCTTCCAAGGTACAATGATGGTACAGGTATTGGGTAAGCTTTCTCAATCCAAAGGGAAGAAATTTCCCAGGAAAATAACACAAATGGGACCACAGGCCCAATGCAAGCCCAAAATCCAGCCAGCCACTATTCATTCAATCTTACAGCTCCAAAATCATCATGAGAATCACTATCATGAGGACAGCATGAAGGAGATGGTGTTTAACCATTTGTGAAGGATTCACACCACCCCGACCTTTCCCTCCCCCACCACCATAATCCCTGCCATTCTCCCAACCACCTCCCAACTTCCAACCCCCACTCTCATCCATGATTACATCACCTTCCACCAGGCCCCACTTTTAACATTCCCGATGACAATTCCATATGAGTTTTGGTAGGGACACAGAGCAAAATCATATTATTTTGCCCTGGCCCCCAATATCTCGTGTCCTCCTCACATTGCACAATACAATGTTGCCTTCCCTACAGTCCTCCAAATCTTAACCCTTTCCAGCATTTACATAATTGTTTATAGCTTAAAATCTCATCTGACACAGGCTACACTCCCTTCTGCCCATGAGCCTCTGAAATATAAAGCAAGTTATCTACTTCCAAGGTACAATGGTTGCACAGGCAATGGGTAAGCATTCCCAGCCAAAAGGAAGAATTTTGCCAGAAAGAACAAAAGCAGATGAGACTTACAGGCCTCATGAAATTCCAGAACACAGCAGTCAAGTCTTTCAATCCTACAGCTCCAAAATCATCCTTTTTGCTTCACTGTCCCAAATCCAGAGCACAGGGGTGTGAGGGCTGGGCTCCCAAGGCCTTGGGCAGACCTGCACCTGTGTCTTTGCACTGTTTAGTGACCATGGCTGCTCTCATGGGCTAGGCTGGTGTTGAGTGCCTGTAGCTTTTCCCCTCTAAGGGTACAAGCTGTTGGGGGTGTATGAATCTGAGGTTTTGAGAGTGGTGGCCTCCAGTGTGGAGGCTCCAACCCCATATTTTCCTTCTGCACTGCCCTAGTAGAGGTTTTCCATGAGGCTCTCCTCCTTTGGCAGTCTTCTGCCTGGACACCCAGGCATTTCCATACATCTTCCAAAATCTATACAAAGGCTCCAAAGCCTCTTGTCTCATGCTCTACACACCCGCTGGCTGAACACTATGTGGAAGCCACCAAAGCTTATAGCTTGCAGGCCCCAAAGCTGTGACCCAAGCTGTACATGTGCATCTTTCAGCCATTGCTAGAGCTGGAGCTGGCACTGCAGGGATGCAGGCAGCAGTGTCCTGAGGCTGCACACAGCAGTGAGGCCATGTGGCTGTTTCAGGAAACCATTATTCTTTCACAGTCCTCAGGGCCAGTGACAGCAAGGGCTGCTACAAAGGTCTCTGAAATGCCTTCAAGGCCATTTCCCCATTGCCTTGGCTATTAGCACTGGACTCCATTTTACGTAAATTTCTACAGCCTTCTTGGATTTTCCCTCTGAAAATCAGCTTTCGTTTTTGACCACTTAAGGAGGCTGCAGATTTTTCTAACTTTGAAGCTCTGCTTCTTATTTAAGTATAATTTCCAACTTGAAGTCATTTCTTTGATCACACCTAAGAGCACAGGCTGTTCAATGCAGACAGGATACCTCTTGAGCTTTGCTGCTTAGAAGGTCATTCTGCTAGTTACACCCCAAATGATCACCAGCAAGTTCAAACTTTCACCAATCTCCAGGGCAGGTTCACCTAGCAGACACCTTCTTTGCTAAGGCAAAACAAAAGTGACCTTGGCTCCTGTTCCCAGTAAGCTTTTCATATTCATCTGAGACTTTCAAAGTCTGGCCTTCACTATCCACGCTTCTGTCAGCCTTCTGAACATGACTAGTAAAATGCTCTACAGTGGTCCAAACTTTTCCTCATCTTCCTGTCTTCTAAACTCTCCAAATTCTCCCAACCTCTGTTCATTACCCACTTCTGAGCCTGCTTCTACATTCCAGCTTTGTCACAGCCTGGGAATGTCGTAAAAGAAGAAACATCCATTTTCAGGGGGAAAATTCAACCAGGCTTCAGATATTTGCATGAAAACAAGCTGACTGCTGATTGCCAAGAAAATGGAGAAAAGTCCTTGAAGTCATTTCCTAGGTCCACTTCAAGGTACTATATTTTCTGTATGATCATAAAGAAAAGAGGTTTAATTGGCTCATGGTTCTGCAAGCTGTAAAGGATGCATAGTGGCTTCTACTTCTGGAGGGAATCAGGAAACCTCCCAATCATACCAAAAGGTCAAGGGGCAAGGAGATGTGTCACATGGCAGGAAAAGGAGCAAGACAGAGAGAGGAAAGTGGTGCCACACCCTGTAATCCAACCAGATCTCATGAGAACTCTATATCATGAGGACAGCATCAAGAAGATGATGCTTACCCATTAGTAAAGGATCCATCCTCCACCCTCACCCACCATGGTTTCTAGGCAGAAGCCTGTTGCAGAAGCAGAGCCTCTTGGAAAACCTCTGCTAGGGCAGTGCGGAAGGAAAATAGTGGGCTTTGAGCTTCCACAAAGGGGATCAGCATCCTCTAGATTCCAGATTCATATACCCACCAACAGCTTGCACCCTCAGTCTGGAAAAGCTACAGGCACTCAACAGCAACCCCGTCCATGAGAGCAGCCATGGAGGCTAAACCCTGCAAAACCACAGGTGCAACGCCCTAATAGAGGTTTTCCATGAGGCTCTGCCTCTACAGCAGGCTACTCCCCCTTCCTACTACCCTCCACACTCCCACCACCCTACTGCCAACCTACTTCTCCCCATCCTACCCACCCCTTTTTTCTTCCACTCTCACCCACCTCCTGTTCATGATCAAATCATTCTCACCAGGCCCTCATTTTTCTGTCATCCTCTAAGCCCTCCAAACTCTCCCATTCTTTGTTACCCACTTCTGAACGTGCTTCTACATTTTCAGGTATCTCTGTAACAGCTTGACTATGTAGCAATAACACAAAACCCCATTTAAGGGGAAAAATTCAAGAAGTCTTCAGAAATTTGCACATAAAGAAGCCCAGTGCTGATAGCCAAGTCAAAGGGGAAAAGGCCTTGAAGACATTTCACAGCTCCCCTCTGCAGTACCAAATTTCTGTATTATCATAAATAATAGAGGTTTAATTTAATGAGTGTTCTGCAGGCTGTAAAGGAAGCATTGTGTCTTCTGTTTCTGGGAAGAGTCAGAGAGCTTCCCAATCACACCAGACAGCTTAGGGACAATGAGATGTCTCCTACAACAAGAGTGGGAGCAAGGCAGAGCAAGAAAAGAGGTTCCACCCCCTTTTAAACAACCAGATCTCATGAGAACTCACTATCAGGAGGACAGCATTAAGGGCATGTTGCTTTACCATTCATGAAGGATCCACCCTCACCCTTTTATGATTAAATCTTTTTCTACCTAGGCCCCACCTCTAACATTAGGGAGTATGAGTTCTGGTAGGGAAGTAGAGATAAACCATATTATTCTGTCCCTCCCACGAATTTAATGTCCTTCTCATATTGCAAAAACAATCATCCCTTGCCAACAGTCTCCCAAATTCTTAACTCATTCCACCATTAACTCAAAGTTAGAAAGTGCAAAGTACCATCTGAGCCAAGGCTACAGTCTCTTTTGCCTATGAGGTGCTGAAATAGAAAGCAAGTTCACTGCTTCTAAGGTACAATAGTGGTACAGGCATTGTGTAAGATTTCCGTATCCAAAAGGAAGACATTTTCTTGAAGTCTTCTTATTTCAATCTGAGACCTTTCTCAGCCTGGCCTTCACTGTCCATGTTTCTGTCAGCATTTTGGTCACAACCATTTAAACAGTCTCTAAGATGGTCCAGAAATTTTCCCATCTATCTGTCTTCACTTGAGCCATCTCAAATCTTCCAACCTCTGCCCATTACTTACTTCCAAAGCTACTTCCACACTTTCAGGTATCTTCATAGCAATCGTTCAATCCTCATTTGCCATTTTCTGTGTGCTTTATTTTGAAACAGAGGTTTAACTGACCCTTGATTCAGCAGTGTACAGGAAGCACAGTGGCTTTTGCTTCTGGGAGGCCTCAGAAATCTTTCAATCATTGTGGAAGACAAAGACTGAATTTTCTCACATGGCAAGAGGAAAACATGGAAAGTAAGGAGGTGGCATAGAGTTTTCAATGACCAGATCTCACAAGAAGTCACTCATGATTACAAGGAGAGTAGCAAAGTGATGGTGCTAAACCATTCATGAGAAATTTGTTTTCATAATTCAATCACCTCATACCAGCTTCCACCTTCAACATTAGGAAACATAATTCAACATGAAATTTGGTGGGGACACATATTTGAATCATATCATCAATCTTTCAGTATAAAACCATCTACAGCAGGCTTTATCCAGCCAGCTTCTTTGAGACTTTTCATAAATATAAGGTCTACAGCATATACACTAAAATATTCATACTTCAAAAAGCAATGAAGTAAATGGTATTATCATTCTTCCAAAAGTTACAAAGGTAGTGTAAGCATTTGTAGTATGATTTAGTTTGGTGCTGTTTCTATTCTATCACCATATTAACTGCTTCCTGCACAAGTCAATATTCAGCTGGGTTTTAGTCTAACACAAAACAATACTTGTACTACCACAATAGCTGGCACTGGCTCTTTGATAGTGTTATTATTCTGCTGTAGAAGGTATCCTTGAACTGGAAAAAGTCCGCAGTTGAATATCTAGTCATTCAACACTCTCAATTCCTGGGTGACTTTTTGGAAAAATAGTATCTCTTGTTGCAAGAAATACTGCATTTGTGATTTCAAGTTTCTCAATTTAGTTGGATGGAAGTGGTGAATTTCAGCCAAAGTGGCCAAATAAATCCTGTTACCGTGATCCTGATGTCATCAGCCTCTGCACTTCTGCTTCCTTTCTGCCACATGTTGCCTGCTTTCCATGACTTTGGCAAGAGCTTCCTTGGGTACATGGATGATGTCCAGGACGTTGGACTGGTGTCCCTGAGACAACAATAACAGGTGCATCATGGGGTCCAGGCCTTGTTGGGACAGATTGGCAGAGAGCTCACTGATGGTGTTGCTGGCACCTCTGGTGAAGTGGATGGCCTGGTCCAGCTCCAAGGCCTGGCTGAGGCTGAAGAAAAACTGCCTGCCTTCTGATGCTCCTTCTTAAAGCCTGCCACCATCATCTGCTTGCATGTCAACTCATTGGCTGTGAAGTTGAGTTGAGTGCCCTGTTGTCCATCTTCTTGGTGTAGCATTCGATTCCTAAAGGTTGAAGGCTACCATGGGGGTGGACTCAGGGTCATTTGGAAGCTGGCACTCACCATCTCACCCTTCTCAGCCTTTATATTGTCCTGTTTCCAGGCTGTCTCTTCAGTGCTGGTGGGGCACATATCAGGAAGTGATGGAAGATGTGGCACTGTGCCTGCACCCAGAAGCTGGCATGTGGTTCATCCACCAGATTGGGCCCTTTCTGCATCTGGACATAAAGTCCTCCTCAAAATGACCTGTGGTCTGCCTCTTGGCACCCAAGAAGCCCTCAGTGCTGTGTGAGAACTGATACATGGACTGGAGCCCCAAAGGCAGCACACAGCCTGCTCCTGAGCCTGCTGCTCATTTCCTCCATGTGGCTCCATTTGCAGCACAGTTGTTGCACTGAGGCCTGTGCATGCCAGCAAGGCCAAACTGGCTCAAAGAGCAAGCGGCCACCTCCACAAAGGTGTGCCAGGAGCAGGTGGACCAGTCACCAACCTCACACGCTGCCAATCTAGATATATCAGTTCCTCTACCCTGGAGGTAGGGCCCAGTGCCATCTGCTTTCCTCAGGCCTCTACTCCATCAGCTGTTATGTAGTGGCCACTCAGGCTGTGGGAACCTGGCTATCCCTGCTTCCTTGAGTGGGTGAGGTTGGTGGCTGGTCCACCTGCTCCTGGGACACCCTTATAGAGGTGGCTGATTGCTCTTTGAGCCAGGTTGGTCTTGCCTGGCATGCACAGACCCCAAGTACCGACATGCTGCTCCGAGTGATATTGTCCTGTCTTGGGCCAAATTCTAAGTCTGGCCAGGGCTACAGAATACTGAGTCCCGTGTGTGGTAATCCTGGCTGCTGCTGGTGGCCCACGGTACCCCTCCCCTCCTAGGGCTCAGGATGAGGCCTGAGACAGGATGCTTCATGTATGAGACTCGTGCTCTTGGAGGGGGCCTCTGTCCCACATGTTAGGTGAGATGTATGGCATGCTGCTGGCTGTCAGCGTTGCCAGTATGCCACATTCACCCATCCCTCCAGGGACCTCAAAGTGACCAGCTTCCCCTTTGAGAATTACTTCCCAAGGTCCAGGAGCCATCTGGGGCTGCACAGCAGCTGGCTGCAAGCTGCCCTGGCTTCTTCCATGTTGTGATCGTCACTACCCACCAAGGGGAATCAGATGCAGGCACCATGTAGGGGGATTGTCTCTGGACCTGCGTCTTTGTTATCATGGAGCCACACTAGGCCTGGTGTCAGGCAGGGTTGTCCTGGATGGTCCTGGGGGTGTCCAGAGAAGATGCAGAATGGAATTGCTGTTAGGATGAATGAGATGACTGTCAGCACAGAACAGGCACCCAGTGAGTGCTCAGGGATTACTCTCAGTAACTGTCTGGAGGGAAAAACCACTCACCTGGTAGCAACTGTTCCAAAGCCAGGAGGAAGGGAAGAGGGCAGGTTCCATTCACTTGAGTCTGATCGGTAAGCTATGCTGAGTGATCACCTAGAAAATGGTCCCACACTCAGAGCCACTCAAGGACACTGCCATGTGTCTCTAACTGCTCCACAACACAGAGGCACTGGGGGCTCAGCAATGATGACATCGTGGGGCAACATAACCCATCACAATGGGAGCCTGCTTGGATAAACAGGGCACAGAGTCAGTATCCCTTATCCCCTGAACTGAGATGTGTGTGTGCAACGTGTTTGTGCATGTGTGTGTGTGTTTTTGTGTGCATGTGTGTGTTTGTGTTGCTTCTATGGCTAGGCCTAGGTGCTCCACTCACAGGTGCACCCAGGTCCTCATCACTGTCACCACCAGGGCCTGGGGCCAGCATTAGTGTCTCCACAGGAGCTCCCCAATCTCTGTCCTCCCCACCCAGGGTGGTCATGGGGATGCAGAGGAGGGGCACTGGGTACAGCAGAGGGCTGGCACCCTCCCTAGGTGGAATCTAGGTCGTGTGTAAAGTGCTAGGTCTGCCCAGCAATGCTGGATTCAATACAACTTCTCAGATCCTCTTCCCAGTAGCCCTCCAGGGTGACCTGACTCACCTACCCTACAGGTGGAGGCAAGGAGGTTCCTCAGACAAACCCCCTGCCTGAGGTCACACAGCGGCCAGCTGGCCAGGTTCCCACTAGCCAGGTTCCTAATGTCCACTCTTCCATTTACCAGGTCCCCATTGACCAAGTACCCACTGGCCATCTCTCCCGAACTAGGCCCCCATTAATAGGCCCCATGGACCAGACTCCACTGACCAATTTTCCTCTGACCAGGCCCCCACTGAGAAGACCACAATTTACCTGGTTGCTGCTCACCCGAATCCCACTAAACAATTCTCCATGAATTAGTCCCTAGCTGGCTAGGCCCCCCTGACTAGGCTCCCACTGACCAGGTCCCAGCCCATTAAGGCCCCAACTGACCAGACCCCAAGTATACAGATCCCACCAACTACTTTTTCCTTGTTTATGTTCCAACTGACCAGGCCCCACTAATAAGGCCACCACTGACCAGGTCACCACTAACCAGTCTTCCAATGACTAGGTCTTCAGGTCCCCATTGATGAGGCCTTCACTGAGGAGGCCACCACTAACGAGGTCCCTGATCCTGCCCCAACTGGCCAGGTCCTGATGACCAGGTCATCACTGACCATGGGCCACTGACCAGGCCCCTGAGCAGCAGTGCTCAAAGTCTCATTCCAATGTCCCAGTCAGCCCACAGACCATCCCTCCCTGCATGTGTGCCCACAGATCAGGCCCTGTGGGTCTTCTTGGGACAAGGCCTTTCCTCCAAGACACAGGGAGGGACAGTCAGCCTCAGGCTCCATGTGCCCAGCTTCTCACTCACCCCCCAAGGTCCTCTGGGCCCATCTCAAAGGAGACAGTGAGGTGGCCTGGCACTGCCTGAACACATCATCTAGCCTATTCCTGAGTCTCAGAGTGGGAGGAAGGGAGGGACATTTGGCAGATGAGACACCCTGTGCTGCTTGGTCTCTCAGGGCCCTTCCTGCAGAGCACAGGTCTAGAGACAAATCACAGGGGCTTCAAGGAGACTAATCCAGAACCTTTCAGGCTGAGCCAAGGACCACATGAGGACTGTCCCCAGACAGTCAGAAGGTTCTTTGCTACTTTCTTGGTACCTCAGTGGATGCAGCAGTGGTTCTTCCTACTGGGGACCAGTAAGTGCAAGCTGCGGAATGCTCATCCTGTGCTTCCTCGGTGGCTCCACCTCTGCTTCTAAGAACAATCACTCATTCCAGGGCTGGGGCAGAGAAAATACAAGATAAGCTTGGAGCATCTTGTGCCAGAAAGTAAAAAAGTGCTGACAGACTAATGGGGACAAATAAAAAAGAGATGAAGGGAGCTTGAAATGTCTACCACTGGCCTAATCTTGGGGCATTTGAGGACCAGAATCACGAGCTTTCCCTTCTCGGTTATGTATTGGTTTTATTTCTCCATGTAGAACAAAGGAGAGAATAAGAAAGTAATCATTTGGCAATCATTACGGTAATAATTGCTCAAACACAAGTCATCCATGAAATGCTAAATCTAGTGGGTTTTGAGGAGCAACCAGATATTTACAGAGCCTCAAAATATCTCCACACAAAATACTGTTGAACTACAAAAAGGAAATAGTAACACTCTGGGAGGCTGAGGTGGGTGGATCACATGAAGTCAGTTCGACACCAGCCTGGCCAATATGATGAAACCCCGTCTCTACTAAAAATAAAAAAAAAAAATTAGCTGGGTGTGGTGGCAGGTGCTTGTAACCTCAGCTACTCGGGAGGCTAAGGCAGGAGAGTCACTTGAACTCAGGAGGCAGAGGTTGCAGTGACCGAGATCACGCCATTACACTCCAGCCTGGGTGACAAGAGCAAAACTTCATCTCAAAAAAAGAAAAAAAGGAAATAGTAACATTAGCACGAACATACCAGGCTGGTACTCCTCAAGTCTCCTATTATATATAGTAGTAAAAGCTATAAAATGCCAATAAGCCATCAATGACCTCTACTGAAGTATCAATGATGACTTGATTGTTTGGCTGTTTAAACAGCTGAAATCTGGGCAATTTGAGTATGTCAAACTCAACAATACTGGTTTTCATTTACAAGATCAACTTAAAACTTAAAGAGGCTAAAAAATCATTTAAAATACCATATACATTTTCATCACACATATGATACAAACATATTCTACTTTAGTGAAGATCATGATGTTACATATTTTATGAGAAACAATTAAAATGTCATGTACACAGATCAGTAATAAAGTTTTAAGATGTTTTAGGTCTTTTAAATCATAAACTTTTTCCTTAAGATTTTATGGTTTAGATATTCTCTTCATTAGTTGTTGCTCATCAGTGGATTCTAAAGAAGAAACCAGATGGGAGAAAATGTCCAACACAGCAAAAGCTGGAAAGAAAAATAAAGAATTATGTTCTTTACCTAAAACATTTCAGTTAACTATGTGTAAGTTTAAAAACTAAAGAGTTGGCCAGGTGCAGTCACTCACACCTGTAATCCCCACACTTGGGGAGGCTGAGGTGGGCAGATCACCTGAGGTTAGGAGTTCGAAACCAGTCTGACCAACATGCAGAAACCCCATCTCTACTAAAAATACAAAATTAGCCAGGCATGGTGGCACATTCCTGTAATCCCAGCTACTCGTAGGGCTTAGGCAGGAGAATCATTTGAACCTGGGAGGAGGAGGTTGCGGTGAACTGAGATCATACCATTGCACTCTAGCCTAGACAAAAAGAGCAAAACTCCATCTCAAAATAAATAAATAAATAAATAAAGAGTTCAGAACTTTATCAGGGTTAATAAGAATGAGAAATATGTATGTACAATTATAATACAAAATTACTATTAAATAGAATTTGCTCGTATTTACACATGGAATTAATTACAATTGTGGTTAAATATGAGAGCTTTTTATTCTTCATTCACATACTCAACAGCCATGTGCTAAGGTACTAGAACCAGCACTGGAATTACAAGATGAAGATAGTATGGTCCACCTCTCAACAATCATATGCTGTAATCTGAAAAAACAGACAGGCAGGCAATGTCCACATAGAGTCATAGATGCCATGACAGGTATATAGCAGGGTACTACTGGAACACACAGAAGAGTCATCTATCCCAGTTTTGTGTCAATATCATAGGCTTTCTGGTGGAGAAGATAGGTAGGTTGATGCCTGAAGGACGAGGAAAAGATTGCCAGATAGAGGGAAGAGATGAAGGCAAAGAGCCTGAGGTGAGGAAGAACCCTGTGGAGTTCCACTCCATCCAGTTTGGTGCTAGAGCAAAGGGCAGAGTGTGGTAAGTGGCTAGAGACAAGGCTGAGTAACTTGACAAGAATCACATTGATGTAGGTGTTTTTATTCCATGGTGAAAAATTTAGAACTTTTCCTGAGAACAAAAGTAAGCCAATGACAAAGTAAATGACAGAAAATTTAAAATGTCACCTGTCAAGTGACTGCTTATGAATGGTTATGGCTCAGCTGAGTATTTCTAAATGAGCATGAGGTCTGTTGGTCTTAAGTCTCTACCGGAACCCTGAGAACCTGATGATGCCTTTGTTTGCTGAGAATTGTTTGAGTGTGCTGGCTGACAGTTCCATGAGAATGACAAAAGTGAATAAAGTGTAGAGCCAGTAAAAAAGGGATGCATAGACTTCTTGGGAATTTTTTAAGCTATGGAACATGATGAATTAATGGTGCATAAGTATACTCTTCATTGTGAAAGTTTTTGTTTTCACATCTGTCATTAGATGTATGTAAGAAAAGAATAACATAGTATCTACTAACCCAACAATGAAAAGGAATGCCATTTGCTATATACAGTTTATTTCTAAAATAAGTCTAAATTTAATTAATAAATTTTGGCAACATACTTTTCTTTGTTTCTCTAATTATTTGTTCTACACAGTCCAACTCCATCTCAAGTAAAAATAATAATAATGTTTAAGTTAAACAAGAGACATTATCGTGAGAATAATATATCACTTACAAAATGTGGCCTTTAGTATATTTAGTGACTACACATAACTTGAACACTTGTTTAAATAGAAAAATAATCACATAAATAAAATAAAATTTCTACTTATTTTAAGTTTAGATAATAGAGGATATATCTGTGTAATGCTGTTTAGATTTATCTGATAACAATAAAATTAATATTGGTCTATTGTATATAAATAATTTTAAAAAGGTGGTGTTTTATTAGTACAAAGGTTAAACAATTAAAGTCATGTTTTGCAATGAATACATTGCTTCAAAACTCTTAGCAAAATTCTGCCCTTTATAAAAGTTCAATCCATTTTTTACTTCAGTAAACTTTTCCTTAAAAAGAAATTTCTATTCTCCACTTACAGTAACCTTTTTTATAGTAAATTTTTTCTAGATTGTATTCTAAATCAAGGTGGTACCTGTGTAGGTTTCTTCCAAAGGTATATTGAGGAATGCTGAGGTTTGGGGTCCAACTGAACCCGTCACCCATGTAGTGAGCATAGGATCCAATAAGTAGTTTTTCAACCCTGGCCTACTCTGTCCCTCCCCGTTCTTATTTCCCAGTGTCTACTATTCCCATGTTTATGACAGTGTGAACCCAATGCCTATCTCCCACATTATGAGTAAGAACATGAGATATTTGGTTTTCTGTTTCTATGATAGTTTGCTTAGGATAATGGATTCCAGTTGTATCCATGTTGGACATGATTTTGTTGTTTCTATGGCTGCATAGTAATCCATGGTGTATGTGAAATTTTCCAATCTACTTTGGATTTTCAGTCTACCTTGGATGCACCTTGGTTGACTCCATGTCTTTGCTATTGTGAATAGTACTGCAAGGAACATACATGTGCATGCATCTTTTTGTTACGATGATTTCTTTTCCTTTAGGTATACCCCCAGCATAGAAATGGGGTTGCTGCATCCAATGATCATTCTTAGTTCTTAATTTCCAAACTGCTCTCCATAGCAGCTGAACTAATTTTTTATTGCCACCAACAGTGTGTAATTGTTCCCTTTTCTCCAATCCTCCCAACACCAGTTTTTTTTTACTTTTTAACAATATTCATTCTGATTGGTGTGAGATGGTATCTTGTTGTTTTGTTTTGCATTTCTCTGATGATTAGTGATAAGCAATTGTTAATATGTTTGTTGGCTACTTATATGTGTTCTTTTGAAAAGTGTCTGTTCATGTCCTTTGCTCATTTTTTAATGGAGTTATTTTTTGTTTGTATATTTGTTTAGGTCCCTTATGGATTCTGGATAATAGGCCTTTGCTGTATGCATAGTTTGTGAATATTTTCTTCCATTCTGTAGGCTGTCTGTTCAATCCCTTGATAGTTTCTTTTGCTGTGTAGAAGCTCTTTAGTTTAATTTGATCACACTTGTCAATTTTTGTTATCCTTGCAATTGCTTTTCAGGACTTAGCCATATATTCATTGCCAACCACTATGGCCAGAAGAATATTTCCTAGGTTTACTTCCAGGATTTTTATAGTCAGAGGATGTACTCTTATGTAAGAAGAGCACAAGGCTTTTAAAATAAAAATGGAAATGAATCTTTTAGTATTTTATGTTTATTTAATTCATAAAATGCACTTATTTTGGATTCTATTAAATAGTAAATACCCATGTGTGATTAAGTGTTTGGATGCCAATCATTCCTTTGTGAGTATGGGTGGGAAGAGTTGAGATGGTACAAAGAAACCTTAAAAGTGGCATGAACCACAGCCAAACTACAATCAATTAGAGCGTAAGCCAAAGCATCTCAAAATATACCTTCAGTTATTAGGCAATAACATGCAATTTCTAAAATCTAACTTAAGTGCAGCCTTTAAAGAAAGTTGAAATGTGTCAGTTTATTTACATTTACTGAATAAAGTTAGCAAATGGGTGTCTCTTGAAAATTAGAGCTCTGGGGAATTTAAAAAAAAGTAAAGTTCCCATTTCCTTTCTGTGTTAATATGGCTAACTATAATCTTTACTTAACATGCATAGGTCAACTGAACAACTCAGTATTTCACCAAATTAAAAACAAGAATATTATTAGTGAAATAAAACCCAAAATAGAAAAGGTAATTTGAAGTCTGTGGGCTTGAAGTAGGAATTCTTACAGGTGTTTTGGGAATACATTTTCTGTTGAGTCCTATACTATTAAGATTTTCAACACAAGGTGGCTCTGAGCCTGGCCTCATAGAAAGAGCACTGAGAAAAGCTTTCATCCACTCTTTCTCCATATGGAGCTTGGTGCTGATCACTTGTTTTCTTATTTGATCTGTGAAGATAGCAAAGACAAATGCTTAGTATTTCATTTTTCCTTAAGTGAGTCTTAATGACTTCCACTTTTTTAAAAGTTGCTGAGAGAGTAAACCAAATTACCCACTAAAGTGTTTTCTCACCGAAGATGTGTGAGAGCATATCTGTTGTAACCAATTATAATTTTAAAGTCGTTCAAAAGAAGTACATGTGTTTCTAGGGTGATTTCTACTGAATAAGCAATTCAAACAAAGTAGAGAGGGAAGAGAAATGGCTATCAGTAATGTGGGGCTGAACAGGTAACACTTGCTGCTTTCTAAAATGACTCTACTTGTAAGATTTGGAAGATTCTATTAGAAATACTTGTATTTAAAGGGTAACTATGTGACAAAATGAATATGTTAAGTTGTTTGACTATAAGAACCAATTCACTATAAATAGTTATATCAAAACGGCTTGTTGTACTCCTTAAATAATATACATTTAAGAAATCTAAAATGAACCAAAAAAAAAAACCGCTAGAAATACTTGTGCTTAGTAAACCAGTTTCAGGTTTCACCCTTGTACATTTCACCCATTATCTAGGAACAATTAAGCATTTGGCAATGATGAATAATTCTGAGCAACAACTCATAGTAGAGAAGTAGATGGCTTGGTTGGTGATCAAAAAGAACTAAAGCATCTCTGAAGACAATTAGCCCCTAACATTGTGACCAAGGCACTGGAGATGGGGTTTTTTCTTTCTGTCTTCCACACACCCCTTCAGGCTGAACAAGGTGTTATTTTGAAACCACTTAGTGAATCACACTTCCTTTCATTCCTGTAATAATTATTCCCTATTTCACAAGAACGCCTTTCTGTAGTTTGAAAATGTTACACAGAATAGTCTTTCTTAAGGTGCCCTATAGTGATAATACTAAAGATCACAATCAAGGACAGTTCCATGCCTGAGGGCCAGGATATACCCAGAGCAGCAGTAGTACTTGACACTTTGGGTTTAGGTTGTGATGTACCAAAAAGTAAATTAAACTCATTAATATTTCTACTTAGGGTAATTCTGACAAGTAATTTTATAACAAGATCACTTTATTAATTATAACGATTCAAAAATACTTAGTGAAAAAAACTAATAGATCAAGTTAACTACATGAGATTTTTTCAGGAAAAAAAAGCCATACAAAAGAGAGAGAGAGAGAGAGAGGAAGGAGACACCGAACCTCTCCCTGACTAACGTTTTAAAGGTAAGATTATTTACTGACATTATTTTCCAAAATTATATTGTCAAGTTAGCATTCACTTTCTACTAATCTCCTGAAGGCATCTCACTAGATTATGCTTTCAAAACAAATTAATAAGCTTATTCCATTTTCTATGAGTGTATGTTTAGTAGTGTTAGTATTAATGCAATCTGGTCATTTAAAAAGTAATAGAATCCATTTATAATTTTAAAAACTGAACAATGAACAATGTAGCTTAAGACCAATTCAAAAGTATCATTTAATTTCTAAATCACAATCTTCTCTTTTCCTAATAGTCTTATGCCTACAGGTCTTAACAATCAAGTGAGTCTATAGTGAGAATCATTACTCTGAAAGATCAATTTTGTTATAATAATGATGGAAATTTAAATATTTAAAAGAAAAACACAGATGCCACCTGTTTCTAGAACTCTACAAATTGCTATGAGAGGCAGAGTAAACACAATACATATAATATCTAAAATGTAATTTGCAGTGAAATAAATGAAAGCACATTACAGATAAACTTACCTGACTTTAAAAACTAACGTGTTAATGGATTTCTTCTATTTTTTTTCTATTGCTGGCATTGCTTTTTCTTCTAGCTCCAATTTATATTCTTGTACTTTACCAAGTTCTACCATATTTTTCCATATGTGTCATAAGATTTACTATTCCTTCTTCCAACATCTTTTTATTTTCCTCAAGTTTTTCACATTCCTGTTGTACTTTTTTCATAGATAACTCCTGTTGAGTAACTTGATTGTTTTCAGCCAAATAGACACATTGTAAAGATACAGCTTCCAATTCTGCTGTGAGATCATCAAACTGCATGAATGAAATAATACAGCTTGATAATGCAGTAGCTGAGAATAATAAAACCAATAAAAATTTTGGTTTAATAATAAACCAATAAAATTTTTGAAATACATTTACTTGGAATAAAATATTACCTGTAATGTAGCAGATTCCTCAAATGTTAACCCTTAAATTACTCAGAAATTCAAGAACAAAATTAGACCACCATGAGTCACAAAAATATATTCTTTACTATCATCATCTTTGATGCAGAAATTTTGCACTTGATCTTTTATTATTCTGATTGTTTCTTTTTGTTCCTCCTTAAATGGCTCTAAGTTATCTCTTAGGAGAAAGTTTATAAACCTCTTCCCTCATCATCATTCCCCATAATTTGTCAAAAAAAGTTTCAGAGATATCATATTAAGATATTTAGGCCAAAGTCAAAAAATGGCTCTCAGAATAAGACACTGAAAATAATATAACACTCTATGCTAGGCATGGTGGCTCATGCCTGTAATCCTAGCAGTTTAGGAGTCTGTGGCAGAAAGATCACTTGAGGCCAGGAATTTGAGAGCAGCCACAGAAACACAGTGAGACTCCACATCTCTACAAAAAAAAATTATTTTTAATTATTCATGCCTTGTACATCCAGCTCATTGGGAGAATGAGGCAAAAGGGTGGCTTGGACACAGAGTTCAGGGCTGCAGTGAATTATGACCACACCACTGCACTTCTGCCTGGATAACAGACAAAGACCATATCTCAAAAAAAAGAGACAAAATAATGAATCCTGTAAATAAGGATTCTAATGTCATAAGCCTTTCCCTAAAATGCAAATGTTTTATGCTAATTTGAATTGCATTTTAAGAAGTAATGATTCTTGGGGTAAAGTCTATGGCACATGCCACCCAGAAATAAATCCACATATTTACAGCCAGCTGATTTTGGACTAAGATGCCAAGAACATACATTGGGGAAAGGACACCCTCTTCAAATGAATGCCACTGGGAAAACTGAATATACATATGGAGAACAATGATAATAGATTCCTATCTAACACCAATACCAAAATAAACTCAGAATGAATTGAAGACTTAAATGTCAGGCCCAAAATTATCAAACTACTAGCAGTAAATATAGGAAAAATGCTTCAGGACATTAGTCTGCACAAAGATTTTTATGGATAAGACATCAGAAGCATAGGCAAAAAACAAATGATAGACAAATGGTACCACATTAAGCTAAAGAGCTTTTGCCCAGAAAACAACTGAGTAAACAGAAAACCTGTAGAATGGGAGAAAATACTTTCAAACTATTCATCTAATAAAGGACTAATATCCAAAATATACAAGAACGCAAACACTTGACATTAAAAAAAATCTGAATTCAAAATAAGGCAAAAGATCTGAATACACATTTCTTTTTCAAAAAAAGAAATACACATGGCAAATAAATACATTTAAAAATGCTCAGTATCACTAATCATCAGGGAAACACAAATCAAACCTACAACGAGGTATAATCTCACTCCAGTTCAAATAAATGACTATCATTGAAAAGACAAAAAATAACAAATGCAGGTAAGGTTTCAGAGAACAGTAAACTCTTATATGCTGGTGATAGGAAGGTAAATTAGTGCAGCCACTACAGAAAACAACATGAGGATTTCTCAAAAAACTAGTATTGGAACTGCTGAGGGATCCAGCAAACCCACTACTGAGTATTCAGCCAATCGAAAACAAAAGATCAAAAGGATAACTGTACTCGTACATTTATTGTAGCACTATTTACAACAGCTAATGTATGGAATCAACCTATATGTCCATCAACAAATGGACAAAAAATGTAGTATACATACAAAATGGAATAGTATTCCACATATAGAGGAATGAAATCTTGTTATTTGTTGCCACGTGGATGAGTCTGGAGAATGTTAAGTGCAGGCACAGAAAGAAAAATACTGCACATTCTCACTCATGTGTGGGAGCTAAAGAAAAATTGAAGGCTGGACAACATGGCTCATGCCTGCAATTTCCTAGCACTTTAAAAGACCAAGGCAGGAGAACTGCTTGAGGCCAAAAGTTCCAGACCAGCCTGGGCAACATCATGAGACCTCATGTCTACAAAGTAAAAAATCAGACAGGTGCAGTGGTGCACACCCGTAATCCTGGCTGCTCAGGAGGCTAAGGTGGGGTGATCATATGAGCCCAAGAGTTTGAGGCTGCAGTGAGCTATGATCAAATCATTGTCTCTAGTCTGAGTGACTGCAGTTGCCCAGGGCCCAGACTAGACTAGCAAGACCCTGTCTCTTAACAACAACAAAAAACTCAAGGAAGTAAGGGAGGGGAGGCTGGTTAATAGATACAGAATTACAGTTATAAAAAAGGAATGAGTTCTGGCGTCCTGTAGCATTGTAGGGTGAATATGCTTAACTATGATTTATTGTATATTTTCAAAAAGCTGGAAGACTTTTTGAAAAATGATTGAGGTAATAAATATGCTAGTAATACCTTGATCAATACACACTATATACATGTATCAAAATATAACTTTATAACTCATAATTTTGTATATACATGTCAATTAAAAACAAAAGAGAAGATAAATTCATCCCACTAAAAAAATAGAATACGGGCCAACCTTACTGACTTCCTTCTAATGAAAAGAATGCAGTAATAAGGGATTCCATGTGGCTTCTCTATCTCCAACTGCTTTCCCTTCAAACCCAGCCCCCAGACTAAGAGAGAGCTCAGGCCACAAAGAGAGCCTGGGAGTGCCAGTGTCAGTGTTCATGCTGCCTGCCCAAACCAAGGTTCCAGCCAATGGCCAGCATTAACCATCAAACACATGGTTGAACAAAGCATCTGATGATTCCATTTCCCCAGTCATTCAGCTGTTCCTAGGGAAGCTGAGGGAAGCAGAGACAAGCTGTCCTGGCCAAGCTTTTTCCAAGCCACAGATTCATGAGCAAAATAAATGTTGTTCTTTTTTTAGTATTTTTATTAGAGACGGGGTTTCACCATCTTGGCCAGGCTGGTCTTGAACTCCTGACCTCATGATCCACCCACCTCTGCCTCACAAAGTGCTGGGATTACAAGCATGAGCCACCGTGCCCAGCCTTAAATGTTTCTCTTTTACGCCACTAAACTCTGGGTAATTGTTAGAAAAAAATGATTTTAAAAAAGAGACAACAGGAAACATAACTTACACAGCAGAAAAGAGTCTCTTTTAAAGTAGAATCAAATAAATGTTGAGATTAATTTATTGATGACAAGCATTATTGAGAAGCAGCAGATAACTGGGAGAGAGACATAAGTTCCTGAGGATGAACTTTTCCTAAAACTCCCTTCAATTATGAACTCTGATGACAAGGCAAGGGTGTCTCCTTAGAATTTCCCCTCAAGTTAGGAAATAAGACTGGAAAGCAAGAAGACGTGATTTTTAAAAACAACTAGAACTACTTGGTTAAATAACCAAAATCAGACAGTTTACCTGATTTCAATTAACTAAAAATTCTAAAAGTAAGCAGCTTTGAGTATTTATTAATCAATCTAGTATTCCATTTTCATTTTCCTTTACTCAGTGGGGAAACAAGGAGAACACGATGGAATTATTTTTAATCTTCACAGAAGTAAAATAAATGTAGTGTGCCTTGAGTGTTAAGAAATCAAATGCGATTTCTCCTTCATCCTTACTTCAAGCTTGTTTGTATGGAGAAGTTAAGACCATCCCATCTCTATGTTATACCACAACGCTTCTCTATAGCACACAAGTTGACTCTGAAATTTTAAAATTCAAATTACTAATCTACTACTGATAAATTTCCTGAACATTACCAGATTTTTAAGCGCTGCACTCCTAAATATTTTTCTTGCAATGAGTTAAACTTTTTACTCCAAGAATCTTCTACTAAGCTACAAAGCACAGCTGTGCATCTCTGTTTCAGTAAAACGAGGTCAATACAGGGAACTGTGGTTTCTGAGAATGCAGGA
The DNA here is from genome assembly GCF_000001405.40 of Homo sapiens. Lineage (NCBI taxonomy): Eukaryota > Metazoa > Chordata > Mammalia > Primates > Hominidae > Homo > Homo sapiens. The sequence goes on along the minus strand of NC_000008.11, from coordinate 43,499,622 downwards.
TCTGCACCAAGAAAAGGATCAGCCACAGTGCTACACAAGAGAACCAGCTACCAGGTGGAAAAAGGATCTGCGAATTGAAAGATGATAACTTCACTTGACTTCCACTGAGGAAAGCTGGCAGCTCAGACTTAAACTTCTCCTTTCTAGATGGTAAGCATCTATGGATGATTCTATGAATTATAATGAGTTAATAAGACATAATGCACTAAATAGTAGGCTATGTCAGCGGATCCTGCGACCAAAATTTACTGAAAATGAAACTATAGAGGGAGGCACTGGATAAGACACTAAAGGCTTGAATGGAGGAAAAAAAAAGAAATGAATTGTGTCTTGTAAGCCTGACTTCTCATCATGTCTTAGGATAAGTAAAGTATAAGCTGACCACAGACTCTCTGGAGATGCAGAAGGTGAAGTTAAAGATGTTCCACTATATTTAATATTTATTATGACATAAGACAACTGGTAATATGCAACATGATTGAAAAAAACTTATTAAATTCAATTTGGCCCTGGCATAAGAATAGACATAAACAAAGAACTGATCATTAAAAAATAAACCTGCGTATTCAGTCAATTGATTTTTTACAGGGTTAACAAAACAATGAAATGGGAAAAGAATAGTCTTTTAGACAAATGGTGCTGGGACAACTGGGTATCCATATGCAAAAACATAATAAAGTTGGACTCTCACTAAATACCATATTTAATAATTAACTCAAAATAAAACAGCTAACTGTAACAGCTAAAACTCTAAAACTTTCAGAAGAAAACATTGGCATAAGTCTTTGTAACTACATTTGGCAGTGTTTTCTTAGCTCTGACTCCAAAGGAAAAATGGATTCAATGGACTTCAAAACTGAAAAATTCTGTGTGTGAGAAAACAGTCAAGAAAGTGAAAAGTCAAGTCAACGAGTAGAAGAAAATATTTGGAAAGCATATATCTGATAAGGGACTTATATCTAGGATATATAAAGAACCCTTTCAATTCATAAATAAAAAGATGACCCAATTAAAAATGGGCAAAGATTTTGAATAGAAATTTTGCAAAGAAGAAAAGATGGATATAAGCACATTAATCGATGCTTAATGTAATTAGTCATTAGGAAAATATAAATATTAGCAAAAATGTAAAGAAATTAAAGCCCTTATACAATGCTGCTGGAAATGTAAAGTGGTGCAGCCACTTTGGAAAACAAACTGGCAGCTCCTCAAAAGGTTAAGCATGAAGTTACCATAATATAAGCTGACCACATGTTCCTTCAAGAAGCAAACAGTGAAGTTAAAGGCTACCTAGTACTTGAATTTCTATTCTTACTTTAGGCAATTGGTAATAATAAGTAACACGATTGGAAAACAATTCTAAAATTTGCTTTGGTAATGGCATAACAGTAGACATAAATCAACATATTAGAATTGAGAATCCAAAAATAAACTCACATTTATGGTCAATTGATTTTCAACAAGGGTGCCAAAAAGAACAACACTTAAAAAAGAATATTAATTTATTTAAAAGAATAGTCTTTTCCACAAATGGTGCTGGGAAAACTAGGTATCTACATGCAAAAGAATAAAAATAGACTCCTGGCATATGCTGTATCTAAAATTAACTCAAAATAGAATCACTAAATATAAGAGCTAAAACTATAAAATTTTTAGAAGAAAGCATAGACATAAATCTTTGTGACTGCAAAAAAAGATTAATGACTATCAAAATTTGAAATGTCTGCACGTGAACAGACATCATCAAGAAAGTTTTAAAAAAGCCTATTGAGTGAAAGAAAATACTTGAGAATCATATCTGTTAAGGATCTTATGGATTCACAAACAAAAAGGCAACCACTTTTAAAAATAGGCTGCATTTTAATAGACATTTCTCCAAAGAAGATACACAAGTCACTCCGAAGCACGTAAAAAGATGATTAAAGTAATTAGTCATTAGGGAAATGCAAATCGAACCAAAATGAGGTATCATAGGGAATTATGGAAATGCAAATCGAACCAGAATGAGGTATCATTTCACACCACTAAGAGGAAATCTTTTCTTAATCAAAAATGTGAAAAATGTTGGCAAAGAAATAGAGAAGTTGGAACCCTTACACAATTCTGATAGGAATGTAAAATGATACAGCCACTCTGGAAAACAGACTGGCAGCTCCTCAAAATGTTACATATAGAGTTACAATATGACCCAGCAATTCCACTTGTATGCATACACCCAAGAGAAATGAAAACACAAAAACTTGTACATAAAAGCAGACATGATTAATAGCCAAAGAATGGAAACAATTCAAAGGTCCACAACTGAGGAATGAGTAAATAAAATGACTGATATATCCACACAGTGGAATATTACTCAGCAATAAGAGGGAATTGAGTACTGATATATGTTACAACACAGATGAGCCTTAAAACCTTATCCTATGTGAAAGAACCCAATCACAAAAGACCACCACATATTGTGTGGTTCAACTGATATGAAATGTCCAGAATAGGCAACTCTATAAAGACAAAGTAGGCTGGTGGTTCCCTAGAGCTGAGGAAGGGCAAACTGGTGGATAATAGCAAAATGATGCACTGTTTCTTTTTAGGATCATGAAAATATTCTAAAATTGGTGATGGTGATGGCTATACAACTCTGTGAATATACTAAGAGACCATGTGAACTGTATGGTGTTCAAATTATACATCACTACAATTGTCTTTTAAAATCCCAATGGTAGGATCTAGATACGTTTCTTAATCCTCTAATTTGGATGTATATACTCTACACAAACTGAGCATTTCCATGCTTTTACAATATACTTAAAATGAAAGAAAAAAGAAGGGAATGCTTAACATTTCAAGTACTTTGTAAATTAACCTAAAACATCTGCATTTTGGAGAAAAGTATAATGGCCTTTCTGTACAAGTTATCCTAAAATTCATGCAATAAATATACAAAGATTCTGCACCCATCCAAGAAAGTAAGATAAGCAATAAGATGCTTTTCTGGAACATTCTATTGAACATTATCCTCTGATGTAATCTGGCTTGCCTCAACATGGCAACAGAGAAATCCCTGAAAAATACTGTTTCACACACAAAAAAAAGTCTCTCAACTTCTGTGAGGAATGATGTATAATTCCCAGCTTTCTTAAGGGTAAATATTATCTTTAAAATGTACATACTTATGAGAAAAACATGACAGACTGAAAAGTCAGAAGAAATAAGTGCATGATAAAGATAATAAAATTAATTGTAATGAAAATACAAAAGAAATCTATCCACTGCAATTAGCATCCTAAAACTATATATTCCTCCACCACCTACAGATTAACTGTTGACATGTTACATTTCATACATACTTGACTCTGATTTTACCTAATTCCTTCTTTGAATCTTGTGTCTCTTCTAAATTAATGTGACAATGTGGTGTAGCCTCTAGGGAAGGCTCTGACAGGTTTTTTTTCAGGGTATCAGCCGGTTCTTGTAGAAGTTGTCTCATAATTACCTGTTAAGATATTTTTGTTACTGATTTCATATATCACCTTATTATTAAAACATGATCATAACATTCAACATATACTTTGAAAAATAGCACCACATACATGGATTCACCTTCTTTTCCTCATGTGTATACATTCTTATTACTGAATTCAGTTAAGGACACAGGTGTTATATTCCTTCCAAATGAGTATTCTGCTAGATGACAGAATCAGCCCACTATTCATTAACCCCTGATACATTTACAATGCTTAACAACCTACTGAAGTCCCAAAAATTCGGTATGTGGGTGGCACTAGTGGTGGAAAATGCTGGAGTGTAAAATGTCTTTCCTCTTTTTTATCAGAACCTCAAATAAACCTCCCCACTCCTCACATATTCAATTGCCTGCTCAGATCCTTCTAATAGATTTCTACCTCAGAATAAAAGTAAAATTCCAATGACATTTGGAGGCCCTAGGTAACCTGGCCTCCACCTCCCTCCCTTACCTCAGTTCCTATAACTCTCTCCCCTACTCATTCCATTCCAACTGTATGTGAATTCTGCCATCCCTCATTAGCTTTAAAATGAAAACCCAATGCTAAACAAAGCAACTGCAGACAAACACAATTATCTTTGTACTGGACAAGGTTATAGCCAAATGACAGTCATTGAGCCATAAGATAAAAATCATGAGCAAATTACTTTTAAGAACATTAAAATTATAAACACCAGAGGTACGACTAAATCAAATATGGTTTTGCTGGAAATTCACATCTGTTCCAAATAATGATTTTATAAAAAGTAAATGCCTTCAAATAATTGAGAGGTCATAACAATAATGTGAGACTTAAAGTCTCAGATTTAAGTCAAATCAGTAAAAATAAAAATAAAACTACACCAACATAAATACATAAAAAGCTACCTTAAAAAAGTACTATGAGATACAGCAGTATATTTCAGTTCACCTGGGAAATCTGGAAATAACTGTCAAAGTAACCCACATGATTGAATCTTAATTTCAAAAAATTCATTTCAGGTAAAAGGCATTTCTGTTTATCTGTCTCATCATGGTCTTAAAATTAGTCCACAGAGAGATATTAAAATTATTTCAGCAGAAGTCCACATTAGAACTATTAGTCTATATATAGTAAATTTGTAAAATAAAGTCTTAAAATTTCAAAGGTGATACAATTTCGTTGTTCAAAATAAGGCAAATTTCAGGTCTACCTTTTTTTGCTGGTATGTTTCTAGGCCGTACAGCAAATATATTTTATGGTCTACATATTTTTATATTCAAATACATATAACATTTACCATAACCAAATATTACTTTAAATTTTCTTTCAGGAAGTTTGAAAAATATCTTTGTTAATACTTACTTTTTTCCCACTGTCTCTTTTTCACATTGATATATTCTTTCTTTCAAGGGATTACGTACATTGATTATCTCCTCGTTTTCCTCTTCCAGCAGAAGACTTTATACTCTCAGCTAGAAGATTTCTGACAACAGCATGGAATTGCTCTTGGATAGTACTGATTGTCTTTTCTTGACTCTCAGCTTTCTTGTCAGCATCATCCAGTTGCTGCCAAAGCAAATTATTTTCACTTTGTAGTTGAGAAAATCTGTCTTCATAGGTTTCTGCACTCCAGTATATTTATTTACTCTGCTTTGTTCATTTTGACACATTTGTTCAATTTCTTTCTTTTGACACTGTCTGTGTTTGGCATAGATCTCTTTGGAAATGTTCTAAAACTGAAGTCTTTTCTCCGAGTGTTTATCTTGTGTGATGGAGCTTAATTTTTAGGCTGTTAATTTTACTGTCAGCATTAGAGAGTTGTTCAGAAAGAACCTCACTGTTACCTTTTAGGGTAGGCATATCAAACTTCATTTTCTCCTGTAAATGAACCTATTTGTGTCTTATTCTCTGGAAAGAGGTCTCTTTTTGCTTTCTCACTTTGGTCACAAAAATATACAGCAGTGGCCAGTCTACAATTATATGATTGAATTTCTGTTTCCAGTCTTTCCTTGTGGTGCTTTATATCCCCCAGTTTAAAACCAAGCATTTTATTCTCAGTTGTCAAAATGCTAAGCTGTTCATTGTAGTGAAATACCTCTTTTGTTAAAGTTTCCTCATTCAATTTTATAGCTTTTAGAAGATTATCATTCTTTTTTTCATATTTTCAGTGTTCTCAAAATATTTCTTTTCCTTTAGCTGGTTTTTTTTATTATTATTATACTTTAAGTTTTAGGGTACATGTGCACAATGTGCAGGTTAGTTACATATGTATACATGTGCCATACTGGTGTGCTGCACCCATTAACTCATCATCTAGCATTAGGTATATCTCCCAATGCTATCCCTCCCCCCTTCCCCCACCCCACAACAGTCCCCAGAGTGTGATGTTCCCCTTCCTGTGTCCATGTGTTCTCATTGTTCAATTCCCACCTATGAGTGAGAATATGCGGTGTTTGGTTTTTTGTTCTTGAGAAAGTTTGCTGAGAATGATGATTTCGAATTTCATCCATGTCCCTACAAAGGACATGAACTCATCATTTTTTATGGCTGCATAGTATTCCATGGTATATATGTGCCACATTTTCTTAATCCAGTCTATCATTGGACATTTGGGTTGGTTCCAGGTCTTTGCTATTGTGAATAGTGCTGCAATAAACATATGAGTGTATGTGTCTTTATAGCAGCATGATTCATATTCCTTTGGGTATATACCCAGTAATGGGATGGCTGGGTCAAATGGTATTTCTAGTTCTAGATCCCTGAGGAATTGCCACATTGTCTTCCACAAAGGTTGAACTAGTTTACAGTCCCACCAACAGGGTAAAAGTGTTCCTATTTCTCCACATCCTCTCCAGCACCTGTTGTTTCCTGACTTTTTAATGATTGCCATTCTAACTGGTGTGAGATGATATCACATTGTGGTTTTGATTTGTATTTCTCTGATGGACAGTAACGATGAGCATTTTTTCATGTGTCTGTTGGCTGCATAAATGTCTTCTTTTGAGAAGTGTCTGTTCATATCCTTTACCCACTTTTTGATGGGGTTCTTTGTTTCTTTCTTGTAAATTTGTTGGAGTTCATTGTAGATTCTGGATATTAGCCCTTTGTCAGAGGAGTAGATTGTGAAAATTTTCTCCCATTTTGTAGGTTTCCTGTCCACTCTGATGGTAGTTTCTTTTGCTGTGCAGAAGCTCTTTAGTTTAATTAGATCCCATTTGTCAATTTTGGCTTTTGTTGCCATTGCTTTTGGTGTTTTAGACATGAAGTCCTTGCCCATGCCTATGTCCTGAATGGTAATGCCTAGGCTTTCTTCTAGGGTATTTATGGTTTTAGGTCTAACGTTTAAGTCTTTAATCCATCTTGAATTGATTTTTGTATAAGGTGTAAGGAAGGGATCCAGTTTCAGCTTTCTCCATATGGCTAGCCAGTTTTCCCAGCACCATTTATTAAATAGGGAATCATTTCCCCATTGCTTGTTTTTCTCAGGTTTGTCAAAGATCAGATAGTTGTAGATATGCGGCATTCTTTCTGAGGGCTCTGTTCTGTTCCATTGGTCTATATCTCTGTTTTGGTTACTGTAGCCTTGTAGTATAGTTTGAAGTCAGGTAGTGTGATGCCTCCAGCTTTGTTCTTTTGGCTTTGGATTGACTTGGTGATGTGGGCTCTTTTTTGGTTCCATATGAACTTTAAAGTAGTTTTTTCCAATTCTGTGAAGAAAGTCATTGGTAGCTTGATGGGGATGGCATTGAATCTGTAAATTACCTTGGGCAGTATGACCATTTTCACGATATTGATTCTTCCTACCCATGAGCATGGAATGTTCTTCCATTTGTTTGTGTCCTCTTTTATTTCATTGAGCAGTGGTTTGTAGTTCTCCTTGAAGAGGTCCTTCACATCCCTTGTAAGTTGGATTCCTAGGTATTTTATTTTCTTTGAAGCAATTATGAATGGGAGTTCACTCATGATTTGGCTCTCTGTCTGTCTGTTGTTGGTGTATAAGAATGCTTGTGATTTTTGTACATTGATTTTGTATCCTGAGACTTTGCTGAAGTTGCTTATCAGCTTAAGGAGATTTTGAGCTGAGACAATGGGGTTTTCTAGATATACAATCATGTCAACTGTAAACAGGGACAATTTGACTTCCTCTTTTCCTAATTGAATACCCGTTATTTCCTTCTCCTGCCTAATTGCCCTGGCCAGAACTTCCAACACTATGTTGAATAGGAGTGGTGAGAGAGGGCATCCCTGTCTTGTGCCAGTTTTCAAAGGGAATGCTTCCAGTTTTTGCCCATTCAGTATGATATCGGCTGTGGGTTTGTCATAGACAGCTCTTATTATTTTGAAATACGTCCCATCACTACCTAATTTATTGAGTATGATATTGGCTGTGGGTTTGTCATAGATAGCTCTTATTATTTTGAGATACGTCCCATCAATACCCAATTTATTGACAGTTCTTATCATGAAGGTTGTTGAATTTTGTCTAAGGCCTTTTCTGCATCTATTGAGATAATCATGTGGTTTTTGTCTTTGGTTCTGTTTATATGCTGGATTACATTTATTCATTTGTGTATATTGAACCAGCCTTGCATCCCAGGATGAAGCCCACTTGATCATGGTGGATAAGCTTTTTGATGTGCTGCTGGATTTGGTTTGCCAGTATTTTATTGAGGATTTTTGCATCAATGTTCATCAAGGATATTGGTCTAAAATTCTTTTTTTGGTTGTGCCTCCACCCGGCTTTGGTATCAGGATGATGCTGGCCTCATAAAATGAGTTAGGGAGGATTCCCTCTTTTTCTATTGATTGGAATAGTTTCAGAAGGAATGGTACCAGTTCCTCCTTGTACCTCTGGTAGAATTTGGCTGTGAATCCATCTGGTCCTGGACTCTTTTTGGTTGGTAAGCTATTGATTATTGCCACAATTTCAGATCCTGTTATTGGTCTATTCAGAGATTCAACTTCTTCCTGCTTTAGTCTTGGGAGAGTGTCTGTGTCGAGGAATTTATCCATTTCTTCTAGATTTTCTAGTTTATTTGCGTAGAGGTGTTTGTAGTATTCTCTGATGGTAGTTTGTATTTCTGTGGGATCGGTGGTGATATCCCCTTTATCATTTTTTATTGCATCTATTTGATTCTTCTCTCTTTTCTTATTAGTCTTGCTAGCGGTCTATCAATTTTGTTGATCCTTTCAAAAAACCAGCTCCTGGATTCATTAATTTTTTGAAGAGTTTTTTGTGTCTCTATTTCCTTCAGTTCTGCTCTGATTTTAGTTATTTCTTGCCTTCTGCTAGCTTTTGAATGTGTTTGCTCTTGCTTTTCTAGTTCTTTTAATTGTGATGTTAGGGTGTCAATTTTCAATCTTTCCTGCTTTCCCTTGTGGGCATTTAGTGCTATAAATTTCCCTCTACACACTGCTTTGAGTGCGTCCCAGAGATTCTGGTATGTTGTGTCTTTGTTCTCGTTGGTTTCAAAGAACATCTTTATTTCTGCCTTTATTTCGTTATGTACCCAGTAGTCATTCAGGAGCAGGTTGTTCAGTTTCCATGTAGTTGAGCGTTTTTGAATGAGATTCTTAATCCTGAGTTCTAGTTTGATTGCACTGTGGTCTGAGAGACAGTTTGTTATAATTTCTGTTCTTTTACATTTGCTGAGGAGAGTTTTACTTCCAAGTATGTGGTCAATTTTGGAATAGGTGTGGTGTGGTGCTGAAAAAATGTATACTCTGTTGATTTGGGGTGGAGAGTTCTGTAGATGTCTATTAGGTCCACTGGGTGCAGAGCTGAGTTCAATTCCTGGGTATCCTTATTGACTTTCTGTCTCAATGATCTGTCTAATGTTGACAGTGGGGTGTTAAAGTCTCCCATTATTAATGTGTGGGAGTGTAAGTCTCTTTGTAGGTCACTCAGAACTTGCTTTATGAATTGGGGTGCTCCAGTATTGGGTGCATATATATTTAGGATAGTTAGCTCTTCTTGTTGAATTGATCCCTTTACCATTATGTAATGGCCTTCTTTGTCTCTTTTGATCATTGTTGGTTTAATGTCTGTTTTATCAGAGACTAGGATTGCAACCCCTGCCTTTTTTTGTTTTCCATTTGCTTGATAGATCTTCCTCCATCCTTTTATTTTGAGCCTATATGTGTCTCTGCACGTGAGATGGGTTTCCTGAATACAGCACACTGATGGGTCTTGACTCCTTATCCAATTTGCCAGTCTGTGTCTTTTAATTGGAGCATTTAGTCCATTTACATTTAAAGTTAATATTGTTATGTGTGAATTTGATCCTGCCATTATGATGTTAGCTGGTTATTTTGCTCATTAGTTCATGCAGTTTCTTCCTAGCATCGATGGTCTTTACATTTTGGCATGATTTTGCAGTGGCTGGTACCGGTTGTTCCTTTCCATGTTTAGTGCTTCCTTCAAGAGCACTTTTAGGACAGGCCTGGTGGTGACGAAATCTCTCAGCATTTGCTTGTCTGTAAAGTATTTTATTTCTCCTTCACTTATGAAGATTAGTTTGGCTGGATATGAAATTCTGGATTGAAAATTCTTTTCTTTAAGAATGTTGAATATTGGCCCCCACTCTCTTCTGGCTTGTAGAATTTCTGCTGAGAGATCCGCTGTTAGTCTGATGGGCTTCCCTTTGTGGGTAACCCGACCTATCTCCTTGGCTGCCTTTAACATTTTTTCCTTCATTTCAACTTTGGTGAATCTGACAATTATGTGTCTTGGAGTTGCTCTTCTCAAGGAGTATCTTTGCGGCATTCTCCGTATTTCCTGAATGTGAATGTTGGCCTGCCTTGCTAGATTGGGGAAGTTCTCCTGGATAATATTCTTCAGAGTGTTTTCCAACTTGGTTCCATTCTCTCCGTCACTTTCAGGTACACCAATCAGATGTAGATTTGGTCTTTTGACATAGTCCCATATTTCTTGGAGGCTTTGCTCGTTTCTTTTTATTGTTTTTTTCTCTAAACTTCCCTTCTCACTTCATTTCATTCATTTCATCTTCCATCGCTGATACCCTTTCTTCCAGTTGATTGCATTGGCTCCTGAGGCTTCTGCATTCTTCAGGTAGTTCTCGAGCCTTGGTTTTCAGCTCCATCAGCTCCTTTAAGCACTTCTCTGTATTGGTTATTCTAGTTATACATTCTCCTAAATTTTTTTCAAAGTTTTCAGCTTCTTTGCCTTTGATTTGAATGTCCTCCCGTAGCTTGGAGTAATTTGATCATCTGAAGCTTTCTTCTCTCAGCTCGTCAAAGTCATTCTCCGTCCAGATTTGTTCCATTGCTGGTGAGGAACTGCGTTCCTTTGGAGGTGGAGAGGCACTCTGCTTTTTAGAGTTTCCAGTTTTTCTGCTCTGTTTTTTCCCCATCTTTGTGGTTTTATCTACTTTTGGTCTTTGATGATGGTGATGTACAGATGGGTTTTTGGTGTGGATGTCCTTTCTGTTCGTTAGTTTTCCTTCTAACACACAAGACCCTCAGCTGCAGGTCTGTTGGAGTACCTGGCCAGATGTGTGAGATGTCAGTCTGCCCCTGCTGGGGGGTGCCTCCCAGTTAGGCTGCTCAGGGGTCAGGGGTCAGGTACCCACTTGAGGAGGCAGTCTGCCCATTCTCAGATCTCCAGCTGCATGCTGGGAAAACCACTGCTCTCTTCAAAGCTGTCAGACAGGGACACTTCTGTAGGTATCTTTAAAAAAAATAATTTCTCATTGGTGTTGCTGCACACTGACTAAGTCTTGCAGTTCTCATTCTCATTTGCTTATGGTATTAGAAAGGTATTGCTGAGTTTCCACTTTTAAAGATAGTTACTTTTTTAGTGACACAAACCTCAGTGTAATATAGCTAACCTTTGACCAACACAGGCTTGAACTGTAGGGGTCTACTACTCATATGCAGATTTTCTTCTACCTCTGTCACCTCAGACAGCAAGCCCAACCTCCCTCTTTCTCCTCTTCAGCCTATTCAACTTGAAGATTAAGGATGAAGACATTTATGATGATCCACTTCCACTTGATATTAATTATATTTTTTCTTCCCGACAGTTTCTTTTCTCCAGTTTATTGTACAAATACAACATACAATACTTATAACACACCAAATATCATCTTAACTGACTGTGTTACCAATAAGGCTTCTGGTCAACAGTAGGCTATTAGTAGTTAAGTTATGAGGGAAGTCAAAAGTTATACATAGATTTTTGGCTGCATGGAGGATTGGTACCCCTAAGTCCTACACTGTTCAAGGGTCAACTGTAATTAACATTCATTTGCTCAAAGCAAACCATTTATTTAAATAATTAAATAGAAGATTCAATTGTATAACAAGTCCAATTTGTTATCATGTGACCGTAAAAAAGATATACCATGTACTAACTTGTGTTTTTCTTATTTACATAAAAATATTATACAAGATTTTAGAGACCATAATTAAATTTTTCAGATATTTGAAATTATAAATCACCTAAAATGAAATTTTTAAATAATTCTGAAATCGAACCTACTCTCAAAAAAAATTGTAAAATATATACATGCAATTTATACACAGTGATTTTTCAAACTGTTTTTTTTTTGTGATAAAAACTTCCTTACTTTTACTTTCTTATCTATGGTAGGACCACCTAGCGCAGGGGTCCACAACTCCTGGGCAACAAACTGGTACCAGCCCATGGCCTGTTAGGAACCAGGCCACACAGCAAGAGGTGAGTGGCAGGTAAGCCAGCAAAGCTTTATCTGTATATACAGCCACACCCCATTTCTCCTATTCCCACTTGAGCTCCACCTCCTGTCAGATCAGAGGTAGAATTAGATACTCATTGGAGCATGAACCCTGCTATAAACTGTACATGCTAGGGATCTAGGTTGTGTGCTTCTTATGAGAATCCAATGCCTGATGATCTGTCACTTTCTCCCATTGCCTCCAGATGAGAACATCCAGTGACAGGAAAACAAGTTCAGGGATCTCACTAACTCTACATTATGGAGAGTTGTATCATTATTTCATTATATATTACAATATAATAATATAAAGTAGCACAATAAATGTAATGTGCTGGAATCATCCCAAGACCATCCCCTCCTTCCTCCAGTCCATGGAAAAATTGTCGTCCACAAAACCGGTCCCTGGTGCCAAAAAGAGTGGGAACCACTGACCTAGAGTAATTCACTGTCAGAAGTCTTACTTGGATTGCTGTTGAGAGAACGGCTTTTTTGTATCTGTTTGTCTTTGTAGTCAGAAAGTAATTGACAAATTCTATGTATAAACATATAATAAGTAAAATTACTATTTTAATACTCATATGAAAAATACTTACCAAATGTTAAATTCTTCAAGTAGTTCCAACAATATCAGAATATCAAAACTTTAATTATCCAATACACTTACGCCTACATTCCACAAGCTTCTCAATAAGCTTCTAATTAAAGAGAAAAAAAGGTGAAATACTCATAAATCGAGGGCACTGTGACTCAGTAAATTAACTTGCCTTAGCTTGACATAATAGAAAGTGTCCCAACTCTGCATAAGGCCTAGCTCCATAATGAACAGCTATTTGTTCTTGGAGAACCTACTTCTCATAGGCTCAATGTCTTCTTCTACAAAGTGAGGATTTTGCTGCCTTATTTCAATAGGTTGTTACGAAAATTTAACAATTTTTTTTTGAGACAGAGTGTCATTCTGTCACCCAGGCTGGAGTGCAGTGGCACAATCTCAGTTCACTACAATCTCTGCCTCCTGGGTTCAAGTGATTCTCCTGACTCAGGCTCCTGAATAGCTGGAATTACAGGCAATTGCCATGATGCCCAACTAATTTTTGTATTTTTAGAAGAGACGGGGTTTCATCATATTGGACAGGCTGGTCTCAAACTCCTGACCTCATGATCCGCCTGCCTTAGCCTCCCAAAGTGCTGGGATTACAGGCATGAGCCACCACGCCTGGTGGATAATTTTTTTTATTATACTTTAAGTTTTAGGGTACATGTGCATAACGTGCAGGTTAGTTACATATGTATACATGTGCCATGTTGGTGTGCTGCACCCAGTAATTCGTCATTTAACATTAGGTATATCTCCTAATGCTATCCCTCCCCCTCCCCCCACCCCACAACAGGCCCCGGTGTGTGATGTTCCCCTTCCTGTGTTCATGTGTTCTCATTGTTCGATTCCCACTTATGAGTGAGAACATGCGGTGTTTGGTTTTTCGTCCTTGCAATAGTTTGCTGAGGATGATGGTTTCCAGCTTCATCCGTGTCCCTAAAAGGACATGAACTCCCCATTTTTTATGGCTGCATAGTATTCCATGGTGTATACGTGCCACAGTTTCTTAATCCAGTCTATCATTGTTGGACATTTGGGTTGGTTCCAAGTCTTTGCTATTGAGAATAGTGCCTCAATAAACATACGTGTGCATGTGTCGTTATAGCAGCATGATTTATAGTCCTTTGGGTATATGCTCAGTAATGGGATGGCTGGGTCAAATGGCATTTCTAGTTCTAGATCCCTGAGGAATTGCCACACTGACTTCCACAATGGTTGAACTAGTTTACAGTCCCACCAACAGGGTAAAAGTGTTCCTATTTCTCCACATCCTCTCCAGCACCTGTTGTTTCCTGACTTTTTGATGATCACCATTCTAACTGGTGTGAGATGGTATCTCATTGTGGTTGTGATTTGCATTTCTCTGATGGCCAGTGATGATGAGCATTTTTTCATGAGTCTGTTGGCTGCATAAATGTCTTCTTTTGAGAGGTGGCTGTTAATATCCTTCGCTCACTTTTTGATAGGGTTGTTTTTTCCTGTAAATTTGTTTGAGTTCATTGTAGATTTTGGATATTAGCCCTTTGTCAGAAGAGTAGATGGCAAAAATTTTCTCCCATTCCGTAGGTTGCTTGTTCACTCTGATGGTAGTTTCTTTTGCTGTGCAGAAGCTCTTTAGTTTAATTAGATCCCATTCATCAATTTTGGCTTGTGTTGTCATTGCTTTTGGTGTTTTAGACATAAAGTTCTTGCCCATGCCTATGTCCTGAATGGTATTGTCTACATTTTCTTCCAGGGTTTTTATGGTTTTAGGTCTAACACTTAAGTCTTTAATCCATCTTGAATTAATTTTTGTATAAGGTTTAAGGAAGGGATCCAGTTTCAGCTTTCTACATATGGCTAGCCAGTTTTCCCGGCACCATTTATTAAATAGGGAATCCTTTCCCCATTGCTTGTTTTTCTCAGGTTTGTCAAAGATCAGATAGTTGTAGATGTGCAGCATTATTTCTGAGGGCTCTGTTCTGTTCCATTGTTCTATATCTCTGTTTTGGTACCAGTACCATGCTGTTTTGGTTACTGTAGCCTTGTAGTATAGTTTGAAGTCAGGTAGTGTGATGCCTCCAGCTTTGTTCTTTGGCTTTGGATTGACTTAGCAATGTGCGCTCTTTTTTGGTTCCATATGAACTTTAAAATAGTTTTTTCCAATTCTGTGAAGAAAGTCATTGGTAGCTTGATGGGGATGGCATTGAATCTATAAATTACCTTGGGCAGTATGGCCATTTTCAGGATTTTGATTCTTCCTACCCATGAGCATGGAATATTCTTCCATTTGTTTGTATCCGCTTTCATTTCATTGAGCAGTGGTTTGTAGTTCTCCTTGAAGAGGTCCTTCATGTCCCTTGTAAGTTGGATTCCTAAGAATTTTATTCTCTTTGAAGCAATTGTGAATGGGAGTTCACTCATGATTTGGCTCTCTGTTTGTCTGTTGTTGGTGTATAAGAATGCTTGTGATTTTTGCACGTTGATTTTGTATCCTGAGA